>NC_000005.10:157276475-157579505 GCF_000001405.40 Homo sapiens | reverse complement strand
AGCAAGCTGCCACATACTGTTGAGGAAGGAATGTTGCACAGAGAGGTCAAGAAGAATCTGAAGACACAGGCCTTGCTGGGTTCATGTTAACAAGTGCTTCTCCGAGTTCTGTGAGCTGCTCTGGTAAACTAATTGAACCCAAAGAGGTGTCCTGGGAACCCCAACTGGAAGCCAGTTGGTCAGAAGTTCTGGAAGAACACACGTCTGGTGTCTGAAGGGGGCCCAGTCTTGGAAACTGAGACCTCAACCTGTGGGATCTGATGCTATCTATAGTGTCTAAATTCACTGCTGCTTGGTGTGTGGGGAAAGCCCCCACATCTTTGATCACAGAAGTCTTCTCTGTTGATTGTTGTTGTGTTGAGTGAGAGAAGAGGAAAAAGCACTTTGAGTTTGTGTTTTCTCCACCACCAATTGTGTTCTAGTGTTTTGTGGAAAGTAGAAATTGCAAGTGATGAACTTAAATATTTAGCTGCAGAGATTTCCAAAGTGTTGAAGATGAGGCCTGGCTTCTCCTCGGTACTTATGTAAAATGTGAGTGGATGGAGATAAATGGAAGGAATTGCTAAGCAAAAAGGAAACAGAACTTGAAGATTTGGAAAATTATTGGCCTATTCATATTGCAAAAAATAAAAAAGGATTTTCTGGAGAGGACACTAAGGGTGTGGCTGGACAATAACCCATGGAGCTAGTCAGCCATCTCATTAGAAGTCAGAAATAGAGATGGGTTTTACCAGCAAAGACATTGCCAATTTAGACCAAAAGGAATAAAGACAGGATGAAACAAAGGAAGGCTTTTAGAATTTTGTTCTACGGGACAGGACAATACAGCTCGCTTCATTCTTTAAGAAAAATGATTCACAGATCATCAGGGTTGCCACTCCCACCACAGCGGGCTGTTGGGGAGGCAGGGAGTGAAAGGGTGGAGTCTCCTTCTCTTGAGCAGGCCAGGCTGCCCCTGCCCAGTGCCTTGGGGTGGGGGACTGTGACAAAGAGCTATGGTGCTGGCCACTGCCTGGTGCTGTGGGGGTGACACTGCTGACCCAGTGGGCCTACAGGGCAGAATATCCAGCCAAAGAAGATTGTTGTAGAGCATTAAGATCTGATGGAATTTGCCTTGCTAGGTTTTGCACTTTTGGGGACTGTCACCTTGTTCTTTTCAGTATCTCTCTTTTGGAATCAGCACGTCTATCCTATGCCTTTCCCACCACATTGTATTTGGAAGCTGAGAGGAATTTTGCCTCAGGATGAAACAAACTTCAAGTCTCACCCATATCTAATACAGATGAAATTTAGATGACACTTCAGACTTGGAATTAATGCTGGAATGAGTGAAGACATTTGGGCTGCTGGGATGGGGTGGATATATTCTGCACGCGAGAAGTGTGAAAGGAAAATAAATCTTAGGACTCCCAAATCACTAAGCCAAGGAAAAAGTCAAGCTGGGAACAATGTCAGGCAAACCTGTCCCCCATTTTATTCTTTTCTTCTTTTTTTTTTTTTTTTTGAAATAGAGTCTCACTCTGTCGCCCAGGCTGGAGTGCAGTGGCGTGATCTTGGCTCACTGCAACCTCCCCTTCCGAGGTTTAAGCGATCTCCTGCCTCAGCCTCCTGAGTAGCTGGGATTACAGGTGTGCCACCACGCCTGGCTAATTTTTTTTGTATTTTTAGTAGAGACAGGGTTTCGCCACATTGGTCAGACTGGTCTCGAATTCCTGACCTCAGGTGATCTGCCCGCCTTGGCCTCCCAAAGTGCTGGGATTACAGGCCTAAGCCACAATGCCAGGCCACCATCCTATTCTTAAATAAGATAGCTACAAAGAGAAACAGCTACATACCTTCCTCACAATTTTCACACAAGGAAATTCCTTGTGGACAAAGGACAGACAGAATTTAAAGCCATCCCTCTGAGGCTCACCGGAAACAAATGCATATCTGATTGCTTCTTCTGCCCTATTGTTTATGTAAAAATGTAGATTCACTGAGCTAGACTAAATTGTGTATTCAGTGGAAGGTTGATCAAGGACTCAAAAGAATGTAACCTCTTCTGTTTCTTATCTACTTATAACCTGGAAGCACCACCCTTTCTGCAGCTTGGAGTTGTCTTGCCTTACCGGACCGGAAGCAATGTACATCCTACACATATTGATTGATGTCTCATGTCTCCCCAAAATATATAAAAGGAGGCTACACCCCCACCACCCTGGGCACATGTTGGGACCTCCTGAGGCTGTGTCATGAGCACGTTCTTAAGCTTGGCAAAATTAACCTTCTAAATTGACTGAGACCTATCTCAGATATTTCGGGTTCACAGAAAGATACGAATTTTACAGCAGCTGGAGACTAACGGAGTCCCAAACGACATTAATGGCCAGAACCACTTATTTGATTTCCCTCATGGGTGCCCATGAGTAGGGTTTGATAGACCTACCTACCCATCATCTTCAGGAGTGCCTCGCCCTCTCCAACACTTAGCACTTCTCTAGTCAACCTGGGTTTGACTAAAGAGGCTCAGAAAAAGGAACAGATGGACGAGGTTTGAGGCTGGGATTCTACAACGAGGCTTTGCTAAAACTTGCTGAGGGATCTTAGGCAAGTCATTTCTCTCTCATTATCAGTTTCTCCACCTGGAAAATAAGGTGTGTTGCATCAGGCTCTGGAGTTATACGGATGTGGGTTTGAATCTAGGCACTGACATTAGCTGTGTAATCTTGGGCAAGTGGTTTAGCCTCTCAGGTTTGATTTCCTCATTTCTAAAACAGGGATAGTACTAGTACCTACCCCATGGGATTACTGGGCTAATGAAAAGAGATAATGTATGCAGAGTCCCTGGCTCATAAAAGTTATTTTCTCCGATTAATTAAATAAGTGAATATGTGTAAAGTGCTGAAGACAGCGTTTGACACTTAGCGTTTTATCAGTCTTAGCTATCATGATTTTCTTATTCTAGTACATAGAAAGTCCTCAATAAGTAACAGTAGTTATTATTATTTTTGGTCACATGTCCCTGTGTTTCCCTCCAAAACCCTAACCATCCCCAATTCTGGTTTTCTCCCCGCATGCAGCCCAAGGGTTTTCACGTCCCAGTGCGATTGTCTGGGCTGTTTCCTCCGCCTGATGTTCCATTTCTCCTCCTCCCGATCTCAGATGGCTTCTCCTCTGGGATTCCTCTGGTCTTCATCACTCCCTCCTCCCAGGCAGAAGGAATGGCTCCTGGATTTGTGTCCTGCTTAAAAAAAAAAAAAAAAAAAAAAAAAAAAAAAAAAAAAGAAGTCCATATAGCACTTAGTTCTTTGTGCCTGGCGGTTGGGTTAACTCTTTCTGAGCCTGTCTCCGAGAGTGGCGGCCCCCGGGGGACGGCGCTGGGTGAATCACCTCTGAGTGTCACCCAAGGCGTCTGGCACAGTGCGGGACAGTAAACGGGCCGCTGTGCGGAGAGGGGTCCAGTTTAACTCCTAGAAGCCCGAGTCCCCGACCCTCTACAGGCCGCGTCCACCACAAATCCCTCCTCCTGGGGGGCTCGGATTCTCCCTTCCCCGCGGTCTCCCTCACCTGAGCCAGCCCCGCTCCCCCGAGTCTCGCCAGCTCCTCCCCGGCCCCTCCCTCCAGCCCCCTCCGGGCTGGAGCCTCCCCTCCTCCATCCCCTGGCGGAGGCCCGCGGGGCTGGAGGCGGAGCGTCTCGGCAGAGGGCTGGGAGCCGGGTGGGGAGGCGCGGGGCGAGCCGGGGGGTTCCAGACGCGCCTCCACCGCCGGGCAGTGGGCAGGTATGGCTGAGGGCGTGTGAGCGCCGAGCGCTAAGGGCCGCCGCCACCATGCCAGGGGGCGCAGGCGCCGCCCGGCTCTGCTTGCTGGCGTTTGCCCTGCAGCCCCTCCGGCCGCGGGCGGCGCGGGAGCCTGGATGGACAAGTAAGTGGCCAGGCGCGGGGGGATGGAGGCTGGGTGGCCCGGAGACCTGGGAGTAGCCTTGCGGGTCCGGAGCGCTGGGACCGCGACCCCTGCGCCTCCCGCAACTCCGCGGGGCCTGCGCCCCCGCCGTCCCCAGCCTGGGAGCCCGGGCTTTGTTCCCACGTTCTGCGCCCTGGGAGGTGGCAGAGGTCGGGGAAACCCGGCGCAGCCAGAAAACAGCCGGTCCGCTCACTGGCTAGCCTTCCCTTCTCGCCTTCTCCTTCCTCTGTTTTTCTGCTTTTGGCTTCTCTTTCCGCCGTTCTCGGGGCTTATCCTCCTCCGTTTTCTCACGGTCCCTCGTGTCCGCTCCGCCTCTCTCTCTGTCTTTCTCTCTACCGCCCGCTGCACTCGCCAACGCCGAGCATCCCGAGCGCCCTGCCCGTGTGGCCTGGGAGCGGCTTCCTGGGACCAGGCTCGGTGCCTGCCACACTGGTGGGGTAGGACATAAAATGCCCGCGGCAGACTGTGGTAGCCTTGGCTAGGGGATGGCTCGCTGGGTATCTGCAGCCACACACTTCGGATCCCCGAGCTGGCAGGAGCCCTACTGAAGGCCAAGTCAAACGCACCCATTTCACAGATGGGGAAACCGAGGCCCACAAAAGGGAAAGGACTTGCCCAAGGCCACGCCACGGGTTGAGGTCCGCGGTGGCACTGGAAACCAGGGCTCTCTTTCCACGCCAACCCGACGGCCGCCTTCTTTGGTCCTCAGTTTCCCCTTCTGTGAAGCGAAGGGGTCTGACTCGATGTTTCCAGCTAAGATGCCGGGTGATGTCCGTGTTTCTCAGGACTAGTTTCCCAGACACCAATCCCCTCCCCGGCTCCATCCCTCGGGGGCTATAAGCAGATTTCGCGGAAGGCTTGGTCCCGGGGGGCGGTGCCCGGGTTCTCTCATTATGACCGGAGAAGGCTTAGCCCTGGCTCCACCGCTGCAGACGGGCTGGGCTGACTCCAGACTGCTGCTTGGGGGACCAACAGTCAGCGTTTTCAAATAGAGCGAGCACCGGCGGAGCGAGGGTGGGCTGGCTGGACCCCCGGGCCGCCTCAAACCCAGAGGCTGAGAGCTCTTCCGACAGTTCGGAACTTCCAGGGGCCGAGGTCGGGCGGTCCTCCCAAAGGGCTCAAAGGAACCGCCCTTTGAGCTGTTGTTCCGAAGGGGAAACTGAGGCACAGAGGAGGTTCTAGGGTAGCACCAGGCCTGTGTCAGTGCTTAGTGCAGGAGAAAAGCATGAAGAAAGACAAGGAAAGCTAGTTACTGCTCCTAGCACAGGCGCCTTCTCTGAGTTTTGAGTCCTTGGAGAACACTTGCTGTAGAATATCTGGGAAATAACGAAAAGTGTAAAAGAAAATGATCTGCAACCCCCAAATCCACAGTTGCTGTTGATATTTTGTTTTTTTTCCCCTCCACATTCTTTGTGTGTTCCTATGGATATATATTGATAAAATTGGAACCATACCCATAAGTACAGTTTCGTGTCTTGCGTTTTTCACTTCACACCATGAGCGTTTTCCACATCATCAAATTCTCTGTAAAACATGATTTTAATGACTCTATACAAAGTTTTCAAAAGTTAAAAACACGACTCATACAAATGTGGCCAAGATTTATTCAACTCATTAATGAGGTAGCAAACAGGAGAGTAAAGCTGATTCAGGGAGCATTAGAAAGGGGTGATACAAGCATTGGAGAAAGAATGTTGAAATCATGTGGCCCAGGGCAGATGCAGAAATGGTGGATGCCCCATGAAGCAAACCATAATTCTTGGTTATCTTTCTTTTTTAATTTCCTTCCTTCATTCCTTCTTTTCTTTCTTTTTTTTTTTTTCAGAGTCTCTATCTGTTGCCCAGGCTGGCATGCAGTGGCACGATCTGGGCTCACTGCAGTCTCTGCTTCCTGGGTTCAAGCTATTCTCCTGCCTCAGCCTCCTGAGTAGCTGGGCTTATTGGCATGTGCCACCACACCCGGCTAGTTTTTGTATTTTTAGTAGAGACGGGGTTTCACCATGTTGGCCAGGCTAGTCTCAAATTCCTGACCTCAGGTGATCCGCCCGCCTCGGCCTCCTAAAGTGCTAGGATTACAGGCGTGAGCCATTGTGCCTGGCCAGGTTATCTTTTTACTATGCTGAAATCACTTACATCTCTGTCAGACAGAATTCTATAGATATATATAGATTATATAACTTCACAGAGTGTAGCTTTTAATCAATGGTAAATAAAAAGTCAATGGTACATTCCCCTAGATAATGCAGTAATCCATGGGTGAGTCTGTTAAACAATGCTCTGATACAACATTGAGAAGACATCTTGCTTGCTCTTGCCTTATTTCCAAGTTTTGGAGACCTTTTCTTAACATGTACTATGTTCCTCTTTTGGTGAGATTTTAGATTGCTTTCACTATTTTTTTACAATCGTAGATATCATTTAATTCCATTAAATGCTCCATTAAATATTATAGAATTCCTTTTTGTTTAAAATAATATAGACTTATCAGAGCCACCAGGGCAAGAGCGATGCTTGTCTTTTTTTTATTTCTGAGATGGAGTCTTGCTCTGTCACTCAGGCTGGAGTGCACTGGCGCAATCTTGGCCTCCCAGATTCAAGGGATTCTCGTGCCTCAGCCTCCTGAGTAGCTGGGATTACAGGCATGCGCCACCACACCCAGCTAATTTTCATATTTTTAGTAGAGACAGGGTTTCACCTTGTTGGCCAGGCTAGTCTCAAACTCCTGACTTCAGGTGATCCGCCCACCTCGGACCTCCAAAGTGCTGAGATTACAGGTTGTGAGCCACCGTTCCTGTCCTGCAGTATGCTTGTCTTGTTCCTCCATGAATATTAAGCACCTATTCATAGCATAGTACTTGGCACATAGTTAAGTACTCAGAAAATATTTGATAAATATATGAATGCATTGTTTCTAATATTTGCCTGTCTGATGAATTGGTGTTGGTCCAATAAGATTATTTTTAAAATCTATGTTGACTGCAAGTGCATTATATCGGTATTCTGAAGAGAATGTTAATAATTACTCATAATCACCACTCTAACAGAACAACTATGGCCATCTTTTTATCATTCATATTCTGTATGATTGATGTAGTTAGTTTAGACAGAATAGATTTTGGAGTCCTCAGCCCCATTCCCAGGAACACTACGGAGACCAGTCTGTTTAGGTGTCGGGAAATTACCATTTTGTTAAGATAGTCTGCCGCCAGTATTTGAGTTCTGCAGCGCCCTGAACAAATCTCTCCTATAGTTTAAATTCTCTTTCTTGCAAAACAGGACTCCTCCCAGTCTCTAGTAAAAATACAAAAAAATTAGCCGGGTGTGGTGGCGGGTGCCTGTAGTCCCAGCTACTCGGGAGGCTGAGGCAGGAGAATGGCATGAACCCGGAAGGCGGAGCTTGCAGTGAGCCGAGATCACACCACTGCACTCCAGCCTGGGCGACAAAGCGAGACTCCGTCTCAAAAGAAAAAAAAAACAGGACTCCTACTTCCTACTTCCCAGGGTTGCCTTGAGCATGAAGGAGAACTGGTTTGGGAGAGTGATTTGGGAAGTAGAAAGTGGAATACAAATGTAAACTTGCCATTAGGAAGCTCCAATTAATGTAACTTGATGCAGTGATGCTCTGCGGAGTAGGAGGCAATTTCATATTGACTCTTCACAATAAAGCTGTGAGATGGGCAGGTAGCATCTTTGTCTTCATTTTACAGGCAAGAAAACTAAAGCTCCATGGGAGCAGTATTCATGGGCTTGACCTCCAGAATATGCCCAGAATCCCACCGCTTCATTCCTCTCCACTGATGTCATTCTAATCTGAGCCACCATCATCTCTCACCAGGGCTCCAGCATATCTCTAGCCTGGCCTTCCTGCTTCTGCTCTCACTCTCGCCGCTCTGCCTCACCCCACCCCCATTCTCCACCACGCAGGCAGAGTGATCTTTTTTAAACTTAACACAGATCATATTGCTCTGTATTTAAAACACCCAGTGCCTTCCAAGTCTATTTATAAGAAAATCCAGACACTCTCCGTGGTCTCTGCATTATCAGACCCATGGCTGTCTTGCTGACCACATCTCATACCAACTTCCTCTTTCATTTACTAGCTACCCCTACCTTATGCTTGTTCCTTCAACAGGCCAAGTTCACTTCTGCTCAGGCAGGGCCATTGCACTTGCTGTTTCCTCTACCTGGGGCACTCTTCCCCCACGTTTTTGCATGGCTGCCTTCTGGCTCCTCAGGACTCAAATGCCATCTATGCTGATCATCCTGTTTCAAATAGGCACCTCCTGATAGATGTCTCTTTACTCCATGACCCCAACTTATTTTATTCAGGGTACTTAGCACCATGTGAGAACATTTGTTCATTGTCTGTCTCCCACCTTTACAAGTACAGAGACCTTATATGTCCTATTTACCACAATATCACCGACACCTAGAGTGCCTAGTTCCTAGGAAGTGCCAAGAGCCTGAAATCCAGCAAGTCTTCTAATGACCCAGTGCAGGGGCAGCTCACAGAAAGTGCATGTGTGGCTTAGCTGGGGTATAGAGGTCTGGGATTCCAATGGTTTTGCATCTTGTATTGGCAGGAGGAAGTGAGGAAGGCAGCCCCAAGCTGCAGCATGAACTTATCATACCTCAGTGGAAGACTTCAGAAAGCCCCGTGAGAGAAAAGGTAAGACTCAAAAGACCTCATTTACACTGGCAGGAGTTGACAACTGAGGTTTGGGCTACCTACTCAACTTTCTTAGAATCCCAGTCATCACCATTAGTTCTGTTTCTGGCCCACTCTGTCCTCTGGGTGCCCATTTTGGAGATCACAGATGGGACTTTCCTTCCTTGTATGACAAACTTCTAGAACACTTCCCAATGCTATTAGTTGAGGAAATGAAAATTCACATTAATGCTGACACAAGCTAAGTGCAGATGTGTTGGTGTCACAGAAATCACTTAGTCTTGATTGGAATTCATTAAATATTGTCATTGTTATTTTTGCTCTGCATAATACATACTTCATTTTCTTGAAGGAATAATGTACTTGGAGAGAAAAAAGATAATAATATAAACTATAAACTATTTTAATAAGACGCAGCGTAGAGACCTAGTACTGGGGAATGTATCTTAAAATCCAGTAGGCTCCCCTGGCCAGAACACCAGGAAAACACATAGGCTTTATCAAAGAGATTGGGAAGAAAACAAAAAACACTGTCCTGTTCTTGCAGAGAGGACCTGAGCATTTAGGATATTCTTTGTGGTTCTGGTTTTTGTTTTTTGTTTTTTTGTTTTTGTTTTTTTGTTTGTTTGTTTGTTTTGACAGAGTCTCACTCTGTCGCACAGGCTGGAGTGCAGTGACATGATCTCGGCTCACTGTGAGCTCCGCCTGGCAGGTTCAAGCGATTCTCATGCCTTAGCTTCCGGAGTAGCTGAGATTACATGTGTGTGCTGCGAAGCCAGGCTAATTTTTGTATTTTTAGTAGAGATGGGTTTTCACCATGTTGTCCAGGGTGGTCTCGAACTCCTGACCTCAAGTGATCCGCCCACGTAGTCCTCTCAAAGTGTTGGGATTACAGGCGTCAGCCACTGTGGCCCACTGTGGTTTTGGTTTTTCCAGCAAGTGAGACGTGAAAGAGCAAGAAAGGAAGATGCGGTTGTTGTGTGCCAGTAACCAGCTATGTGACCTGCCACTTGCGAAGTGGTAGATTTTCTTCATTTATAAAATAGTGCTTAGAGAGAATAAGGAGAAAAGAAAGCTGGGGAGAGGGGTTTTTTCTAAGATCTCTTTGGGTTAAAATGATTTGTGATTTATTGGGCAACATATAGGAGCAAGATTATAGCAGGAAAGAGATGTGTCAGGAAAGACTTCAGACATTGTGGCTGTTGAATCTGGAAAGATAAATGGAAAGGAGCAATGTCCAGGATCCTTGAAACTCTGGCCAGGATAATACAGACATGTCCAAAAAGGCTCCAACTTGGATTTACCAAGGGAACCTAACAGTGTAAATTTTAGGACAGACCAAGTGCGATGGCTCAAGCCTGTAATCCCAGCACTTTGGGAGGCTGAGGCAGGAGGATCATTTGAGGCCAGGAATTTAAGACCAGCCTGGGGCACCATACTGAGATCCTATCTCTACAAAAAAAAAAAAAAAAAAAAAAGAAAATTAGCTAGACCTAGGGGTGTGTGTCTGTAGTCCCAGCTACTCTGAAGGCTGAGGTGGGACGATCGCCTGAGCCCAGGAGTTTGAGGTTATAGTAAGATATAGTCGCATCAGCATCACTGTCCTCCAGTCTGAGTGACAATGCAAGACCTTGTCTCAAAAAAAAAAAAAAAAAAAAAATCAGGACAAATAAAAGCAAGTAACATTTTGTCCTAAAGGCAGTAAACGCATGGAATTCATTTCATCAAAAAGTAGGAGAGGCTGAAAATAGCTTCAGGAAAAGTCTCGACAAATTAATGGATGGTCATCCTAGAGCAGATTACTTTTAACAATTAAGATCTTGGGTATTGCAACCTATTCATACCCCCTGAGGAATGGACCTGCTACTTTTTATAGAGGCTTCTTTGTTCTCTCCAGATGTGGATGCCGGGCATCCTCAGGAAGGGCCTGAGAACAAAGCAGAGGACCAGATCCTGTCTTTGTTCCCAACCATTGTCTGCCCAGCATATGGGTCATTGTATTCTGTAGGAATAGTCAGCATAGTGCCTGGCACCGTAACTATTTGTTCAATGAACAAATGAATGAATGTTGAAGAGAGAGAGACTAGAGGCTGGATTTCACTTGGGCCTCTCATTCTCATTTATATAATTAATTCACTCATTAAACATTTTTTTCTTCTCTTTTTCTCATCACTGACTTAAAGCTCACATTCATTAAACATTAACTGAATACTTATACTGTATACTAAATATTATACTAGATCTTAGGGGGAATGCAAATATAGGACAGATTTCCAATACCCTATGGAGCTAAAGATCTATTTAATCTAGACTGAAGGGGAAAGAATTTTTAACCCATCCCTAGGAGAGGTATAAATAGTGGGTCAGCTTACTGTACTTCATAGGAGAGGAGAGCTGATGGTGCCTCTTCTTAATACAGAGTGGAGTTTCATCAGAAAAGCTCATCAGTAGAGCCGGACAGAAAAGCTTCATAGATCCTTAAAATGCAGTTTCATTGTTTTGCTTGAAATGCCCCATAGAAAAAGGGAACATCCTTTTTTAAATATCAGTGCCTGAGCACCTTCCAGAATAGAGAGAATTATTTTTGGATCACCCACATAAAAATAAAGATTACTACTCCTGGCGGGGCATGGTGGCTCACGCCCTGTAATCCCAGCACCTTGAGAGGCCGAGATGGGTGGATCACCTGAGGTCAGGAGTTCAAGACCAGCCTGGCCAACATGGAGAAACCCTGTCTACTAAAATTACAAAGATTAGCCAGGCGCAGTGGTGCACACCTGTAATCCCAGCTACTTGGGAGGCTGAGCATGAGAATGGCTTGAACCCTGGAGATGGAGTTTGCAGTGAGCCAAGATTGGGTCACTGCACTGCAGCCTGGGTGACAGAGCGAGACTCTGTTTAAAAAAAAAAAAAAGATTACTATTCCTGCTGCAGCTTGTGTCTCTTTGGGGGAGGGGAAGATAGTGCTTTGATTTGGGGCAGTATTCATTTTCTGTGGGGGCAGTCACATGGTTACCTACCTCTTGGATGAGGGAATTGCTGTAGCTCTGTTGCTGTGTCGTCTTTCTTTCTTTCTTTTTTATTTTTTTTTTTTGTTTAGACGGAGTTTCGCTCTTGTTGCCTAGGCTGGAGTGCAATGGCGTGATCTCAGCTTACCGCAACCTCTGCCTCCTGGGTTCAAGCGATTCTTCTGCCTCAGCCTCCCAAGTAGCTGGGATTACAGGCATGCGCCACCATGCCTGGCTAATTTTGTATTTTTAGTAGAGATGGGGTTTCTCCATGTTGGTCAGGCTGGTCTGGAACTCCTGATCTCCAGGGATCCGCCCACCTTGGCCTCCCAAAGTGTTGGGATTACAGGCGTGAGCCACCGTGCCCGGTCTGTGTGGTCTTTCTTAAATGCCCACTTGGAGCTGGGGTCCCTGATGCTCAGTGTGATTGGGCAGGGCACTGCCTCAAAAACTCCATAAAGTGGCAAAGGATCTGCAACCAGAATAGGTGTTGGCAGAGCTGAATCAGGGCATGACAAACAGAGAAGTGAATCTCTTAGTGAAAGTTATTGGTCAAACATCTCCCCAGCTTCCTACTTCGGTGGGTTTGAAATGTTCCTTCTTGAGATGAAGTAATACGATTAATTAGGCAATGGCCAGCGTTGCCCAAGAGCCTTTGATCGGAATGTTGAGATCTCATCAGAGCCCTTGGTGACCTCAAAGTCTCAGAAATGCCCAAATCCTAATGCAGAGTGGGGTTTGCAGCGAGGAAGGGGAATGTGCTTAGACGAGGTAGGCTTCTAACCAGAGGTGGCAGAACAGGTGACCTACTTTCTCAGACATGCAAGAAGTAAGCTTTGAGGTCAACCTTAGAAGGGCTAGAAGCTCTACTCTAGCAATGATTTTGTGGATTGAAAGGGACTTCAAGAATTTATCTGCTGGATGAGGTGGCTCACATTTGTAATACCAACACTTTGGGAGGCTGAGTTGGGAGGATCACATGAGCCCAGGAGTTCAAGATCAGCTTTGGAAACATGGTAATACCCCAGTATCTACAAAAAATTTAAAAATACTAGCCCAGTGTGGTGGCATGCACCTGTGGTCCCAGCTACTCAGTATGCTTGAGCCTGGGAGGTTGAGGCTGCAGTGAGCCGTGATTGTGCCACTGCACTCCAGCCTGCACAACAAAGCAAGACCCCGTCTCAAAAAAAGTTGTCAGTTCCTTAGTCCCAAAATAGAGAGCTTATGTTTAAAACACTCCAAAGAATCTGTTCTGTTTTAAATATGTAAATATCCTTTTTTAAAAAAATAATTTATTTCTTCGAAAAAAGTTCAGTAGCCTTAAGTTGAATTGTTGAAGCGTGGAGATTTATTATGACTTGGTTTTTAAATTTCTTTGAAATTCTCCACAATAATAAAGTAAAAAGAGATTAATAAAAAGTTCTTTTCTTAAACTGTGAAAGCAATTGTAAACATGTGGAAAGATGTGCAAAAGAAAACAAAATTAACTCATGATCCCATTAACTATGGTAATGGTTAGGCTTATTTCTCTCTACATTTTTCCCTTTGCGAAGTGTATTTAAATAAAATATTCAGTATTGTATTTTGAGCTTTATGACTAATGATTATTGTGTACATTTTGTCAGTAATTTAACAACTACTTAAAGTTGCTGCTTTTAATGATCATTCAGTGTTCTGTCATATGAATGGATCATCATTTATTTAACCATTCTCTAACAGGTTATATTTAGGACAGTTAGGTTACATTTCATTATTCATTACTTTTTTTTTTTTTTTTTGAGACAGAGTCTCGCTCTGTCGCTCAGGCTGGAGTGCAGTGGCATGCTCTCGGCTCACTGCAACCTCCGCCTCCCAGGTTCAAGCGATTCTCCTGCCTCAGCCTCCTGAATAGCTAGAACTATAGGTGTGCACCACCACGCCCAGCTAATTTTTATATTTTTAGTAGAGACGGGGTTTCACCATGTTGGTCAGGCTGGTTTTGAACTCCTGACCTCAAGTGGTCCACCCGTCTCGGCCTCCCAAAGTGCTGGGATTACAGGCATGAGCCACTGCGCCTGGCCCATTATTCATTATTATAAGTAATAAATGTCCTTATGTGCAAACCTTTGCCTGTGCCTCCATTTATTCCTTTCAAACAGCCTCACATTCCTGAGTCTAAACATTTTTTTTTTTTTTTGAGAGAGAGTGTCTCGCTCTGTCACCCAGGCTGGAGTGCAGTGGCGCAATCTCAGCTCACTGCAACCTTCGCCTCCCAGGTTCAAGCAATTCTCCTGCCTCAGCCTCCCGAGTAGCTAGGATCACAGGTGCCCACCACCATGCCTGGCTAATTTTTGTATTTTTGGTAGAGACGGGGTTTCACCGTGTTGGCCAGGCTGGTCTCAAACTCCTGATCTGCCTGCCTCGGCCTCCCAAAGTGCTGGGATTACAGGCGTGAGCCACTGTGCCCGGCCGAGTCTAAACATTTTTAAACTCTCAGTGCATACTGTCATGTTATCTTTCAGAGAGTTGCCGTCAGTTTAAATTCTCAGTGGTAGGGATTGCGAGTGCCCAGTTTACAGTGGGCATTGTGCATTGTGATTTAGAGTTTTAGATAACCTCTGGCACTTTGATTTTTTTCAAGGTATCTTATTATTTTTAATTTGTTTTTCTGGACGTGGGGAGGTGGTTTATTAGCGATGTCGAACATAGTTTTTGTGCTTATCAACCACTGGTATATGTTAAGTGATCCGTTCTGGATATGTAGCACCTGTGGCCACTACCAAACTGCTTATGTGTAAAATGTATCTACTTTTTGGCCTATAAAACCTTAATTTGAGGATCTCTTAGTTGCTTCCTCTGAGATGATTGGGGTTTTCCAAACGGAGAGCCAAAATGAAATAAGAACCCACTACGAAGAGGATCCCCTAGTATTTTACAAGATAATAGGCAATATGTATCATGGCTTGCCGTGTGCCAGGCACTGTGATACATTATTTATGCTCATTATCTCACTCAATCCTTACAAGATCCCCATCAAATTGACTATTACTATCTCTGTATCATACATGAAGAAACTGAGATGTGGGGAGGCTCAGCAACATGTCCGACTTCACACAGCTGCAGGTGTCAGAGCCGGTGCTTGAATCCAGATCTGACTCTGCAGGACATTTACTGCTGGAGATTGTGTTTTCCAGTGTTTCCCTTCACCGCACCACATACATACACTTACACCACATTGCAGCCTGGAGTTTCTTCTCTATGCCTTTCAGGAGAAAGCAGATGGGGGAAGGATTTGGGTCATTCTGGGATTGAGGTCATTTTACATGTGGGCTGGAAATGCAATTGACCTTTGCTCATTCACTTCCTGTGGATCAATGTTGGAGCGCTGTGCTAGATCCTGTGCCCGACCCAGGGAGCCTGGTGCCGGCTTTTAGGAACTGACATTGTTTTGTTGTTGCTTTTAGCATCCACTCAAAGCTGAGCTCAGGGTAATGGCTGAGGGGCGAGAACTGATCCTGGACCTGGAGAAGAATGAGTAAGTGGACTCCTCCTTTGTCTAAAATGAAACAAATAACTTCTGTGTCAACGCCGGACGCAGGTGTCGCTGTTCTGGAAGGAAGCAGTCAATGGAGTGACCCCAAGCTCTCAGTCCTTGGTTTCTTTCAGGCAGCATCTTGCAAAGCCAGAGCCTTTCCACAGCCTCTTGACTCGATGTGAGATTGCTGGACTGCTAAATGTGTTGCTAAAATTTCCTTAGGCAGTATTTCAGGGGCCCCTGGAGTTCACTGCGGGCACACAGAGGTCTGTGTATGTGTGAGATTAAGGGAGTGGATGGACCAGAGGTCTTTGGCAGCTGCCTTACTAGCGCCAGCCTAGTGTGTGGCAGGAAATGAAGGAGATTAGAGGAAAACAGCAGAGAGGAGCGAGCAAAGCAGGGTGTGCTGGGGCTTGGAGCCTCAGACTCAGATTGTTCCATGTGTTCTGGTTCAGCCGCATCTGAGATTTTGTCAACAGGGCATCGTCAACAGTCTCCTGGCTACATCGGGCCCGGCTCTTCCATCTTCTTAACCTCATTCATCTTGGGTGGTAGCCTGGCTCAGAGGCACTTGCACATTGATTTGCCATCAGATGCAGTCATATCTGGATTCATGTAATGGAGGAGGTGAATGGGCACGATGCATGGCTATGTCTGTGGCTCATTCTTTGGCCATTCCCCATCTACTTAGCCATGAAGAGCTCTCCTTACTTGGCCGGGGGACTCTGAAAACATTTGGTGTTTCCCCACTGACCGTCCCACTTTTCGTTCTGCCACACAGACGTCGCAGATAAGGCTGCGTGGCTTGGAGAGCTGCCTGTCTCCTCTTGGCAGCCTCCAGAACCCCCTGGAAGCCAATGAGTAATCAAATGCATCACTGCCAAGAAAAGGATGAAGAAGGACCTTCCTGTATACAAAAGGATGGGAATAGCTTTTAGGCTTGGGTGGAAAGGGAGAATATAATTTATTCCAAATTTGGGCTTTTTGGGCACTTGCAAAGGAGGATGAGTGCTGTCCCGAGTGTGGTTAAAATACAACTCACAGCTTGTGCAGTGGTGGGGCTTCATCCACATCCTTCCTCTGCCTCCAGGACATGGTGGCCTCGGGAAGCCAGAAAGATGGGGATCACAGTCATTTTTGTTCCTCTCCTCTTGAGAGTAAAGCCAGTTTAGGCTGTGTTTCTTCTCTCCTGTGTCCCTGGAATAGACCTGGCCAGCTGCGTCCCTAGACAGTGCAGCGTCTATTGGCCCTGGATTTTTCCTTGCATTGTCTTCCTTTGGTCCTACAAGAAAAGGCCCTTAGAGGGTTTGTTCTTGACCGTGTCTCTCGGGGGCCTGCCTTTGTTGCTCACGGCAGCTTTGTTCCCATTAACTCTAGTCTAAGTGTTCCCTGTTGTTGCCTGTGTCTAATCTCTCCTGTTCTGCCCCCAGTAGAGCCTGTGGCCCTTCAGCTCCCTCTGGTCAGCCCAAGTGATAGTGTTGGTGTTGTGGGAAAATGCTTAGGAGTTGGACTGGCCAAGCAGGAGTCCCAGGACTCAAGTCTCTATCCTTCCCTCCTATTTTGAAACATTTGCTACAGACCATAGGAAGCTAAAGCAGGAAGATGCCTTAGAAAACACTGAATGGAATGATCTTAGAAAACTCTGAAATTATGGATGCAGAAGTTTTGATTCAGAGAGGGATAGGCATTTGTCTGAGGCCACCCAGCAAGTAAATGAAAGAGCTGAAACTAGGATCATGTGTATTCTTGGTGTGAGTCTGGAGTTACAGAATGTGACCCAGGGCAAATGGCTGAATCTTTTGGAACTTCGGTGTCCTTGTTTATAAAATGAGGGTAATAAGGCCAGCCTCGTGGGATGGTTGTGAGGATAAATGAGGTGAAGTGCAGGAAGTGCTTGCACAGCGCATGGTGAGTGGCCAGCCACTGTTGGGATTTTTATTGTCCCACACTGAGGCTCCAGAGGAGAGCCCGGGGCTGTGGTTCTAGCATCTGCTTTTCCGAGAGCAGCTCTCGTTTCCCATTGAGCCGCATGGGGCTGGATGTGGTTCCTGGCCTCCTTGAATTGGCAGAAGGCAGCAGAGTTGGTAAAAATGGAAGCAGCAGAGCCAAGCAATATGACCTCACCAGGTGTCCCTGGGGGACGGCTTCCTGCTATTTTCATCCAAATTGGGCTTTTTGTTTTGAACATGTGTTAGTGAGCGGAACTCCAACTGCACACGACTTCCTAGTGTGTTTATTTCCCAAAGCCTTCTCATTCATGGTGCGTGCGAGTCCGGATTCAAAACAGCTTTGGAGCGGGGGAGATGATTTTCTAATTTTTCAAATCACTGTGTTGAAGTTTCTATAATCTCATGACATTTGGGGGAAACTAGGCCCTGGGCCAAGCCATTTCTCAGCCTCTGGTTCTTAACCTCCTCGATCAACGTATTCATTTTTTTTTTTTTTTAATCTACGTGCCTCTGTGACATTTCAGGCACCAGTGCAGGTACTGGGGATAAAGCTGTGAATAAAACAGTACAGCCTTTATGGAGCTTCTATTCTAGTGGGAAACAGTAAGCAGACAAGTGAGTGCACCGTCCGTCAGGTGATGGGTGCTGTGCAGGAGACAGAGGAGCATAGGGAGTGGGGCCAGGGGAGTGTGGAGGTAGAATGGGAGCTGCTGTTTCTGAATGGCAGTCAGGGAAGGCCTTTCAGGTGAACTGATACTTGAGTCAAGACCTGAAGGAGGTGATGGAGTGAGCCATATGGGTAGCTGAGAGATGACAATTCCAAGGAGAGGGAACAGCCACGTTCCAAGGCCCTAATAGATGATGAAGGTTTCCACTCTCCCTCTGTACATTTCCCCATACACTGGATTCTCAGGTCTCCCAGGAGCGGTGAGCAAGGGCTTCTGGGACTCTGGGGGGAGGGAGAGGACATTTTAAATTTCTTTTTCATCATCCTGCCGTGTCTGGCCTTCTCCCATCAAATCAAAGCCCACGTATTAATGCATGGCCCAAAATAGCAGTGAGCAAGCCTTTAATGGAATTCACACATGGAGAGATCGCCAAGAATGGTGAGGATGGAAAGGCATGGGGCATGGGCCAGGAGAGGAGGGGGAACACAGCAAAGTGAGCTTCAGCTCAGGCAGCAGACACACTGAGGTGTCCTACAATAGCGCGGCAGCCGGCAGCCTGTCTCTGCTTTGAAGCAACTCAGCAACTCACGGATGACATCCGTGAGAAGCACACATTCTTTTCTCTATTGAGTGCAGGTGAAAAACAGTGACCCTTTAGGGATAATCTGAGCATTGCTTTTGTGTCGGTTATTCCTGTGTTCAGATCCTGGCTCTGCCACTTACTACCTTGTAGCCTCTTTAAGCCTCAGTTTGTGCATCTGGGGTGTAATTATAGTCCCATGTCATAGAGCCAGAGCCACAGGGAGGATGAAATGAGATGGTACAGGTGAAGGACTTAGCAGAGTGCCTTGTTTGTATTCCAAGCTCAAGGTAGCTATGATTATTTCTTGCTCATTGTTTTTAAATTGCAAAAGCAAAGCATGCTCATTGTAAAACATGTAGCAATTCCAAATAAACAAAAGAATGAAAGTTTCCCTCCCACGAGGAAAATCCACTGCTGTTTGGTGAGCAAACCCTGGACCTTTTCTATGCATACAAGAACATGCACATGAATCCTCACAGACACAATCACATACAGACACAGTCACACAGAAGCTGCTATTTTTGTTGGGGAGGGAGGAGCAGAAATGAGATTATGTCAGACATATTGCTCCAGCATTTCCTTTTTTGAACTCAACTGGATGTCATGAAGACAGTCTTCTGCTCTAATAAAGTATATATTACATTGTTTAATATTTATACACACATGTAATCACATAATTTGCAAAGATTGGTGCATAGCTGCTGTTGGAGAAACTTGTGATTGAGGCAGTGTGGTACAGTGGACATAGCATTGACCTCAGAGACAGATGATATGAAATTGGTCAAAAAGCCAGCCAGCTCCCCTGAGCCTCTGCTTTCTCATCTGTAAAATGCAGATTTTGGCCCCGGATAGGCTCTGAAGGCTCTTTCTGCACTACCTCTTTTTTTTTTTTTTTTTTTTTTTTTTTTGAGACGGAGTCTCGCTCTGTCGCCCAGGCTGGAGTGCAGTGGCGGGATCTCGGCTCACTGCAAGCTCCGCCTTCCGGGTTCACGCCATTCTCCTGCCTCAGCCTCCCAAGTAGCTGGGACTACAGGCGCCCGCCACTACGCCCGGCTAATTTTTTGTATTTTTAGTAGAGACGGGGTTTCACCGTTTTAGCCGGGATGGTCTCGATCTCCTGACCTCGTGATCCGCCCGCCTCGGCCTCCCAAAGTGCTGGGATTACAGGCGTGAGCCACCGCGCCCGGCCTGCACTACCTCTTTAAAGGATGCTCTGTGAGTAGAAAAATGCAAAAGAAGTCTCTGCCTCAGGAAATTTGCTCTACCTGTGGAGACATCCTGGGAAATAGTGGGCAGTGGGATAAAGGAAAAAGGTGCCCCAAATCACGGGACCTTGAAGTTGGGGACGAACTTCTAGGTCAGAACCCGCAGGTTCAGGCAACAGAAAATACAAGAAGGGAAACTACAGAGCAGAAATTATAGACTGCTGTTTGCACAACCCACAGATTTGAGCATTAATCCATATTTTTTCTCTATGTTCTTTTCCCCATGTCCTGAGACTACCTCACCAACCCAGGAACCCATATTTGACAAAAACTTGTTTGCTGAAATCAAATGGAATCCTCCTTAGTTAGCTGCAGGCATCCAGGGAGATGAACAGGGTTATGTGAGCCCCAGCGCCATATCCTGTCCTTTCTTGGCTTTTTCCCAAAAGGAGGGCACACTGAATTGCTCAACCAGATTCCTGGATGCTCACTGGGCCGCATTACTAGTGAGCAGGATCACTCTATTACAAGATCACCTTCAAAAGCAAATGAATGGCTCAACTAGTAGGCACTTTGCCCAGAGGCTCTTTGGCCATATGCTTCTGTCTTCTAGTATCTTAAACACATTCTAGGACTCTCATTTCTTCAATACACTGTCCTTCCTCAAGTCCAAATGATGATGGCTTGAGAAAGGGAGAGACGTCCTTTGGTCTAACCCCATCCATTTGTGCTCCAGCCCAGTTAGCTAAAGAGAGATCTTATTTGCTCAAGTTTAGTTAATAAGAACGGGCGTTTGTTTTCTTTTGTGAGTATGTCTACCTCCAAACCACCTGGGGAACAGCAATTGTCAAGGCAGAATTTGGGCATTTAGAGGTTTACTGATTTTAATACCTATCATTACTTCCAACTTTAATCTTTCTTCCTATCCCTAACTTCTTATCAGTCCTTCAGTGATATCATAGGGAAGGAGAAGGCTTTCATTGTCCTGGAAATCAAGCTACAATCTGGAAAATTAACATTCAGTGCTAATGGAGTAATCTAGCTCCCTAACATTCTCGTTTTTCCTCAAGTCCATTATACAATTTGGATTGCATAATACTGGTGGAATTGAGGAAGGGCAGAATTAGCAGGCAGGAAAGGAATTTTTCAGCAACACACGGGGCAGATTAGTTGCCATCTCTTATTCCTGCACTTCTTTTTCAAGGATACCTGGTAGAAATAGTAGCAGACCCAAAGCAAAACTATGAATACCACTTAGGCAGTGGAGCTCTCCCCACCTCCACCCTCCCAGCTTCCTCCCAGGTCAAGAGTAGACTTTAACATCTTACCTAGGATAAAGGACAGCTCTCTTTGACCCTCTCTTGTCAGGAGCTTCATTTGTTGTTGGCAAAATTCAATTTCCTGGATCAAAGAGCAGCTTAGAAAGGCTTAGATGGTATCCCAATGCTCTTAGTAAACCATGCTTCACTGAGTTGCATTTAAATGAGTCATAGACATATGGATTACATTGCACTTAAAATACACATGGCTCAAGAAATTAAAGGATATCATTCTTTAACCAAGTATTTGGCAGATCTAAAGTATTCAAAATGTTTTTCCAAACTCTACTCGCAGCTGGGCTCCCCATTCCCCATGGCTAAGGTTGTATAACCCGGGGAGACAGGTGCTGAGGAAACAGTTGGATGAATGGGTGGGGACACCAGAATTTGATGAGAGCTGCCTGTGGTGTCTGAAATTTTCTTCACATGTTCTTTGGAAGTATGAAGAACTGGTTTAACCCTGCTGTGTTGACGCTGAAGGCAGTGAATGCATGAGTGGATTTAAATTCCAAGTGCTTTGCTAGGCACGTCATTCCAGAGAGACCTGGTAGTCCTGTTTGAGATGTAGTTTCTAATTGTAGCTTTGTAGACTGAGAATGATTTCATTTGCATTTCCCATGTTGTCCCAAATGCCTGGAGTTGCAGAACAAATGGATTGCCAGCCAGTCTGATGTGATTTTTTATAAGCCAAACTCTCAACCCCACCCCAGCATAAGCAGGGTCTCCATTTGCAATGTACTGAATGTTTATGTCTCCCTTCAAATTCTTATGTTGAAGTCCTAGTCCCCAAGGTGATGGTATTAGGAGGTGGGGCCTTTTGGATATGATTCGTTTATGAGGGCTCTGCTCTCATGAATAGGATTAGTGCCCTGATAGAAGAGACCCGAGAGAATTAGCTCACCTTTTCCACCAGGTGAAGACACAGCTAGCAGCTACCATCTATGAACCGGAGAGAGGGCCCTCACTAGACACGAAATCTGCTGATCCCTTGATCTTGGACTTCTCAGACTCTAGAACCGTGAGAAGTAAATTTGTTGCTTATTTGCTACCCAGGTTATGCTGTTTTGTTATAGCAGCCAGAATGGACTAAGATGCCATTATTTCTAAAATATTGGACACATGATATCACTTTCTTAGGGTCCATTGCTTAAGCTCAGACTCAGTAATAAGCCTGGTGATCTGAAGGGATGCAGCTTCATGATACGCTTGTCTAAGGTATCAGAGAGCATCCAAAATTGAAATAGCCTAGATGTGTTGATTCTGAAAGCCTTGTGCACACAAGCCTTAAACATCCTAATCCATAGAGTAGAACAGATTTGGACTTTGGTCCCAGAGACCCTGATTCAATTCCAGATACTGACACTTCCGGTTGGGTGGTCTTTGGTAAGTCACTTGCCTTCTAAGTTTTACTTCTTCATCTGTATTCATAGTAATACTACTTGGCCAGGTGCAGTGGCGCATGCCTGTAATCCTAGCACTTTGGGAGGCTGAGCCGGGTGGATCACGCGAGCCCAGGAGTTCGAGACCAGCCTGGGCAATGTGGCAAAACCCTGTCTCTACCAAAACCAACCAACCAAACAAACAAAAAACCCCCACAAAAATTAGCCAGGCATGGTGGCACATGCCTGTAGTCCCAGCTACTCAGGAAGCTTTAGTGGGAGGATCTTTTGAGCCCAGGAGGTGAAGGTTGCAATGAGCTGAGATCATACCACCGCACTCTAGCCTGGTTGACAGAGCCAGATGCTGTCTCAAATAATAGTAATAATACTCACTGCTTTGTGAGCATTTGCTGAGAATGGATACTTCGGAAAAGGCACTTCACACAATGTCTTATTGAATCCTCATGGCAACCCTTTGAATGAGATATTGTTGTCTGCATTTTATAATGAAACTCAAGCATGAGGAGTTTAAATAATTTACCCAGTATTGGGCATAGCCAGGAGTCAAACTCTGGCCTGCCTGCCTCTTACTACATTATAGCACTTGCATAGAAAATAGAGACATTGATACCTTCATTGCAGGGTGTGGAAGGCTGAAAAATGCACCCTCTCCCCTCCAATGATAACCACATTCGAATCCCTGGAACATGTGGCAGAATCTTTGCAGATGTGATTAAGTTAAAGATCTTGAGGCCGGGCATGGTGGCTCACGCCTGTAATCCCAGCACTTTGGGAGGCCAAGGCAGGTGAATCACCTGAGGTCAGGAGTTCGAGACCAGCCTGACTAACATGGTGAAACCTGGTCTCTACTAAAAATACAAAAATTAGCTGGGCATGGTGGTGCGCCCCTGTAGTCCCAGCTACTCGGGAGGTTGAGGCAGAAGAATTGCTTGAACCCGGGAGGCAGAGGTTGCAGTGAGCCGAGATTGTGCCACTGCACTCCAGCCTGGGCAATAGAGTGAGACCCCATCTCAAAAAAAAAAAAAAAAAAAAAAAAAAAGAAAAAGAAAAAAAAACAGGTTATAAAAACCTTGCTGATAAAACAGGTTGCAGTAAAGAAGAGTCACTTGAGCCTGGGAGGCAGAGGTTGCAGTGAGCTGAGGTCACACCACTGCACTCCAGCCTCAGCGACAGAGCGAGACTCCGTCTCAAACAACAGCAACAACAACAACAACAAAATCAAAGATCTTGAGATGAGAAGATTATCTTGGATTACCTGGATGGGCCCTAAATACAATGGCAAATATATTTATAAGAGGGAGGCAGAAGGAGATTTGACTATAGACAGAACAGGAGACAGTGATGTGATCACAGAGGCAGAGATTAGAGTGGTGCAGCCATGAGCCAAGGAGAAGCTGGAAGAGGCAAGGAACAGATTCTCCCAGAGGGCACGCAGCCCTGCTGACCCCTTGATTTTGGCCCAATAATACCGATTTCATTCTTCTGACCTCTCAAGCTGTGTGAAAACAACTTTCTGTTGTTTGAAGCCACCAATTTTGTGACAATTTATTACACACTAGCCCCAGGAAACACACACACAGGGTTTGTGAGGTTAGGAGATAATGTATGACAATGCACTTAGTACAACGTCTGGCACATAGCAAGCAGGTTTTCAATACATGCTAATTTGTACTAATGCAACGTCCAGAACAAATGTTTTCAGGTGTTTTGGGGATGCAAGCTGTGACATGTGGCCCTTGCAGCTTTCTTCAAGCATGAAAATGACAAGAGAAAAAAACATATTGAGCAATAATCTGTGTGGTTATTGCTTATCTACATTACCCAAGTTCCGGGTCATGTTCTCTGATGCTCTGTCTGCCCTTAGGGAACTTCTGGCTGAGGATAACTAGGAATGATTGTCACATATTAACAAATGGTGATAGCTAAAAAGTAGGAGATGCCTGTATAACAGGCATCGTACTGTGGTATTTATATGGGTCATCTACTTCACTTGTCACAACCAACCAATGAAGAGTAGATTCCTATATTAGCCCTATTTGGCAGATGGGGACCCTGAGGTGTGGAGCAGTGTGACTTGCTAAAAGTCATGTGGGTGGGAAGAGCAGGGCCAGGATGTGAAACTAGATCTGTTTGACTCCCAAGTCCAGGCTTTTAACTGGGGCAGTATATTGCCTCTCAGATGCATAGTCCTGGCTCATTATGCTTTGGGCTCTTTTTTGGTTAGCACTGGCATTTCTTCTTCATTGTTCTACTCTCCCCCTTCCCTTTCCTCCTACCTTTCCCAGGCCCTGGTTAGAATTTGCATGTCAGTGTAATGTGATAGTGTAATCCAGGCAGGTGTGCATCCCAAGCTTGGCTCCTTGCACTACCTGGAGGTGTAAGCTTTGGCAAGTCGCTCAACCTTTGAGAGTCTCAGTTTTCTCATCTACGTGATGGGGATAATAACCTCATAGGATGTGTGTGGAATTCAATAACGTAATGCTCTTAAAGGATTTACAGGGTGCCTGGTGCACTATGAGAGCACAATAAATAGACACTGTTATTTGTGTTTTGCAGGGTCAGAAAAGCATTTAAGAATGAAGTCAGAGGGAATTCCCCTGAGTTGGTTTCCAAATGTAATTAAGAAGAGTTGACCTTAAAACCCATTGCCCCTGGGAGGAAATTACTTCTGCTCTCCAGCGATGCCCAGTTTGACCTAATTGTATCTCGAAAACACTGCTTTGCAGTGTTCTCCAGTGGGCCAAACTGTACCTCTTTTCTGTGCCTGCAGAATCAGATGAGGCCCTGAACTGTCCAATATGAGGTTGGGATTTGTTCACTGGTTCCGGCTCTCCTTCCAGGGATCCGCAGCCAGGGCTGCCTGTGCAGCCAGGAAGGATGTCCACGGTTTTCTTTTGTCTCAAGCTTATTTCTCCTGGCTGCTCTTCAGCAGGAGCACGGGGTAAAATGAATGGGAGGAAGCTGTCAACTGCCCTGTTGGCCTTAGATGGACCCTTATCCGAACTAAGGGAAGCTGTGGACTTGGAAGAAGTCAGGATGCTTGGGTTTGGGGACCCCTTTATCATCAGGCTGCTTACCTTCAGATAACAACAATAGCTGGCATTGAGGGAGTGAGCATTTACCATGAACTTAATATTTTATGTAGATTTTAAAAATCCCTATGTATATTTATATACAAATGAGGTCATAGTGTATTCTTGGTTTTGTAACCTATTTTTTTTCACTTGGAAATATAGCATGGGCATTTAAAAACATTTAAAAGATTTTACATGGAACTTTTTGGAATGTTTGACATTTTTCATAATAAAACTTCAGAGAAAAATTAAACAAGTTATAGAGTTTTTAAATGCATGGTATCGTACTTTATATACTATTTTATAATTGGCTTTTTTATTTTTTGTCTTCAGTGTCTTTCCACATGAGCACATTTATAGACCTGTTTCATTCTTTTTAATGGTGACATAGGATTCCACTGAATGGATGAATCAAAATTTATTAATTTCCTTATTAACTGACAGTTAGGTTTCTGATTTCTTGTTATTACAAATAATCCTAGCAATAGGATTGTACATAATCTTTAAGCACATTTGCAAGTATTTCTGTAGCACTGATACCTAGATGTAGAGTTACAGGATCCTATGGAGTACACAATTAAAACGCTTTTAAATTTTGACAAGTTGTACCTCTCACTCCACAAATACCTCCCCAAAGGCTGAATGTACCATTTTGCATTTATACAACAACAGATACCTCCCCAAAGGTTGAATGTACCATTTCACATTATGAGCATATTATAAATATGTCTCCATGTACCTTTATCATATTTAAAAAAATTAATTAGAAGTTCTATTTTTACTTACTTTTTAGCCCATGAAACAAATCTCAGTAATTTTATCTTTTCCTTTTTTAATTTTTAATTTTTGTGAGTACATACATAGTAAGTGTATATATTTACGGGGTACAAGAGATATTTTGATACAAACATGCAATGTGAAATAAGCACATCATGAAGAAAAGGGTATCCATTCCATCAGGCATTTATCCGTTGCATTGCAAACAGTCCAATTATACTCTTTATTTTAAAATGTATAGTTAAATTATTATAGACTGTAGTCACCTTGTTGTGCTATCAAATAATAGGTCTTATTCATTTTTTCTATTCTTTTTTGTACCCATTAACTATCTGCATCTCCCCACTACACCCTTCCCAGCCTCTGGTAACCATCCTTCTACTCTTTCTGCCCAGGAGTTCAATTATTTTGATTTTTAGATCCTACAAATAAGTGAGAACATGGGATGTTGATCTTTCTGTCTGTACCTGGTTTATTTCACTTAACATAATGATCTCCAGTTCCATCCATGTTGTTGCAAATGACTGGAGCTCATTCTTTTTTATGGCAGAATAGTACTCCATTGTGTATATGTACCACATTTTCTTTATCCATTCATCCCAGATAGAGACTTAGGTTGCTTCCAAATCTTGGCTATTGTAAACTCTGCTGCAACAAACACAGGAGCACAGGTATGTCTTCAGTATACTGATTTCCTTTTTTTTTTTTTTTTTTTTTTTTGAGTAGAGTCCCGCTCTGTCACCCAGGCTGGAATGCAATGGCACAATCTCGGCTCACTGCAACCTCCACCTCCCAGGTTCAAGCAATTCTCCTGTCTCAGCCTCCCGAGTAGCTGGGACTACAGGCACACACCACCATGCCCGGCTAACTTTTTGTATTTTTAGTAGAGACGGGGTTTCACCTTGTTGCCCTGGCTGGTCTCAAACTCCTGTTGCCCAGGCTGGGCTTGAACTCCTAAGCTCAGGCAATCCACCCACCTCAGCCTCCCAAAGTGCTAGGATTACAGGCATGAGCCACCGTGCCTGGCCCACTGATTTCCTTTCTTTTGGGTCTATACTCAGCAGTGGGATTGCTGGATCATATGGTAGCATGACATAGTGGTTGTACTAATTTATGTTCCCACCAGCAACGTACACAAGGGTTCCCTTTTCCCCACATCCTCACCAGCATTTATTATTGCCTATCTTTCAACTGGGTGAGATGATATCTCATTGCGGTTTTTTTTGTTTTGCTTTGTTTTGTTTTTTGAGACAGAGTCTTGATCTGTCCCCCAGGCTGGAGTGCAGTGGTGCGATCTTGGCTCACTGCAACCTCCGCCTTCTGGGTTCAAGCGATTCTTGAGCCTCAGTCTCTTGAGTATCTGGGACTACAGGTGCACGCCACCACACCTGGTTAATTTTTTTGCATTTTGTATTTTTAGTAGAGATGAAGTTTTGCCATGTTGACCAGGCTAGTCTCAAACTCCTGGTCTCAAGTGATCCATCCCAAAGTGCTGGGATTACAGGCATGAGTCAAGGCACCCAGCTTGTTGTGGTATTGATTTGCATTTCTCTGAAGATCAGTGATGTTGAGCACCTTTTCATATGCTTGTTTGCCATTTTTATGCCTTCTTTTGAGAAATGTCTATTCAAAGCTTTTGCCCAACTTTTGATTGGATTATTAGTTTTTTTTTTTCTTATAGAGTTGTTTGAGCTCCTTATATAGTCTTGTTATTAAGCCCTTGTCAGATGGGTAGTTTACAAATATTTTCTCCCATTGTTTGGGTTGTCTCTTCACTTTGTTGATTGTATCCTTTGCTGTTCAGAAGCTTTTTAACTTGTTGTGATCCCATTTGTCCATTTTTTCTTTGGTTGCCTGTGCTTGTGGGGTATTGCTCAAGAAATTTTGCCCAGACCAATGTCCTGGAGATTTTCCCCAATGTTTTCTTGTTGCAGTTAAATGGTTTGAGGTCTTAGTTTTTTTGGTCTTTTTTTTTTTTTTTTTTTGGGGTTGGGGGGACAGAATCATGCTCTGTTGCTTAGGCTGGAGTGCAATGGCGCAATCTCAGCTCATTGCAGCCACTGCCTTCTTGGTTCAATTGATTCTCCTGTTTCAGCCTCCCGAGTAGCTGAGATTACAGGCGTGCACCACCACGCCAGCTAATTATTTTCTTTTTAGTAGAGACAGGATTTCACCATGTTGGCCAGGCTGGTCTGCAACTCCTGACCTCAGGTGATTCGCCTGCCTCGGCTTCCCAAAGTGCTGGGATTACAGGCATGAACCACTGTGCCTGGCCTGAGGTCTTAGATTTAAGTCTTTAATCCGTTTTGATTTGATTTTTGTATACAATGAGAGATAGGGGCCTAGTTTTATTCTTCTGCATATGGTTTTCCCACCATTTATTGAAGAGACTATCATATCATTTTCGTGGCTGTGTGATATTATAGTCTATGTGTATGCATGATTAACTCTTACAGCTTCTTATAGTGAAAAATTATCAAACGTGCAGAGTAGAGAGAATGATGGTATGAATCACTGTATACCCAACTGAGTCAAAGCGAATTTACATGTAACGTGGATATATAAAGGCAAGTTGCCCTTGGCTCCTCTGCAAGTTTATATCTCACTGCCCTTGTTGAGAGATCCTGTTTTCCCAAACACACCATTGAGTTGATTATTGAGCTTGGGCAGACTCTTTAAACCCAAGCTCTCTTGTCTTTTTTTTTTTTTTTCCAAACAGCTTTACTGAGATACAACTCACATACCATATAGTTCACTCATTTAAAGTATACAATTTCATCTGTTTTAGTATATTTACAAAGTCATGCAGCCATCGCCATAATCTGATTTTAGAACATTTTCACCACTCCAAAAGGAAAAAACATCAGCAGTGTTATGAGTTGAATGGTGTCCCCCCAAACTCATATGTTGAAGTCCTTATCCCCAGTACCTCAAAGTGACCTTATTTGGAAATTGAGTTGTGGATGTATTTAGTTAAGATGAGATCATACTGGAGTATGGCAGGTCTCTAATCCAGCATGAGTGGTGTCCTTTTAGAAGGGGGAGGTTTGGAAACAGACACACACTCTGGGAGAATGCCATGTGAAGATTAGAGTTATGCCACCACAGGCGAAGGAACTCAGAAGCCAGGAGAGAGCCTGGGATAAGCCCTTTCCTTGCACCTGCAGAGAGAGGATGATAGCTTGATCTTGGACTTTTAGCCTCAAGAACTGTGTGACATAAACTTCCGATTTTTAAGCCACTTGGTTTGTGATACTTTGTTACGGTAGTCCTAGAAAAGGAGCACAGTCATTCTTCATTCTCCCCCACCCCACGTCAGTCCTATGAAGCTGGCAATCTGATGTCTCCAGATTTACTTATTCTGGATGTTTCATGTAAATGGGATTATACAATATGTGGTCTTTTTGACTGGCTACTTTCACTTCGGGTAAAGTTTTTGAGGTTTATTCGTGTTGTAGTATGTATCAGTATTCTTATTGCTATATGGTATTACATTATATAGATATACCACATTTTGTTAACCCATTCATTAGTTGATAGATCTGCCTTTTAAGCTCGAGCTAATTTTTCTCCATTCTACAAGTTTGATTTCAGGGGATACTGATTGAGCACCTCTATGTAGAATCCTGTGCTAGGTGCTGTAGAGACTAGGCATGAAAACAGGATATTCTTACCTTCTGGCAGTTTAGACTCTGTGGGAGAGAAAACAGCATGCAAACAGCATAATCCAAAACAGATTACAAATTTACATGGTAGAATTGAAAGTAAAGAACTGCGAAGGCAAGAGGAACGGGAATTTGTGACTGGGGAAGAGGGGAGCCTTCCCTAATGAGGGTTACTTGAAATATTGTCTTGCAGAATGATGGGAGGCTTTTGATGAGGGAGGGAGATGAGATGAATGGAGAATGAGAAAGGAATTCAGACTGAGAAAACAATGTGTAAATGTTTGGTCTGGATCAAAGGGAACCTAAAACTGTAGTGCTACTAATCTTTTAGGAATTTAGTATCCCTAACTAGCCAAATATTTGAATTCAGAAGAGTGATATGTTGAGGTTGGGGAACGGGTTGCTTTTTCTTCCACTGGTGGGCTACCAGAGGATTTGAGTGGCATAGAGCTCAATATTTTAATTCTCCCATTTTTGACTTTGAGTTGCATTCTCTTGCCTCAGGCAGACCCATGTGGTCAGGGAAGTAGGTGAGCTACTTCTAGGAAACATACTTGAAGTGCACTTAAAAGCTAGGCTGTATTTCTACACCTTGGAAGAGAAGTAGCTTTCCTCCCACCCCTCCCCACTGAAGAACAATTTGGGCTGAGCCAAGAGGATGGAGGTGTACTTGGTGGATGGAGCCCATGGATTGGAAGGGGCTGAGCACAAGGCATTGATGGCTTCTTCACAACTTCTGTAGATGGGGAAGCCTCCTGAGATGCAAGGCTGGTGGGCGGGATGCAGACGGATTTATGGATATACATTTGGATTTGGGAGAGGCTCTTTCGGCCTTCTCTTTTCTCCCAGCTCCGAGGATGTGATTAAACTCTTCATCTAGGCTCTCTGGAAATTGGAGGGTGTTTCCTACTCTTTACCCTTTGTGGTTGGGCAATGGAGCATGACTATCCTGGAGAAAAATGAGAGGAGGCTGACAATGTGGCCCCTGGACAGATTCTGTCCTGAAAATGAAACTACATTTACATTTCACCCAGGAGATGTTTTTGATTTTGAGCAATTAAGATTTGCTTTTTCTTTATTTAGAACTCAGTGACATACACAGACCTTTGGCTGACCCCTTGAATAAACTAAGTGAATAGTCTTCTGGGTACTATGGGGCAAGTTGCTAGGTCTTGCACAAACTCAACTGGGGCAGGTATTGAGTCAGAGAATCCCTGGCTTTTCTGGCAAGTCTCTTCCCAGTGTACTGGGCTTGAGTTCTGGACTACTCATTGAGAATTCCTAATTTATGTTATTCCTTTCTTCTCTTCCTTCATTAAACAAATATTGTGAGTGCCAACTATGTGGCAGGCACTGGGATAGGTCCTGGTTATTCCCGGGAGAATCAATGGTGATCAGAATAGTCTCTGCCATCATGGGGCTTAGAACGTAGTAGAGGGGACAGATAATTAAACAGTTACAGAACAATGTGGGACCTGCTAGGAGGGAGGAAGTAGAGGGTACTGTAGGAACATGGGGAAGGGGAACTTCCTCTGGATTGGGGGCACGGGAAGTCTGATAGGAGGAAGTAAAGAAAAGGGGGAGTGTGATGGTGGTGGAGAGTGTGGCAGAGTTGGCTCATACAATAGGGAGTATGTGCCAGGCAGCACAGATCACAGGATCAAAGGCCCAAAGGCAAGAATGACATTGAAAATGAAAAGTTCTCTATAGTTAGAACAGAGAGCAGGAGGAAGGAAATGATGAGAGAAGAAATTGGTGAGGCAGGCAGAGGTGAGTCCTTAAAGGGCCTTGTAGGCACCTTAAAGAGTTTGGGCTTTTATCTCTAGGGCAATGGGAAGCGGATGAAGAATATTTTAAAAGTCACATAGTGACAGCATCCAAAACGCATTTGAGAAGGACTAATTTAGGGAAGAGGTAGCTGATATAAAGAGAAGAGGATAGATTCCAGAGATATTTATAGGGTGGAATCATGGAAACTGGGAAATGGGTTGCATGTGGGCTGAGGGAGAGGGTGGTTTCAAGGGACAGTCCAAAGTTTCTAGCTTGAATAAGTAGCAGGATAGTTGTCTTAATTCATTTTGCATTGGCAAAACAGAATCCTAGAGACTGGGTCACTTATAAAGAAAAGAAATCTGTTTCTCACAGTTCTGCTGGCTGGCAAGTCCAACATCAAGGTATCAGCGTCTCATGAGGGCCTTCTTGCTATGCTACCCCATGGTGAAAGGGAGAAGGGCAAGATAGCACATGAAAAAAAGAGCAAGAGAGCAAACTTGCAGCCTCAAGCCCTTTTATAACAGCATTAATCCACTCATTATGGTGGAGCCCTCATGGCCTAATCACTCCTCATGAGGCCTACCTTCCAACACTGTTGCATTGGGGATTAAGTTTCCAACACAGGCTTTTGCGGGGATACATTCAAACCACAGCAATGGTGGTGTCTGTCCCTGGAGTTTTCCTTAGCTTGTGGTGGGACCTTGGACAAGCCACCTCTTTCCTTGGATCTTTAGGTTTCTCATTAGATAGGTAATTAGACTCAATGGACTAATTAGACTAGGTAATAATTCCTAGTCACCACCTTGGCAGGATCATCATGGGGATGCAATAATAAAACCTGTGTGAAAAGCAGTGTCCTGTACTCTTTCCATAACGCTGACAGGCCCAGCAGAAGCAAAATCTGTGCCTCCCCTGGTTTTCTCTGTTTTCTCCTCCTTATCTAAAATTCTAAGCACTTGGTCTCTTAGGAACTGGTGAGACCTCTGCCCATTCCAGCAGCTGAGGCTTCATTGGGGACCTCTCTAGGGATTCTGAAACCGGCTTTTGTTGAAAACAATGATATCATTGAGTAGGTGGAGCTGGGCCGGACTTTCCTCAGCCGGTTGAAGGAGAAATGGGGTCTTTATGACTTCTGTACTTGTGGCTCTTTTCCAGCCTCTTCCATGGCTCCCATGTGTCTCACTTCCCCCCTTTCCTCCTTGCAGAAAACTGGCAGTCTCCACGTTTTCTCCTCTTGCATCAGTCTCCCCGGGGAGAGGGCCAGAAGGGCCAAGGAGCTATAATGGCTGCATTATATCAAGCATGGTTTCTTTTTCCAAGGCCCCCCTTCTGGAGAAGGGAAGGGCAAGTCATGGAAAGGGACTCCTTTGGAGGGAGACTGGAGTGCTGGGGAAAAGAGTGATCTAAGTGTTGGAAGGAATGTCAGGCTCTTTGTATTCTAGAAGCTCTTTATCTCTTGACTCACTGATGCTAGATTTGGGGCTTGGGTAAGAATGCAAAGGTCAAACTGGCCTCTCAGGGATATGGTGATAGGAATATGGGTTTGGAGAAGGAGGGCAGCCATGTTGAGTGAGTATCCTTAATTCCTGATCCCTAGACTGGCCTTGCTCTCTGCTCTCAACACGCACACATGCATGCACACACGTGTGCGTGCACATATACATCCCTTCTCCATAACTGTGTAGACAGCTTTTTAGGAGAAACTAGAAATTGGTTACCACACTGGTTTGCAGCTGTTCCAGGAAGGAAGATGAGCTGTGAAACAGTGCCTTCTGGGGACCAGACAGTGACACCTGCCCTCTGCATGGTGTCAGCATTTGCCAAGCACTTGGGAGCTGCAGGTGCCAAGCCAGGAGAGGGGCAGGAAACCTAGGCCTGCCTCACTGGCTGCTGAAGCCCCATCCCCTAGCATAGTGCCTGCACATCACGGACCTCCATACATGTTTGTGGAGGGTGCAAGTGGACTTGCAGGTGCAGGGCCTGCAAGGCCTGATGCTCAGAAAGGTGCTGCGTCTTGATCAAGGACCCCCAGCAAATAGTGACGAAATCAAGCTGTGAGAAACTCTGGCCTCCTGATGCCAGGTGGCCTGCAGTTTGTACCACATTACACTGCTTAATATGCAGTTATTCATGAGATTGCATGAAGAGCCTTTCTCTCTGCCTACTGGGTGTGTCTGGATGGCCCAACTCTTGGCTTGTCTACCACTGACATTTAGCTTACTCTAGTTTATTGAAATGATGGGTTTAGAAACAAAAACTGTGTGATGCTGGGCAAGTTGCTTTTGCTTTTTTTCAGATTCTTCATCTGTAAAAGTGGAGGTCAGGGTTGGGCAGAGAGGGTGGTATATAAATAATGTTTCATTGCGGTAGACTCTGTAACTTACACACTAACCCTCGCTTCTCCTAAACAATCTTTTTGGAAAGGATATGGGGCAACGCATAGAATGAGGGAAAAGTTGAAAAACTAAGGTTTGGAAAGGTTGAGATCCTAGAATGAATAGACGGTCCCTTCATGTACTATCATCTTGAAATTCTGAGATGAGATCTGACTGTCCAGGCATATCATGAAGCATTCATTTGGCCAGGCAAGGGCAGGGATCTTGACCAACTCCAGGTGCCCTAGTCAGCAATGCAACGAGAGGGGAGTATTTCTTTAAATGCAAGTTGGGCCACTGTTTATCTCAAGAAGGTGGCATGGATGCTGGGCAGGCTCTGACAATAGGTATCCACTATGATCTATGAGGGCTTTCCAAGTTCTGACATCCTTGACTTATGCTTTGGGTGCGGTCTGTGTCTTAGTATGCTAAGAAACATTGGGCAAGTTTATGAAAGTTACTGGGATATTTAATCAGAGCTTAAAAAGGGCTAAGCACCTACATTTAGCAGGCTGGTTTGTGGTCCTCACCTACCTGTTTTATGTTTGTTTGTTAGTTTCAGGGAGTGGTCCGCTTATTCCCTTTTTTCTAAGCATATTCTCACAGCTCCAGTGATCTCAGAGGGTCCTTCTCTTCATTTCCCCTGTGTCTTATCCACACCGTTTTTCTTTATGATATGGCAGTTTCCTCATACCCTCTTACATTCGTCTTTCCCTTCAGGTTTTCTGTGGTATCGGCTAATCTGATCAACACTGTGGTTATTTACCAAAAACTGGTTGCTAGAGAAGTTGTTCCTACTCACCATTTTCGCTTTTAGATTTTTCTCAGAAATTCTAAAGGTAGCACCTCATTTCCCCGAACTGTTCTTATCTAATTCCAACAAATACACATAATGGGCTATTCGGGACACTGGAAAACAAATTTGTGAACTCTTCTTGGGTGAGCCATTTTGAGGGCCCCGCAGGTCCCTGCCAGTTAAGTTGTCTGATCTCAAGAAGTCAGCTCTATTTGTGCAGAGAGGTTACCCATCTTCACAGAGGCAGCCACGAGGGAGGCCTGAAGAGGATTAAGTAAAGACCCTGCTGGCCAAAGGAGTCAGTGGTGCTCATCCAAACATCCTTTGGTATATAATGTAAAAGCAAAACACAGGACCAGAAACTGGTCGGAAGGGTGCCAGGTCTTGTGCGGACTGGGAGAAGATGTCGTGGGAAGTGGTTGGTGAAAGGGAGTGTTGACTTAACGCATTGTTTGGAAACTTCCTTAATAGGAAGTTAAAGAAAACATACTGAGTAGCATTGGCCTTTTGCCAGGCTTCTGGATGGCGCCATTTTTGCCTTCGGAGTGTTGCTTCCAAAGCTGGTCCTCTGGCAACGATGGTGCTTATTCAAGGGAGTCCCTGGGATAGGAGGAGGTCCCAATTTTTTACTCTAGGAGCAACCTCCAAAGTTCCCCCTTCCTTCGCCTTTCTGTTCCCTCATAAAGGAATGTGTCTGCTTGCAGCCCCCTGGACTCATCAGTCCCTTATTTGGCTTTAGGGCCATGCCTTTGGCACGTTGGTTTGTTTCCATTCCTTTGGAGTCAGAGGTGGAATGAGTACTGATGTAGAAATCTTGGTTCTGAAGCAGCTCTGGCTGTCTCTTCCCTGCTTTTCTTTCAGCATCTTAGAAAACAAAACAATACTCACTGAATTTATTTTGTCCCAAATCTAGACTAGTGCAGGCCATGACATTAGAATAGCACTCTGCTTTTCAGAGACACTTTCCAGTACCTGTCTGTCCTGGGCATTGCCATTTCTGCTTGATAGAAAGGGAAACTGAGGCTGAGTAGTTTGTGACTTGCACCGTATCACCTAGCCAGTTAAAAAATATTGTCAAAATTTACAAACCCAGAAGGAGAGAGACTAGTATTATAAACCTCAGATGCCCATTACCTAGATTTAACAATGATCAAGATTTTGCCACGTGTATATATAGCTAGTGCTGGAGAAAATGATAGCAATATTTGTAAAGCACAAATACTTTCTACTTTACAAATAATTCTTTCACATTTGTTCATATGATCTTCCTATATGCCAGGCACTATTCTAACATCTTACAGGGGCACTGTGAAGTAGATTTTGTCATTCTCCTCATTTTATGATGAGAAACCATAGGCACGGAGAAGTTACTGACCAGTCTGAATTCACACGACTTATAAGAGCTAGGATTTGAATGTATTTTCTCATTTGATCCTCAGCATCGCTGTGATACTGATGGTGATTATTAGTCTGTTCATTTTGCAGTCTAGAAAATGGAGGGGGTTTATGTGGCTCACGTGAAAACAATTTTTATACAAATACATAGTGAGCACTTCTCGAAGTTTTATTTATCTAATTAATGGGCTAACCAGCAAGATGATAAAACTGGTTTAAAATTGGATAAGGGAAACTAAGACGTATTTGTGTGGCGGTGTGTGTGTATTTAATAGTGAAAAAAGGAATGCTGAGATAAGATTGCTAAATTAGACACAAAACTAGTTAATATCCTAGGGGCTGTAAAATCATAACCTTTGGGGTTATCTTTTCTACTAGATGGAAATATTTGCATTTCTGTTGTATCTTATTAAGTTTTTACAAGTTAACATCTGATTTTACAGAGTGGAACAAGGGCTGTCCTAATTAATTGTAAATAGTACATCTTTCAAAGCCACACTCTTCCCATAAAGTCCAGAGAACCGTAGACAGGCCTCTGAGAGTCTAAGGCTTGGCTGTGCTCCCTTAGTGTTTTTTAATTTAATGTTTTGAGACAGAATCTGGCTCTGTCACTCAGGCTGGAGTGCAGTGGTGCAATGTCAGCTTACTGCAGCTTCCGCCTCCCGAGTTCAAGCGATTCTCCTGCCTCAGCCTCCTGAGTAGCTGGGATTACAGGTGCGCGCCACCACACCTGGCTATTTTTTTTTGTAGAGACGGGCTTTCGCCCTGTTGTCCAGGCTGGTCTGGAACTCCTGGCCTCGTGTGATCCACCTGCCTCGGCCTCCCAAAGTCCTGGGATTAGAGGCGTGAGCCATTGCACCCAGCCCTGGCTGTACGCTTGTGTGACATTGAGAGGAACCATAGTCATCTTTTGCTTCATTTCCAGGCTTTGGAAGGGCAGTTGCCTAGTGCAGCTGCTGCTTAAACCAAAGCATTCCGACTTTCCCTCTATGCTGGGTTAGCACCATCTTTAGACTTTTGGAAGGTGATTAGGAGGCTAGAAATAAAAAAAAGAATTAAAAATGTTAAAATTGCTCAAATGGAGTAGAATAATTCCCAGAACCCGAAAACATAAATCACCTGAAAAAAAAAAAACTATTAAAAATACAGATTTCTTAATCCTTCCCTAGAAAAGGGAGGGGATTGTGTATTTTTGAACAGTCTTTCCAGGTGTTGTGCAGTTGTTGGGCTAAGTCGCATGGTGAGAACATTATTACTAACATAGGCAGGATGAAGACCCTCCAGGTGAAATAAGAGAGACCAGAAAAGTGGACCTCCCAAGGCATCATCAGGGTATAAATGCCTGGAGACTCTTGGAAGAATTAGATAGAGAAAGGCCCAGAGAAAGGAGGTGTCAGCAAAACTTGCTACTGAGATGAGCAGAGTGATGCTCGCCTATGCTGAGCTCGTCTGCAGAGGGTGTTTTTCAAGGTAAATGGGAAATTGTTATCACTTTATCTTCACTGGTTTGCTTATCTGAAGCAGGAGGAAGAAGGTTTGAGCTCCCAGAAGATGTTTTGCAAATTCATTTTAGTGTCACTGCTCCTTCCTCTCTAGAGGGTGGTTTAGCCTAGAGAGGCATTTGAAATTTGTCTGACGATAAATAGAACTTAAAGGAATTGTCCTGAGTTTGAAGCTTCTGAGCCTTAGGAAAGACGGGTCTGAGCTGTTTTCAGGCTGCAGTGTACTTTCAGGGCCTGGCTGCTTGTACAGGTTCCAGTTCTTCTTCCCTAGAGAGTGACCTAATGTTTTATGTCCGGTATTTGGGGGTAGCTTATTTTCCTAGGTGGGAGTCTGAAGATGCAGGTTTTGCTCAGGGACTTTGGAATCTAAATGACCCAGATTTTGCTCAACTCTAGTGCTGGCTATTATTATGATGGTGCCGAGACATGGCAGAGTGTCCTACTGATTTCTGCCTGTCCGTGGGCTCCTGAGCACAGAGCAGACAGAGCAGGGGGCAGCAGGGTAGAACAGAAATTGCTTTTCTTTTAAAGCTAGAAAAAAGGAGTGGGCGGAATGGGAAATCTTGCACAGTCCTTTCTCTTCCTGGATGCACATCACTCACAAGTCGTTTCCTGAAAATCCTAATGCAATCCAATGGTGAGAGACGGCTTCCTGCCGGTCTGCTGAGCCAGCCCCTCGTCAGGGAGGAGATGAGAACAAGATGTGGTCAGAGAATGGGGCAGCTGGGCTGGGCCGGGCTGCTCAGTGACCATGTGCCCTCCTCTCTGTGGGACAGCAGCGTCCTTTGGTTCTGAGAGCAGCACCTGGACACATGGGCGTATGTGGACCTAGCTTGGGGGAGCTGCAGAGTTGTTCAAACAGATGGCTGGCCCTAACCCTAGAGTTTCTGTCTGATTCATGAGTCTGGGTGGAGCCTGGCAATTTGCATTTTTAACTAGTTTCTAGATGATGCTGATATTGCTGCTTCAGAAAGGGTGATTAGGTGGAAAATGAAAGCGGATTGTTTTATGTAGATTCAGAGGCCAGAATGAAGGCCTGTGGGTGCCAGTGACAGAGGTGTAGTTTTTAATCCGGAGTAAAACATTAAACTACTGTATGTGGTCAGAAATGGAGTGGGTAGTCTCAGGAGTAGCCTCTCCCTGGAGGTGTCCAGTGGTGAATAGCCATTTGGCAGATTCCTACACGAGATAAAAGGTTCATTCATTCGTTTGCGAGTTTATTCACTCATTCACAGAATGCACATGTACTGCCTGCTTGCTAGGTGCTGGGGGCCGGGGAGAAGACTTCAAAGACACAAGGTCCCTGTTTTTGGGGAGCTCACAGTGTAATTGGGGTTTGACTACATGATTTCTAGGGTTCCTTTCAGTGCTGAGGGTCAGAGAGGCCTGTGATGATGGGGTAATGTCACTGGGTGAATGATTTCTCCCCCCTTGCTAAGTCTCAGAAGAGGCTGAGAATATTTTTACCAGGAGTGCATTTTCTGTGGGAAAATTCACACTTCCCCACTGGCACCTGGAATGAACTATTAAACTCTGAACTCCTGACCAGCTGTACATGGCGCAGTCTGTGAAAGCAAACCCAGGAAATGGGCTGCAGGAATGAGCACATTGCGTTTTACCACCTCTCTTAAGTGATGTACTGGAGAGTTCATGGCTGGGGAAAGTTAGAGAGAGAAACTTTCTGGGTTCTTCTGTCATAATCCCTGTTGAAAGCAATAATGATTATCACTAACTTTTACCCAGCTCCACTTTGTGCCAGGCATGGCATTAAGTCTGCTACATTTATTATGTTGTTTGATCCTCATCACAGCCCTATCAAATGAGTATATCATCCTCTTTTTTGTGTAAGAGGAAACAAAGGTTCAGAGACATACATGTACTTGTTCACGGCCGTAGAGGCAGTGAATGTCAGAGCTGGAATCAAAACTTCAGTTTTCCAGTCTCCAGACCATGCTCTAAGCTGCTAGTACACTGAACTACTCATCCATCCATTCATTCGGTAACTAGTTAAGTGGTTTTCTCATTGAACAAATGTTAAGCACTGACATAAACCAGTGAGCAAAACTGCTTGGCCTCTGCCCTCATGAGGCTTACAGCTTTTCTCCCTCAGGCAAATGGGTGACTCCTCCCTCAAATCTTGGACTAGTTAGATGCTAAGGAGAAAGAGAAAGGACTGGGAGACAGATTCTGGCAGGTTAGCCACTGACCCAAAGTTTCCATGTGAATGAGAATTTCTCTTCACAAAGCTGGGGTTTGTGCTTTGCTTTATTTTTACATTTTCCTGTTGGGCTTCTTTTCTTCTTGTCCAAGGCGAGAAGTTGAAGGCCTTGACATAGTACAGGAGACAATTCTTGTGGCATTTGCCTTCTGACCACACACTGGGGATGGAGGGAAATCTGAGCGATCCCAGAACTTAGAGCTGGAAGTGACTCTAGAGGAATTCTAGAGACCCTCTGCGATGACCCTCTCTTGCTGGGAAATGTCACCTCTTTCAAAACCTGGGTTATCCCTGCAGATTCCTTTGGCTTTCTGTGCTGGCCTCAGCCTACATTTTCTTCTTTTTAAGAGCAGTTTTAAATTAAAATTTCAGTTTTCAAAACACCTCTCTGACAGTTAATTTAAAAGTCAACCAACTTCAGAAATATGCAACTTATATTGTAAACATCTTCTGCAACCCCTGAGATAATCACCATCAACAAAGGGCATTTGTTTCTCTCTCTCTTTTTTTTTTTTTTTTTGAGACAGAGTCTCGCTCTTGTCACCTAGGCTGGAGTGCAATGACGTGATCTCGGCTCGCTGCAACCTCCACCCCCCAGGTTCAAGCAGTTCTCCTGCCTCAGCCTCCCAGCTAGGCACCTGCTACCACACCTGGCTAATTTTTGTAATTTTAGTAGAGATGGGGTTTCACCATGTTAACCAGGCTGGTCTTGAACTCCTGACCTCAGGTGATCTGCCCACCTCAGTCTCCCAAAGTGCTGGGATTACAGGTGTGAGCCACCACACCTGGCTGACCTTGACTTTCTGTAGATCAATTCTGCCTTTAATGTGGCTGAACTATTAATAGTTGAAACATCCATTTGACTCTTATATTTTTCTTTTAATTTTTAGAGAAAATTCTAAGAACATTTCTTGAAGTTGCCTGGCCTTTGGTGAGGGGATTCTTAACCTGTACTTCAAGGGGTCTGTGGTGAGAGAAACCAATGTCCAAGTTTAGAAAAGAAAAAAAGGAATTTATTGGAAGAGTAACATAGAATTACCAGGTCTCAGGAAATCGGAACCACTAAGTGTCCGAAAGGGCAGGCAACGGAAGCTTAGGGAACCCTTGTAGCAGGAACAGAAGAACAGATGCATTGCTTCCATCTGTTCAGACCTGGCAGTATCTCTCCACTGGCTTCGCTTGAAATACAGGTCACCCCTTGGCCAGGGCCAAGTAGGACACCTTGATTGACAATCTCACCAAAATATGCATCAGGGAAGAGTTATTCCCTTAAAGAAAAATTGGTCTGCTGATACTAAAAATTGGTAGATCCAGTGCTGGAAAAATCAACCACGGTACACAACAGGGTTCATAGGCCCCGGGAAATTTTGCATGTGTTTGCATGTCTGTTTTCCCAGGACCCAGACAAATATTAAGATCATTGCTTTAGTTCTGTCAATTCCATCTAGTTGGAGTGATGTTCCCATAGTGATGATAAATTATATTTAATTTACATTAAATATAAAATTAATAACAAACTTATGGTTTTCCTTTTTGTTCCTTAGCCCCTTGTGGCTGCCTAGTTTCTTTTGTATGGAGATGCTTGGGATAGTCCTGCCTGGTTCAGTTAAAATCACTCGTTGTTGCTAGGAGGGTGGAGTTCATCCACTTATGATATAAATGTCTCTTTTTATTTTTTGCAGGCAACTTTTTGCTCCTTCCTACACAGAAACCCATTATACTTCAAGTGGTAACCCTCAAACCACCACACGGAAATTGGAGGTGAGTTCAGGTCAACAAATGTCTATCCAGCAGCTGTCCTCTCCCAGCCCTACTCCTAGGACCTCAGGAGATGCCTGATGGAGTTGGTCTCTCCTCTGAAGGGAGTGTTTCCCCCAAGCGAAGACCAAGGGAGCAAACGAGAAGCAAAACATGTATTTGATGTTCATAGGTGCTCCTCCTCCTTTGCTGACTACAATGGCTAAAGAAACATAGACTATTTTAGGGTAATTGCATCTAATTACAATTGATGCAAATTACTGTGAAATATACATGTTCTTTGCTTTATGTTAATTACCCACATGTTAACAAAAGTTTTAGTAAAAGGAGTGACTTACTCATAATCCTGTCGTCTCATCCAATTAGATGTTTGATTAGTCCTTTTTAAATGGATGTATAACATTTACAGAGTTGTAATCACTGTGCATATACATTTTGTAGTCTGCTATTTTAATGTGATTTTTAAGTTATGAATATTTTATTTTGCTTCTATATTCATATTGGACATTTTTTCCCTCAAAGTTGTTTTTGAGTAGGGATGTTTACGCAATGTCAAAGATCTTTCATTTAGAAAATGGTCTTTCAGATGGTTACATGTCAGTTTGCTTTGCCACACTCCACTGGTAGACATTTAAAGTAGTGAATGATACACATTTCATGGTGGCTAGCTCTTCTTACAGGGATGCCTATTGGAATTTGTAGGCTCAGAACGTTGATTCTCAACCAGGAGAACCAATGGCGTTGCCCCGACCCCGAGGGACACCTGGCAATGTTTGCAGGCAATTTTTATTGCCGTGACTGGCAGGGAGGATCTACTGGCATCTACATTCTATAATGCATAGGACAGACCCACCACTCCCCCACAACAGAATTATCCAGCTCCAAATATCCATAGTGCCCAAGTTGAGAAACCCTGGATTCGAATGACCATTCTCAAAGTCTGGGCTGGTGAGATGGGGGTGAAGAAGGGAAGACGCACACTGGCAGGAGCAGCAGTGGCCTTTGCCTTTGGGGCAGGACATAATGGACTACTGAGGCACACAGACTGGGAGTTGTGGTGTGGAGAACAGCAGGAGAGGTCCCTCTGCATCAGGACTCCTTCAGCAGCTTCTCATGGAACCTGAGTGTTCTACCAGGCCCATTCTTTAAAATATCCCTGCTGGAGTGCAAGTGTCCAGCAAGATAACACTGGCCACTATCAGTCATTAACAGCTCAGATTAGTTCGCCAGATTACCCCTGGATGGGGAAAGGGACACAGGACAGGTAATTTTGTGTGTGTGTGTGTGTGTGACAGAGTTTCACTCTGTAACCTAGGCTGGAGTGCAGTGGTGCGATCTTGGCTCACTGCAACCTCCGCCTCTTGGGTTCAGGCAATTCTCCTGTCTCAGCCTCCCCAGTAGGTGGGATTACAGGCATGCATCACCACACTTGGCTAATTTTTGTATTTTTAGTAGAGACAGGGTTTCACCATGTTGGCCAAGCTATTCTCGAACTCCTGACCTCAGGTGATCTGCCCACCTTGGCCTCCCAAAGTGCTGGGATTATAGGCATGATCCACTGCGCCCGGCTAATTTTGTATTTTTAGTAGAGATGGGGTTTCACCATGTTGGCCAAGCTGGTCTCGAACTTCTGACCTAAGGTGATCCACCCACCTCAGCCTCCCAAAGCGCTGAGATTACAGGCCACTGTGCCCGGCCACAGTTTTTGATAGATCCAAGAGACGTGGCGCATAGTAACTGGGTAGCTCAGGGGCTGTGTTTTGTGGCTGAATGTGAAGACCAGTGCTGCCTTCTTAACCAAGACTTTCTTGGATGGGGAAGGAGTTGGTAGTGTGGCCGGTGCCTGCAGCAAAGTTGGACTGTGTCTTCTCATCCCCAGGGAGGCTGTCCAGTTGTGACTTCATATTCTTCAATGCCCCTTGGTCAAAACTTTTCCTCTCTTCTTGAGACCTCTGTTCTCTGCCTCCAGGGGCAGGGGTGGGATGGGGGAACAGGCATGCCTAGAAAGCTGTTAGCCATGACAGCCTCCTTCAAACACTCTCCTCTGAGTTTGGATCCTGCCACTTCTGTACCCACAGCTCAAGAATGGGTCTCAGTCCACGAATTTGCCATGAGCTCACGCTTCCTGCTATGAAAGCCCCCTTGGGGTGGCCCCATCAGGCTGAGAAGCTGAGGAATGCAATGACTTCATGACTGATCCTTGACTTGTTCTTTGTGCTCTCTGCTTGTGCATTAGGCAGAGATGTTGTAAGGGCCTTTCAGAAAGAGAGGATTGGAAAAGAACTCCCCCTCTCCCAGAATCCCCTCCTTCCAGAAGGTCTTGTTGACTGAAGCACATCCTAGCTGAACCTTGGGATGGACAACTCATTGTTTGCTTACATCCCCTGCTACTAGACTCTTGCAAAGCTCCCACCCAGGCCCATGGGGTTCTCAGTCAGACTTCCCATTTGGGAGCTGAGAGCTCAATGAAAAATGGGAATGGAATAAACTACTCAGCTGCCCTTGACCCGAATGTTGGAGACTGCACTCTACTACCAAACTTGGCCTGGGGTAGCTGGAGTTCTGGGAACCTTATCAAGACTCATCAGTCAGGCCTTTAGGCGACAGCCTGCATCTAGGTCAGGCGGTTGGGGGAATGGGTCTGTGAATGTGTTCCAACAGAAAGGATGACAGGGTTTGCAATCTGCAGCCAGGGTTGTTATCTTGGCTTTAACTAGTTATATGACCTTAAACAACCCCCTTGACCACACTAGTGTTGAGTTTTCTCATTTGCAAATTGCATATGCTGATATCTGACTCGCAGGGCTGTGGAAGGGTAAGATGAATCACTAATTTTTATGGGAATTCATAAGCAACTCTTCCAACCCCACATTTTACAGATGAGGAAACTGAGAGGAGAAGGGGAAAAGTAACTTGCCCAAGTTCAGTTAACCAGTAAGTGGCAAGGCTTAGGCTAGAACTTGTCTCCTTTGTTGCTAGAGAAGGTGGGGATAAAAGAGCTCTGACAAGCCAAGTTCCTCCTTTGCTACTGCTGGGAGAGGCAGAGGATGGAGCTTGGGGCCAGGCTGCTGGGGTTCCAGTATCCACTTTGCTGTGTCACCTTGTGAATGACTTAAAACCTCTCTTTCAATTTCCCCCTTTAAAACATGGCAATAATAATATCTGCCTCATAAGATTGTGGTCAGAATCACAAGGAAAAATCTGCTAAGTTGTTCAGCAAGCAGTAAGAGCTGGGTAGATGTTAGCTCTTTTATTTTAGACATAGGGCCTCGCTCTGTCCCCCAGGCTGGAGTGCAGTGACATGATCATAGCTCACTGCAGCCTCAAACTCCTAGCTTCAAGTGATCCTCTTGCCTTGGCCTCCCAAAGCATTGGTATTATAGGCATGAGCCGCCATGCCTGGTTAGATGTTAGCTCTTATTGTTTTGTTTGTTTGTTTGTTTGTTTTGAGACACAGTCTCACTCTGTTGCCCACACTGGAGTGCAGTAGCGTAATCTTGACTCAATGCAACCTCTGCCTCCCGGATTCAAGCAGTTCTCATGCCTCAGCCTTCCGAGTATCTGGGATTACAAGTGCCCGCCATCACGCCTGGCTAATTTTTGTATTTTTAGTAGAAATGGAGTTTCACCATGTTGGCTAAGGTGGTCTCAAACTCCTGGCCTCAAGTGATTTGCCTGCCTCGGCCTCCCAAAGTGCTGGGGTTACAGGTGTGAGCCACCCCACCCGACCTCTTACTGTTAATAATAGTAAGTTGTAGGTGTCATCATCACAAGAGATAGTGTATGTGAAAGCTCTGTAAATTATAAAGCATGCTACAGAAGCCAGGTGCTCTATTTTCGAGAGAACTAGGGCTGTGAACACTCTTAGCATCCATTCAAAGATAGGAAGAGGTGCAGGGATTCTTCACAGCCATCCCTGGGTTTCAGTTCTTTCTTTTTTCTTTTTTTGGAGACAGAGTCTCGCTCGGTCACCAGGCTGGAGTGCAGTGGTGCCATCTCGGCTCACTGCAACCTCCGCCTCCTGGGTTCAAGCAATTCTCCTCCCTCAGTCTCCGAGTAGCTGGGACGACAGGAGTGCACCACCATGCCCAGCTAATTTTTTGTATATTTAGTAAAGACAGGGTTTCACCGTGTTGTTGGCCAGGATGGTCTAGATCTCTTGACCTCATGATTCGCCCACCTTGACCTCCCAAAGTGCTGGGATTACGGGCATGAGCCACCGCGCCTGGCCTCAGTTCTTTCTGTTAACCAGCGTTTTGAAACTGTAGCTGATACACGTTTCTGAACTCCTTGATTCTCTGTCATTCCAACTTCTCTGAGCCCCATTTACTCCACACAGGCCCGGCCCCTCTTCTCCCCATGAGTAATCCTGTGCTACGGGGTTTGTGGCTCCCCTGTTGAGTTCTAAGGACCAGGTTCAGGACTTGAGTGCTTCATGAGGGGCCTCCAAATCCCAGATCCCACGGGTAGGTTGAGAAGCCACATGACAGGCTGGCATTTGAAAGCAGTTGGAATCCTGGCCAGGAGGAGGGTTTTGCCTGCCACGCCTTCTTTCATAATCACAGCACACTGGCTTTCCTTTGTGCTCCTCTCAAGGGTGGCATCTGACTTGTTTAAAGTCCAGAAGAGTTTGATGCAAAGACAGGGGTTGGCTCTGTCCCTCCTCCTGACTATGAGCTTGAATGGGCAGAGGAGCCACATCGCTGGCCGATGGATCATATGCAGATGAAAGGGCACCTGTGGTCTGGAGAACGAGGCCGTGTTGAGTGTCAGCTTGGCCTGTATCCTTTGATCTGGCTGCATGGCTGGCTGGATATGCTGGAGCATTGGCACAGCTAGGGCTTTGGATTCAGCCTCTTGGTGGGCTTCCAGGCGCCTTGAGGCCATATTCTTTGATAAAGGAGAATTTCATGATTATTTGGTTGCCGATGTTTATCGCCTGCCACTCTCGGCCAAGTACTCTACTAGCTCCTTTATGTACGATATTCTCACCACCACTCTGGGGTACAGAGGCTAAAGACACTGAAGGTCAGAGAGAGTTGTGGAACTGCGTATGCTTGGATTTAAATATGCCTGGCTATGCCAAAATGTTTGAATTTAATTATTTGTCTATACTCAGGATTAGAGCTGGGAGGGAGGTGGAGCCAGAGAATACAGACACACGGGGTAGCTGATTATTGGGTCACATCCCTGTCTGGTGGGGACAAAGAAGCAACTGCAAGCAGCATGGTCCTAGAGATGGGGGAAAAGAGAAAGCTTCCATGTCTGCAACTGTGTGGTTTGCATCCATCCCTTTTGAGATCTTTCCAGAACTTGGCTCTACCCTGTGGGTTTTATCTTCTCTCTGTTCTGACCAGTGCATCTCTCTTGACTTATTTGGGAGGAAGCCTCTAGGAATGTGTCTCTTGTTGTTACCCCTGATTCGTTGGACACCGTCCTGATTTCACCCCCTTCTGTCTGGTTTAGCACTTTAGCATGCCCAACAGTGCGTATTTGCTTCCTAAATTCTATGGTTACCTGACTTATAAAATGCTCGGCCAGCACTTGAAATGGTTATTTCAAGCCCCTTCTTTTGGTTTGTAATTATATCTGTTTGGATTTCTCATTAATGACTGCCTCTCACAAGACCATAAGCCCCACGAAGGCTGAAGCTGTGACTCCGTTTGCTGGCTATGGTGTCTCCAGGGGCTGGCCCCTGGCCTGGCACAGAGCGGTGGTCACAGCTGTTTGTAGTGATGGAGAAATTCTGACAGCCATGAGACACAGTGGCTGGAGAGCAGCAGCAGACCTCACGGGCACAGGTACCAAATCAAGTACAATCCAGATGTGGAGGGATTTGTGTGAAAGAGCATCTTGAGCTGTGGAAGAGTAGGGAGTGTTTGTTTCCTAGGGCTACTGTAACAAAGCACCATAAACTTAAAGGTTTAAAACAGTAGAATTTTACTTTCTCACAGTCCTGGAGTCTAGAAGTCCAAACTCAAGATGTTGTCGGGGCCATACTCCCTCCAAGCCTCTGGAGAGAATCCTTCCAGGCTCTTCTAGCTTCTGGTGGCTTCTGGCCATCCTTGGTGTTCCTTGGCTTGCAACTTCATCACTCCAGTCTCTGCCCCCATCTTCAAATGGCCTTCTTCTCTTTCTGTGTGTGTGTCTGTGTGTCCTTCCCTCTTGTTAGAAGGACACAAATCATTGGATTTAGGACCTTCTCTAATTCAGCATGACACCATCTTTTTTTTTTTTTTCCTTTTCCTTGAGACAGAATCTCACTCTGTCGCCCAGGCTGGAGTGCAATGGTGCGATCTTGGCTCACCGCAGCCTCCATCTCCTGGACTCAAGCAATTCTCCTGCCTCGGCCTCCCGAGTAGCTGGGATTATAGGTGTGCACCACCACATCCGGCTGATTTTTGTATTTTTAGTAGAGACAGGGTTTCACCATGTTGGCCAGGGCGGTCTGGAACTCCTGACCTCAAGTGATCCATCTGCCTCAGCCTCCCAAAGTGCTGGGATTACAGGTGTGAGCCACCACGCCTGGCCCAGCATGACATCACCTTAATTTAACTACATCTGCAAGACCCTATTTCCAAATAAATCACATTCTGAGGTGGACATGAATTTTAGGGGGATTCTATTCAACTCATTGCAGGGGGTTGCAAAGATAACATTGGTGGGGAGGCAAGTTCTTTCCATGGCATGCTTTTGGCCACAGAAAACACTGATTCCTGAAAGAGCCCTGAACTAGGAAAATTCTGGATTTTCCAATCAGCAGGGAGACCTTGGGCAAATCTCTTTGCTCCTTTGAGCCTCAGCTTTTCATCTGCTTCATGGAGATAATGACATCTTCCCTGCCCCGTCTCCTAGGATTATTATGGGAATCAGATGAAATGGTGGCTTGGAAAGCTCTTTGCAGGTTGTAAGGTGCTATAAGGTTGGGTAGGTATATAATAAGCCATGAGTCATCCATGACCATCCTGAGATATTAACATTGCCATGCTTATCAGTGTTCTTTAGCCTGACCACCTCCTTTCTCCTTGCTAGGATCACTGCTTTTACCACGGCACGGTGAGGGAGACAGAACTGTCCAGCGTCACGCTCAGCACTTGCCGAGGAATTAGGTAAGAGACCCTGAGGCTGCAGGTGGCACCGGGCACTCTCCCCAGGAATGGAAGTTTCAAGATAGACAAGGCTGAGGCAAGGACCTTGGGAAGGAGTCCATTGAGAATGTGTGCAAGCCAGCCCAGAGAGGGGCTGAGCCTGGGAGGATGGGCAAGGGAAAGCCTAGGTAATCCAGAAATCCATTGGGATTTAACTTTCCTGATGAACTTGATGTTTTAAAATATAGGTTTTGTTATTATTTAGGTATGGTAAGGCCAAAAAATCAGGAGATGACTGCCATTGAAAAGATGGTCATACTCACAGAAAAGGGAGGGGCCCGGCTGTGCCATGGGGGGCGGCACGGGGAGGCACTGGGGTTGGTCAGCGGGCAGAGGGAGTCTGGAGAAATGTCAGCAGACGCCCTTCTTGTGGTTTCTGCGGGAAGGAATGGGCGAGGCAGAGAAAGCAGGTTTAGGATTGGCTAGTTTGCATCATTTCAGCAGGCTCTGGGGTTTATGGGCTCTCTGTCCTTAGTTGTCCTATACCTGGTTCTGGGGTGATTAGGGAAGGGGGATAGTGGCCCAGAGGGTGAGAGTGCCCATAAAATAAATGGCTAGGGTATGGACTCTGGATTGGTTGGCTTGCATTTGAAAGGCAAGGTAGCTGGGAAATTGTTGACCATCTCTAGGAATTGGCTAATCCTGGAAGGGGCAGTCCCTCTATGGTCAGTAAGACCCAGATGTCAAAGAAACAGAAGATAAAAAAGAAGACACATGGTTAATATGCTCGGGATGGATGAGTTTGGGCATTTGGTTCCACACCTCCTCAGTTCTTCTCTGGGAGATGTACTTGGAGGTGGTGAAATAGGAAATGGACGGTTAATGAACAGAGAGTAGGAAGTGAAAGGAAAGGCAAGGATAATTTTCAAGACAGAAAATCAACTGAAAAGTTCTGACCAGAATGTGCTTTTGAGAGTGACCCTTCCTTCTCTGAGTGAGACTACCTGGCTTTGAGCTGGTAGCAGTTTACCAGCTGGGTGACCTTGGGTCCCAGTGGTCTCATTTGTAAAATGTGGATAAAAAGAATATATGCCTGCAGTTGTGAGGATTCAGCTTGTGAATAGCTATCTTACCTAGGAACTTGCAGTGGCACACTGTCAGCATGCAGTGAACTCCTAGGACTTTGCTTCTCTAGGTGTGTTCCATGGATGGGCAGCATCAACTTTACCTGGGAGCTTGTTCGAAATGCAGCATCTCAGGTTCCACGCAGACCTACTGGATTTTAATCTGCATTTTACCAAGACTCCCAAGTGATTTGTGTGCCCATTACAGTCTGTACCTGAGAATGTGTGTTCCTTGAGAATATGAAGTATATCTCAAATATCTATTTCTCTCCACCAGCCTGCCTTAATGCCTTGCTTGCAGTAGGATCTACACATGTATGTTGACATAATAAGTCTTATTTATGTAGACCACTTTCAATCTCCCTCCTCTTTTTTTTTTTTTGAAGAAGGATGATGATCTAAAAAACCTGGTATCTCATTGCATATACTAATTGCCTGGGTTTTGATTGTCTGTACTATGTGGTGCCTCTGTGCAGTGATAGACAGTGAGCTACAGTTTCCCAGAATACACAGGCTCAGTGTGAGACACTTCAGCCCAGTGTAAACTGGCTCTATGACAAAAAGGAAAAAGCCCTGATTTGTAGCATCTGCCAATATGCTGACAAAGATAATCCCACCATGATCAATTTCAGGCTACCGATGTGATGTTATTGAAGGCAGAATTGGGAAGATATGCCTTTGATTGGCTCTGGTGAGCTGATAGGAGGTGGCTCCATTGTGTGTTCTTCCTCTCTTGACTGATTGCTTCATTCATTCAATGATTGCATTTTTCATTCACAAATAGAAATTGGGTGTCTTCCTAATGCCCATACCCTACACAGGTGGAGGGAAAACCAGCACTGTAATTTTGGAGCCCTCAGTTTCCTTGTCAATAAAGTGAACATCAGTATTAAGCATGGTAGAGATTATTGCTGTAATTATAGTACTTTTAAACATAAGGGTTTTTCCTCCTCTTACGTCGGTGAAACCATGCTAAGACTTATGCAGGCTCCTATACAAATGGAAGGTTTCTCACACTGCAGGTCCCAAGTGTCTGTTTATAAATTGGGCCATGACTTTGTTTGAATGCTGCATGGTGAGTTGGCTGGAGGAAATCAGGCAGGAAATGGGCTTTGGATGGGAAGCAATAACAGAGTGGCCCCAAATCCCCTCTGCTTAAGTGACCTGATTGAGCCAAGCTAACTGGCCTCGCAGTGGTATTTACAAGCCCAGCCACCGCCACCTGCAGTCTGCAAGTAAACAAAGTTTGTCCCAAGAAGGAGGAAAAAGAACATGCAGGTGTGACCTGCTTCTGTCTGCCTCTTCCTCCATCCCCTCAGTCTGGAGCAGTGGGAACTTGGCTTGGCGTCTTGTAAATCATTCCAGCAGCAGTGCTGAAAGGGAGGGGGATACCGGGTGAGCTGTCCGTGTGTTTCTGTTTTGCATGCTTCCGTCTGGTGAGGTCCACCTGCCTTACTTTCCCAGCCTTCTCACTACACACGCCTTAAGAAACCAAGGCTGTGGGTGGACTGATTTAAGAGCTGGAGACTCATGCCAGATGGTTCCATTTGAACCCTGGAGAAGGAGCAGCTGCAACAGCAGCAACATTCAAACCCATGTCGTCAAAACACTAGGCGCCTCCCAAAGCTCATAAAGCACTGCTGCAGTGAAAAATCTCCATAGTGATTGTTCTTCTTTCCTGGAAACATGCTCCCATGATTGGAGAAATAGGTAGGATTTCTATCAAGTGAGATCTTCAAGCTGATGATACCAAGAGGAATTCAGCTGAGCTTCTAGGTGGTTGCTAGGCCCCCTCTTCTCTTCAAAGCAGTTCTTTAGGTTACTTTAATTGAAGAAGTCATGTATTATCTTAGTAAAAATAAATTCAAAAAGTACAAAAGAGTGTACAATGAAAGATAACATCTCTTTCTCACCCCAGATTTCCAGATTTTCCCCCTTCCTAGAGACAGCCGTTGTTACTAGTTTCTTGTATATCCTTTTAGGAATATTCCTTGTGAAAAAAGAACGTAGATATGTAATTGATATGGTTTGGCTCTGTGTCCCCACCCAAATCTGATCTCGAATTGCAATCCCCATGTTTTGAGGGAGGGTCCTGGTGGGAGGTGATTGAATCATGGGAGCAGTCTCCCCATGCTGTTCTGGTGATAGTGAGGGAGTTCTTACAAGATCTGATGGTTTAAAAGTGTCAGTTTCTGGCCGGGTGCGGTGGCTTACGCCTGTAATCCCAGCACTTTGGGAGGCCGAGGCAGGCAGATCACAAGATCAGGAGATCGAGACCATCCTGGCTAACACGGTGAAACCCCATCTCTACTAGAAATACAAAAAATTAGTCAGGCGTGGTGGTGGGCACCTGTAGTCCCAGCTATTCGGGAGGCTGAGGCAGGAGAATGGCGTGAACCCGGGAGGCGGAGCTTGCAGTGAGCTGAAATCGCATCACTGCACTCCAGCCTGGGTGACAGAGTGAGAGTCTGTCTCAAAAAACAAACAAACAAAAAAAAGTGTCAGTTTCCCTTGTGCTCCCTCTCTCCTGCCATCTTGTGAAGAAGGTGCTTGCTTTCCCTTTGCCATCCACCATGACTGTAAGTTTCCTGAGGCCTCCCAGCCATGCAGAACTGTGAGTCAATTAAACCTCTTTCCTTTATAAATTACCCAGTCTCAAGTAGTTCTTTATAGCAGTGTGAAAACGGACTAATATAGGAATATAATGTCTGTAATCTTATTTGGGCCCCTGGACCCTTTGAGAATTGATTGGAAGCTATGGGTACTTATAAATGACACCAATAGGCCAGGCGCGGTGGCTCACGCCTGTAATTCCAGCACTTTGGGAGGCCGAGGCAGGCAGATCACTTGAGGTCAGGAGTTCGAGACCAACCTGGCCGACATGGCAAAACTCCATTTCCACTAAAAATTTAAAAATTAGCCATGTGTGGTGTTGCATGCCTGTAGTCCCAGCTATTTGGGAGGCTGAGGCAGGAGAACCGTTTGAACCCGGGAGGCAGAGGTTGCAGTGAGCTGAGATCCCACCACTGCACTCCAGCTTGGGCGACAAAGCAAGACCCCATCTCAAAAAAAAAAAAAATGACACCAATAAAAAGATGTGGCATCCCATCTCACTGGGGATGTCAAGTTTCATTCTCCCAAGCCTGTCTCAGATTAAGACATTCTCTAAATATCTATACTGGGTTAAGGTGTCTCTGACTGAGCCTGTGTGTTCTGGGAAACTCTGTGTGTGAGTCTGTAGCTCACTGTCTATCAGCAGGAAGTGTATCTGGTTGGTAAGTTGTTTACTTTTTTAAAAATTTTTTTTTGTTAAAAATTATCATTATATAACTATACAGGTTTAGTGTTAAATGTTCAAATCATGCAGGAATGTGTAAGCTTTAAAAAGTGAAAGTTGTTTATCTTGTCCTACCCTTCCAACCAATCCCATTCTCCATCTGTTATTACTGTTGGAGGTATCCTTAATTACTGTTGGAGGTATCCTTTATTGAAATACATAATTGTGTGTGTGTGTGTGTGTGTGTGTGTGTATATATATATATATGTATATATGAACATATTTAATCCAAATGAGATCACCCTATGCATACAGTTTTGTATTTTTTTTCCAACTTAAGCATTATGTTTTAGGTATACATAGATCTATCTCATTCTTTTAATGGTTGCATAATATCGTTTGTACTAATGTCTGGCACGTTTCATTATATAGAAAGTCTTTCAGAGGTATGCAATAAATCATCCATAGTGGTCTATTTGATGGATCACCCTTATATTACAGCAGCCCTGCCTTCGAAAACATAGGGCTCACTCTCACTGTAATTACACCTTAACCGTGGTCCCTGGACTCAGATTCTGTGAGAGAGGGAGAGAGGGAGAACATGAGATTGAAAATGAATGCAGGAGAATGTGTAGGAAAGTGTGCATGATGGCCTGGAATAAGCTCAAAATGTAAAGTCAAGGGATCCACGTTTAAGATCTAGCTACATACTTCCTGGCTGTGTGGATCTCTGTGTTTTCCTCTCCCCATTAAATTTTTTCCTTGTCTTTGCTGTGGCCAGGCTGGTCCCTCCACAGGCCCCTACTCTATCCAAAAGGTGGCTAAGTCCTGGGAGTGGGGTGGGTGGTCAGTGGGGGTGAGGTCAGGGGCATACCCCAGAGTCATGAACCTGAACATTAGGAGAGCTGGGATTAGCCCCGGCTCTCACATTAACTGGCTAGGTGAGCTTGGGCAAGTTCTTTTTTGGGTGGGCTTTCCTCTTTTCTGTAAAACAAGAGTAGACCAGACCATTAAAAGCTTCCTTCTGTGTTGGAAGTCCTGGGATGCAGAGAGGTTGGGCAGAGTCTCAGGGAGGTGGGAGCCTGGGGCAGAAGGAGGTGGCTCATATACACACAGCCAGCCCTGGAGAAGAAGTGGCAAGTCCTTTCCACCTTTGAATTCCTTGCCTTCCTTCTGCAGAATGGATCATAAATGCTACCTCCGTGTCAGGCATTGCACAGATTAAGCCCTCAGAGGACAGTGTTATTAAGTTGTGATGAATTTAGATTCTGGAGCCAGACACTTCCTGGTTTAAACCCTGCCAAGCTACTTAAGTTCTCAAGTCTCAGTTGTCTCATCCATAAAATGGGAATAACAATATTGACATCACTGGTGGATTTACAATAGGTGAGGAGTGCAAACTCCTTGACAGCAGGGACTTTGCTTTGATCATGCTATTTCCCGAGCTGAGAACAGTTCCTGTCACACACTGGGTTCTCAGTACAGATGTGTAGAATGGCTATCGAATAAAACACTTTGCGCTTTGCTTGATGTATAATACACAATCAATGACCGTTAGCTGTTCTTTTAAAATGCTGCTTTGGTTATTAGTAAATATTGCCTATTCAGTCCATTATCACAGCAACTCTGTGAGATGGGCAGTGTTATTACATCACTTACCACACAGCTAGGAGACAGCACAGCCAGAGTTTGAATCCAGGTGCTATATGGGGGCACCCTGTCCTTGAGAAAGTACATGACCTACAAGCCTTCTCTTCTCTTTTTTGCAGGCTTTGGAGTTCCCTGTAACTCCTTTTGGATGGATATAATTTGCAGAGAAGGGGAGAGGAAAGAAGGGTAGCAGGGTAGTTACTTTTTAGGGCACCTCTGGGTATAGGGATGTAGAATGTGTCCCCTTTGGTTTAGCTCTGAATGGACAAGTCCCCAGGAAGCAGTTGTTGGCCTAGTTCCTTGAAGAATGCATTTGGTGAATCCTTCAGTTATGCAGGGGTTAGGCATGAATTGCTTGGTGCCTGCCTGGCCTGGCCTGCCCGGGTTTTCCTATACAATTTCATTTGTATCCATCTCTTAACGATGAGCAATAGGATGGAGAACAGAATGGAGAATGGCATGTGAGGCTGGCCACCCAGCCTCCTGGGCCCCAGCTCATGCCTTCTGGCTGAGTTCTGCCTTTGCCAGGGCTAACATTCAGCAAATTAGATCAACCAAGGCTCCTAGAAGGATAAACAACTGGTGGTGCTTGGAAGAGGGCAGCTAAAGGAATTAGGGTTGAGGGCGGGGACAGCCCCTGGAACCACATTCTCAGACATTCCCCCAGCAACAAAGCTGCAGTCCACTGACAGTGCTGGGGCTTGTGCCAGCCTCTCCTCCATCCCCAGGCCGTCTGAGAGGATTGCAGTCGTGACATGGGCAAATAACCAGGAACAGCAGTTGGAGGAAGGGAGGGAAGTGGCCACAGAATCCTATTGCTGGAACGACCTTCAGGGTCCTTCTGAGCCTCTGTTTCTCTCAAATTGTAATCTGCCCACTCCCTGAATCAGAATTACTATGGGCCTGGTGAAAAGCAGGTGCCTGCTACAGAGGGTGGTCTGTAGGCCAAAGTTCCTGAGTGTGGCTAGGCAGGGAATTACTCAGGCCTGCAGCTCTGCGTTTTTTAGGTTGGGCCCTGTATTAGTCCATTTGTGTTGCTATAAAGGAATACGTAAGGCTGGGTAATTTATAAAGAAAAGAGGTTTATTTTGGCTTACAGTTCTGCGAGCCATACAAGAAGCATGACACCAGCATCTGCTTCTGGTGAGGGCCTCAGGCTGCTTCCACTCATGGCAGAAGGTGAAGGGGAGCCTGTGTGTGCAGAGATCAAGTGGTGAGAGAGAAAGTGAGAGAGAAAGGGAGGAGGTGCCAGGCTCTTTTTAATAACCAGCTCTTGAGGAAACTCTCATGGGAATTTGCTGAGTAAAAACTCTCTCATTACCACCAGGATGCACCAAGCCATTCATGAGGGATCCACCCCATGACCCTAACACCTCCTACCAGGCCCACCTCCAACAATGGGACCACATTCTACCGTGAGACTTGGTGGGGACAAATAAACCATATCCACAGCAGACCTGGATACCTATGTTTTCAATACACTGTAGAATATTCTAATAGATATCCCTGAGACCTCTGCTCCTAGAGATCTCTGACACTTAGGCTTGGAACTCACTGATGGAGGCAGAAAGCACAGAGGCTAAGGGGATGGGGTCCAGAGTCTGTGGACCTTAAATCTTTGACTTCAGATTACCTAGTCCCCATGCCTGGAGCCCACACTGCCCTTAACCATGAGAGCTTGTTATTTAATGTCTCTGAGCCACAGTTTCTTCATCTATAAAGTGGGACTCATGAGGGTGCCTCCTTATAATGATGATGTGGGAATGAAATAAGAATAACATTTGTAAACACAGTGCCTGGCATCCAGTTAGCTCAATCAATGGCATCTGAAGGTGAAAAGTAGGCTGCATACCTCCTTCATCTTTTCTCTTAGGAAACTGAGGTGAGGCCAATCACCCCTAAGAAGAGAGCTGCTGGCACCATCACTGGAGCCATCTGTAGACTGGTGGTATCTTTCTAATTCACTCTACAGGGTATTTTTTTTTCTTTTGGAGATGGAGTCTTGCTCTGTCGCCCAGGCTGGAGTGCAGTGGTGCGATCTCAGCTCACTGCAACCTCCGCCTCCCAGGTTCAAGCAATTCTCCTGCCTCAGCCTCCTGAGTAGCTGGGATTACAGGCACCCGCCAGTACGCCTGGCTAATTTTTGTATTTTTAGTAGAGACAGGATTTTACCATATTGCCCAGGCTGGTCTCCAACTCCTAAGCTCAGGAAATCCACCCGCCTTGGCCTCCCAAAGTGCTGGGATTACAGGTGTGAGCCACAGCGCCCAGCCTCTACAGGACTATCATGATTGAGGCAGTGGAAGGTCAGGGTAAGGTTGTGGGACTTGGAACTAGAATGCTTCCATTCAAATCCCGACTCCTTTAATACCTAGGTGATAGGCTGATCTGTGCAGCAAATCACCATGGCACATGTTTACCTGTGTAACAAACCTGCCCATCCTGCACATGTACCCTGGAACTTAAAAGTTGATGAAACAAAAACAAAAAACAAATCCCTACTCTTACTCTTACTGTTTGTGTGACTTTGGGTTAATTAACCTTGCTGAGCCTTTGTTTTCCCATTTGTACGTTGGGGACAATATTTGTAAGGATCCTAGGAAGGTGGTGGGAAGAATAAAATGCTCACTTAGCACAGTGCCAAGTCCATAGCAAAGGCTCTATAATCTGCAGCCACTATGAGGATTCTTATTTATTGTGCACCACACTATGGCTTGGTCTCTGTCCTGTTTAGCTCACAGGCTTGTTCAAGTGATGCCAGATCAGTTGCGCCTTGTGAACCTCCATTGGAACTTTCCCTGATTCCTCTATGGAACTTTCCACTCACTGGGTGTAATCTTGGCAACCACAACCTGGTGCACACAGAACCATCAGCTGGTTGGTGGTCAAGCCCTCTGTGTTCCCAAAGTGTGTAGCCGTTAGGGGAAACTGAGGTGATGGGAGAGGCCTTGGTTGGCTGAGATGAAAAGATAACTTGGGAACAGGATGCGTGCAGCAGCTCTCTCCTCTGCCCTTTCCTGGCTGGATTAGGGAGTGGATGCGACCCTTGCTCCTTGCCACGCTCCCACCCCCAGATGTTCAGGGAGTACCTTAGATGTCCGTCAGAGGGGGTGATTGGGTACTGCTGCGTCAGACTGGGTGAGGCAACCAGGAAGTCATCAGGCTTCCTGGATCTGGAATGAGGTCAGCCAGGGATGGGATCCGGGAAAGGCTGCTGCCCATCAGAGCCTGGCGCTGATTTTCCAGAGAGCATCACAGGCTCTTCCCAAAGGGCAAAATCTGGGCAGGAATCCCAAGTGGCGGTTGTGGTGGAGGTGGAAGCTGAGATAAGCTAAGAGAGAGGTCCTGCCAATTTACAGTGGCAAAGACTGGGTTGGAGATGCTGTAGGTTCTGAGCTCTCTGCATGGATGAGAGCCTGCCTGAGGTTTTAGAGCATACAAAATGCTGCTAGAGTCCATGGGGCTTACTCCTGGGCTTCCTCCTCCCACTAAGCCTTGATTACATACCTTTACAATCATGTTTATCTCATTGTATCAAGGTTGGCAGATATCTGCTGCCTGGGCCTTCACTGATCATTAGCAATAGCAATTGATAATAAGTCATGGTCCTCTTTCTTGCTGAGGCTAGAAAAGCCCTCAGAAGCCTTGGTGATGTAACAGTTGAAGCAGCTGCCTCCAGTCCAAGGGGTGATGAAACTTTTTGCTCTCTCTGTTATACATTAGAGTGACTTATTCCAATGTTTACACTCAACGCTTCACAAGGGTAGGCACTTGGTGTGTCTTGTTCGCTATTCCGTCCTCAGCAACTGGCATGATACCTGGCCCGTAGCAGGAGCCCAGTAAATGTTTGTGACTGTCTTCCAGAGGACTGTGAGTTTCTCAAGGACAAGGATTATGTCTAGATTATGTCTAGGACACATGAGTTTATTCTGAGTTCAGTGCTAGTATCTATAATCAAGGGAGGAAAAAAAGTAGTCCCTCATGCTTGGTGGTGGATGTCACTTCACCAAATAACTACCGTGCTGACGTGGGGCAGGTGGGACAAGTAGGCGTGTCATCACTGATGCATCTAGCTCTGGTTTCCAAGCACAAAGACCCTTGTCTTTCCACTTAATCATCCAGTAGTCTTGATAAGTTATCATTGCCGTGTTAGGGATGAGGAAACTGACGCTTGGAGAGATTTAAGATGCTTGTTGAAGAGCATGTGACAATTGAATGTTGGAGCTAAATCCAGAACCTCGGTCACCTCACTTGCAGGCCACTGTTCTTTCTCTGGCCACTGTACTGCTTTTCCTGAGTCTCTAAAGTTTTGACCCATGATTTGTCATATGCCATGTTTTGGTTTGGGAGGCTTTTTGGAATCCTGGACCTACCATCCTTCATAAGTTTTAAGTGTCACAGGTACAGCCTTCTTAGAACTTTTTGAGATTTCCCAGTCCAGAGACTTTTAACCTGGAGTCTCACGATGAGCTTGGTGGTGGTGGTTGGGTGGGGTGGGGGTTGGGGTGGAGGTCCAAGTGCCCTGAGCTCATGCACCACTTTTTATGTATAAGTGCATTCCTCTAGAGAGGAAGTGTGAGCTTGCATCAGAGTCTCACGAAGGGGTACATGGCCCCATAATTAGGTTAAGAACCAATGATCAAAACCCACTATGTCATTTTGCATATGGAGAAACTAAGACCTACACAAGGGACTTTTTCAGAACCATAATCTTTGACCAGAGATTCTATTTCTCCTCTCAACAGAGGACTGATTACGGTGAGCAGCAACCTCAGCTACGTCATCGAGCCCCTCCCTGACAGCAAGGGCCAACACCTTATTTACAGATCTGAACATCTCAAGCCGCCCCCGGGAAACTGTGGGTTCGAGCACTCCAAGCCCACCACCAGGGACTGGGCTCTTCAGTTTACACAACAGACCAAGAAGCGACCTCGCAGGGTGAGTTTTGAGGCTCTCAGTGCAGAAATCAACCTGGGGACAGGCTTGTCCCCTCTGAGGTTGCTTACTTTGAATCCAGGAGTATTTCTAAATTGAAGGTGATGCCTAAGAAAAAGGAAATAGTGTTTTTCTTTTATTCTGTCATTGTTGAGTGTGAAATACCCTCATCATAGAATAACTGCTTTTGGGGGAAAACACTACTACCTTTAAAACACTCAGATGCTGACTTCAGAAAGCTTAAAAAGTGAAAAGAAGGCTGGGCGCCATGGCTCATGCCTATAATCCCAGCACTTTGGGAGGCTAAAGCAGGCAGATTGCTTGAGGCCAGGAGTTTGAGTCCAGCCTGGGCAACATGGCGAAACCCCATCTCTACTAAAAGTACAAAAATTAGCTGGGCATGATGGCTGGGTGCCTGTAGTCCCAACTACTTTGGGAGGCTGGGGCACGGGAATCACTTGAACCCGGAAGCCTGGGTGACAGAGCGAGACCCTGCCTCAGAAAAATAAATAAAAATTAAAAAGTGGGGAAAAAAAGTATGCTTTCCCTATTGGAGTAGACACTACACCATATGCACACAGTCCTCATATTGATTCATACTGAAAATGGCATGGTGTTTCGAGGTTTCGAGGTTCTGTGGGAACGTGGTGGTTAGCACACTCCCTCTCATATGCTGGCCTCTGTCCTGCCTGTGCTCATCAGCTCATCTCAGTATTTTCTGAGAATAAAGGACTGAATCCAGGGTCCCAGAGCAGCCTCCAGCAATAACCAAATGGCAGTGGAAGGTGTTATATGAGTGATGGCCACCACAGCCAAGAACATCTCTAGTGCCGAATGACAAAATCATTACGGAGGTAGCTGCTGCTTATCCAGCAGCTCTGTTTCTTAGCAGTTTTTTAAAAATGAGGCCAAGTCCACTATTTCTACAGCGCTGATCTGTTTCTCTTTCTTAGATGAAAAGGGAAGATTTAAACTCCATGAAGTATGTGGAGCTTTACCTCGTGGCTGATTATTTAGAGGTAAGGGGGAGGCAATGGGTCTTGCAGAAAAACTGCTCTCTTGATAGCTTCCATTCCAGGCTCCAGACTGCTTTGGGGAAATGTTGCCCATTCATCTTTCTCCAGTTCATCTATGATTTTGACCTTAAATCTCACCAAAGGCTGGGCGCGGCGGCTCACGCCTGTAATCCCAGCACTTTGGGTGGGCAAGGCGGGTGGATCACCTGAGGTCAGGAGTTTGAGACCAGCCTGGCCAACATGGTGAAACCCCATCTCTACTAAAAATACAAAATTAGCTGGGCATGGTGGCACATGCCTGTAATCCCAGCTACTTGGGAGGCTGTGGCAGTAGCATTTCCTGAACCTGGGAGGCGGAGGTTGCAGTGAGCTGAGATCATGCCACTGCACTCCAGCCTGAGCAACAAGAGCGAAACTCCGTCTCAAAGAAAAAAAATCTGACCAAAGGCTCATTTTGCCATTTTAAACATAGTTGGGGGGAACTCCCCCAACTCCCCCCGCCCCTTCCTCCCCCACCTCCACACACAGCTAAGCCTCTCCTGGCTTGTTACATCAGTCACATAGAAAATCAAGACAGTTGTCTGATTAACATTTCTTGTACTGGGTCTGAAGACCTTTAGATTCTGGTGTTTATTCTGAGGAACCCGGAATTGTCTATGGAAATTCTAAAACTTTTTTTTTTGCAAAGATGATAAATATATTCCCAGTCATCCGACTGAAAACTGTATTCTTGCCCATGTGTGGGTCCATTTTTATAATCATGTTGATGCCAAATGATGACCTAAAGCCATGGTCCCCAAAATGTGGTCCCCAGAGCACCAGCATCAGCAGCACCCTTGTGTAAGATGCAAATTCTCGGGCCCTGCCCCCGACCTCCTGAATCCCAGACTGTCAGGGTGGGGTCCAGAAATCCATGTTTTAACAAGACCTCTGGGCGATTGGGTTGCACAGTCAAGTTTGAGAACCACTGACCTAAAGGCATAGCAGTTCAGCCTTTAACTCCATGTTCCTCAAATCAGACAGGTTCTAAGAATTTGAGGAACCCTCACCTGGCTCATCATGTATTTCATTTATTCATCAGTGATCTCTTGATTTTCTATTATGTGCCAAGCACCTGGATATATAGATCTCAAGAAGACAGACCCTCCCCAGGCATCGCAGAGTTTGCAGTAACAGCACACAAACCTGTAGGTCCAAAGTGTGATAAGCACTAAGATGGACCATTAGGAGGGATGAAAGTGCAGATAATGGGGGATTCAACATGGTTTTGGGAATTAGGGAAAGCTTCCCTGACATTGAAGCAGACACCTAAAGAGTGAGTTTAGGCCCCAGAGCCCATATTTGCCTAAATTAGCCAGCTGTTACCTCCAATTCTCACTTTGTTTAGTGACTCCATCATATAAGTACTAAGTGCATCTTCTGTGCATTGGATGTCATTATGAGCTGAGCGCTCGCTGTGTTCGAGCAGGGCAGACACTGGCCTTGGTCTCTCCTGAGGATAGAGCCCATCACAACTCCAGTCTGTCTGTATCCCATCCACATAGTTTAGCTACCATCTTCCCAAAGAGCTCATTCTAAGGCAGCTGTACCTAGTCACATTTCCAAAGCATGTGTCCTGGCAGCAGGGCCTGGTGGTGGGGAGAGCACTAGGCTGCAGGCCAGAAGGTCTTTGAGTGTTAGTCACTGGATGTTAGCAGCAGAAGGAGGTGGCCCTTGAAGCTGTCTTAAAAGACAAGGAGGAGTTAACTGGGCAGAGGAGTGGAGGTGAAGGGCATTCCGGGCCGAGGGAACATTGTGCTCTGCTTTGAAAAGCGTTTAGATTTATTTTAACTGATGTTGATATTGGTTTTTCCAACAGCTGTTTGTGTGTGTGTGTGTGTGTGTGTGTGTTCTATGTTTTCTGTTTCCTCTCCAAAGACTAGTGTGTCTATAGGATGGGGGAATAGTGTGGGGAGCAAAATCCAAAGCTGGTTTAAAAGCCAGCTGAGGCTCCATAGTCGTGGGAGGAGATAACTGACTCTGGCCTGCCCTGCCTGACTGCCCGTAGTGGGAGGACTGGTGGAAGAAAACTGAGCTCCTCTGACTCTGGGACATTTTTCCACTTAAGTTCTGCATCTGTGATCATCTGATACAATGGTCTTGAGTCATTTTTTTCAGCTACAGAATCCTTTGGTTACATGGAAGTTCCTGGGAACCCCAGTAGTTAAGCATATAGAGCCCAGCTGCTCTGTTTAAAGGTGGGGTGTTTCTCCCCTTTGGCCTTGCATTGTTCTCAGAGGAATCTCTGTGCAGGCTTTCAAACCCACTGGGTGTGAATCTCCAGCAGCTGGAGAAGTGGGAAGCATGGTGGGAGGCAGGGATTAGGCATCTTCTATCTCCTGACCTCCAGAGTCACAGCACACCTCCAGAGAAAAAGTGTCCACTCAAGGTGCCTCCAGGACTCTGGTGTCAGCTAGAGCCATCTTTCTCTTACAAAGGAGAGTGTCTCAGCAACAGCCCTGGGTTCCCAACAGGGCTGTGATTCATGCAGCTGTGGTGGATAAGGGAACGTGCTCATTTCTCAGTCCTGGACACCCCTCCGCTGAAGGCTTTGAATGATTCATTTGAGGGACTGGGGTGGGGGTGTGTAACAGGCCAGGCTGGGTTCACAGGCTCACGAATCATCCCCTCTCCACCTGTCTCCATCCTCTGCAGACAGAAATATATTCTTGACAATTAATTAATTAATCTGAGAGGATGGGAAGGCAGGAAAGGGGAGGGCTGCTTTACCATGATTTATAACCTGCTGCAGAGACAGAGCCTTGGGGCTCTGAATGCAGAGCAGAAAGTGGAGACACAGATAGGGAGAGCAAGACCCTGCTGCTGCCTAGAGAGAGAGTTGTCAGCAGTAAAAATGAGCAGGCAGCTCCTCGCTCCCTGGGCCTAGGTGGGAGCTTCTAGGGTGGTTCTCAGTTTATTCATTCCCCAGGTGGAACGGAATCCAGGTGGGGATAAAGAGTAAGGTGGGCTGTTGTAGGAGTAGACAGGATAACTGTAAACACAGGCCTGTAAAGGACTTCCATGATGCTGGCACAGTGCAGAGTGGCTGGGAAAGGATGGTGCTGCATGTGGTACTCACTGTGTCACCCTAGAAAATGTAAGTTTGAGACAGTCCTTTCTTTACATCAGGGGTCTGCAAACTATACCCCATGGTCACATCCAGCCTATCCTGTGTTTTTGCAAACAAAATTTTACTGGAACACAGCCAGGCCCATTGGTTTCTGTATTATCCAGGCTTCTGTATTATATATACAGGTGTCTGTATTATTCTGAGCCACCACTGCACAGTTGAAGAGTTGTAGCAGAGACTATGGGGCCGCAAAGCCTAATCCGGCCTTTGCAGAAAAGATTTGCTGACTCCTGCTTCAGAATACTCTGGACAACAGAATTCGCTCCTTAAATTATGGTGGTCTCATTGGGCAGTTCTTTGAAGAGAAGATTAATATTTTTTTGAAAGACAATGAAATCTGGCCCTGATGTTCTAATAAATATTACTAAATGAATGGAAATGCTGCAACGCTGTCTGTGCCGAGAGACCAATTTAGAAACAGGAGGCCTCTATAATGAGAAACTCCTGGATTAACACCTTGGAAAGGTCTAAGTTACAGTGTCACACTGAATCTAACTCTAGAAAGCAGTGGTAACAGATTCTCTTCTGGTGAGTGGCAGTTTTAAGGAAGCCTAAGAATGTCCACAAGCTGTGGTGAAAGGGAAATGGTGGATTTCTTCCCTGTATCAGGGCTGGTACACACCTCTGGCCAAACAAATACCCCAGGTTGTTTTACTTGGCTGTTCTTGTTCTTTCTTGCTTAGATATTCTCATGGGATGGGGTGGAGGAAGGACGTGAAGATTTTGAATCAAAATAACATGTATAGTGGGTACCTAAGATAAATTAGAGAGGACCCAGATTCTGTGTAACAATGGCAGTGTACAGGACATGCCCATCATTTTTAAATGTAATTTGCAGTTGTAGCAGGTTTTCTCTTTACACTGTGAAGCTTTCCTTCATCATTGCAGCTCAGAGAGATCTATCTTTTTGAGGCAGGAATGGTAAATAGGAGGTATTCATACTAAAATGTCCTCTTTCTGGTACCCATGGCAGATATTTCTAATGGAACACAGCTTTCTTTCCTGTGCTTGGTTAGAAATGTCTGATTACGGCCAGGCGCAGTGGCTCACGCCTGTAATCCCAGCACTTTGGGAGGCCAAGGCAGATGGATCACTTGAGGTCAGGAGTTTGAGACAAGCCTGACCAACATGGTGAAACCCCATCATTACTAAAAATACAAAAATTAGCTGGCCATGGTGGCGAGCACCTGTAATCCCAGCTACTCAGGAGGCTGAGGCAGGAGAATCGCTTGAACCCGGGAGGCGGAGGTTGTAAGCCGAGATCACGCCACTGCACTCCAGCCTGGGCAACAAGAGCGAGACTCTGTCTCAAAAAAAAAAAAAAAAGAAAGAAATGTGATTGAATCGATGCAGTCTCATAATTCTTCTCATTCTTCTCACTGTAGAAGGCACTGCCAGTGGATCTGAGTGGTGTGCAAGATGAAGCCTATTTGCCAGTGTCTTATGGTCCTCCTCGTTGGCACTCATGTCATTCACATGACCTCCCACTGTGGTTATTTCTGTGCACGTTTTCCCGGCAGGTTTTCTCAACCATTTCAGTTCTATACTCCTTAAGTACAGGGTCTGTCACTCAGCATCTGCCACAGTTATTTCTGGCCCTCTCTGTTTTAATTGAAGCTCCTCTAGGCTAGAACCAAGATCTCACACTTCTTTGTGTCCTACATAGTGCTAAGCACAATGCCTTGCCCATAGCAGGCATTCAGCAGCAATTCGATGATTGTTGATTGACCACATGTAGGGAAGCCTCGTGAGATCTGTGTAATGGTGGCTTCATGTTGGGGTGATGACCACGGTGAGGATTGGATCAGTCCTCCTAAGCCCCAGTGGGAGTTTGCCAGAGGCCATGTAATTCGAAGGACAGGAGAATAAGATGTGCTTCAAGGGTTAGAGGAAGGCAATTCTACTCCGTGCATAATTATTGCATGCCTACTGTGTGTGCTGCGCTGAGCTAGTAGCTGTGGATATGAAGATGGATGTTGACAGGTCCTACCCTCCAAAGCTCTTACTGTGGTGGGGAAGACAATTGCATAAAAATGATGGCTCATAGAAGACAGAAGAAAATAAGAGCAAATTCAAAGACAAGTAATGGGGCGCAGGAAGCATCCTGTGAGAGGTTCTGGGATCTCACATGGTTCTGCTTGTCCCATTTAGTTTCAGAAGAATCGACGAGACCAGGACGCCACCAAACACAAGCTCATAGAGATCGCCAACTATGTTGATAAGGTGAGACCAGGTGTGTACTTTGTGGGAAAGGTGCCAGGTGCCAGCACTTCCAAGGGCACTGGAGCTGCCTTCTGCTGGATTGGCTGCCCCAGCCATCTTCTGAAAGGGAATGAGCAGTGCCATAGAGGCCCAGGGCGGTCATGACAGAGCCCTGAACTACGTACCCTTAGGCAAGTAACTCATTTTCTTTGTGTTGCATTTTTTTTTCTTTTGTTCTGTTTTCAGCTTATAAATAGAAAGGCTGTCGTAAATCAATGTGTGGTTTTTTTTTGTTATTTTTATTTTCCTGGTGGAATTTTAAAAAATGAAATCTTATGCCAATATCTACTATAAAAGTTAGATGAAAACAGACTGCTCTAAGTGGGAGCTGGGGTGAGGACCCAGAACACTGTCCTTCTGACCCCTTCCTCTTACCCCTGCAGTGGCTCCCGAGCAGCTTGGGGCATGGAAGAGCCCAGTTTAAGAATCCTTTAAGGTTCTTTAAGGTTCCTTCCAGATACAAAGCCCAGGGATTCTCTGACTTAGGAGGGAATTGAGGTAGGTCAGGGTGGGAAAGACACACAGCCTTAAAAGTTGAGAAGTGGGCTGTTTGAGAAGTGGGTTGCTTGAGAAGCGGATTGTCTGAGAAGTGGGTTGCTTGGGGCTAATCTATAAAGTCTCCATCTGTAAAGTTATCCTAAAATTATGTCTTGTCTCTTAGGAAGGATGTGCAGTGGTTAACTTTCCTAGGTCAGGACCTTTTACAAGATGCTCTTCGGAAATACCTACATTTTTGAATTTTACTAGAACGGGCTGGTCTGGGACTTGGAAGTACATTGTGTATATGAAAGAAGATATTTGTTATAGTACAAAATGCAGAATAGGTAACCTAGAATGACAGTAGCCTCTTGGTAGGCTAGTAGTATATAGTTTTTAAAAGTAGTTTTTCATGTGTTTGGGATCAAAAGTCTCTTTGAGAATCTGGTAACGTTTATTGCACAATTTTAGAATACTCATAACATTGATGAAGCTTAACTTTGGGCCTGCTAGGGATTCATGAATTCCAGGTCTAAAGGGAAAATCATTTTTTCCTAAACACTAGAGAATATAGGAGATCACTTAAAATATGTTTTAGGGATTAATAGGCAAATGTATTAGTTCTGAAGTCATCAGATGGCAGTTTCCATGCCCATGGTTTTTTTCTGCCCTAGATGGCTCTGGAAACAAAGGTCAGTGGTCAGTGACAGGTGAAAGTCAAACACTGGCATTTCCTGGAAGGACAGACTCTAGGGACACAGTCCAGTCCTCCCTCTAGCTCCTGACTCACTCAAGAATAACATTTAAATAATCCTACAACCCAAACATTTGACATCTGGGAAAACAAGGGAAGCTTGTTTCCCTGGGGAGAATATGGGAGGCTGACTCTGCTTTCCCCCATGTGACATCTATTGTTTGGAGACCTGGCAGGTTCGGACTTGGCTGGGTATCCCCTCTGTGGGGTATGTGATGGAACCAAGGGCGCTGGTGACAAGTGAAGGGAGAAGAGAGGCACCAGCAAGCCCCAGTCCTTACTGAAAGCCCTAAGCCTGGGTGGCCCATGCATCCTGTGCAGCCGTCTTGGCTCTCTCCTCGCGGCTGGTGTTAGTCACTCCTGGCGGGTAAGGGAAGCCACGCCCACTTCTCTGGAGCTTGCTGACCTAGCTACTTGAACTGAACTATTGTTGAACTAAAACTGGAATGAATTGGACTCGTGCTGAGTCATGAACCCAATCCAAAATGTTTTTCTGTAACTGTGAAAAAAAGCCAAGTTTACTTCCTTCAAAAGCTCCCTAGTAAAGCAAATTCAAATTGGAATCTGAACCTTTTATTTTCTGTAACGATTGAACTGGCACAAAACAGAAAAATCAAAATTTCTGTTGAAATAAACTGATATTTCACTGAATCTGGAGCCCATCTTGACCAGCGTTTCTTGGAGCGAGTGGATTATCTGGATGTGTAGGTACTGCAGCACTGAAGTAGTAAAGGGTCACAAATAGGCTCTGAGGTTGTAATTTGGGCCTTCATCCTGGCTCCACCATCTTCTTGCTGAGACTTTGGGCAAGTTCCTTAACTTCTCTAAGCCTCAGTGCCTAGTACGTAAAAAGTGGTGGAAAAATGTTGGTGCTATGATTATTCTTTTCAGCTGGGGCAGTACCTACCAATTTTGGATAAAGATGGTATCTCCTGCTCATTATGTCCTCTCCATACATGGGGCTTTTTATTAAGTCACTGGCTCAGTATTTGTAGGGTGGACCCATCAAAGAACCCGTTGTATCCACACCTTCCAGTGGTTTAGCTTTAAAGAAAACCCTCCTCCTGCTTATATTTGTATGAGGTGAAAAATGCCAGATCATAAAGATTAGATGTAGCTCTAGCCTCGAGGAGGTCGAGTCAGATCTTGGGTATAGAATTTCAGGATCTCTGGTTTGGACAAAACCCTGAAGATTACCAAGAACGTCTGTAGTCTATTGCTTGCAACCTGCTTATTCCATCCTTGACAAAACCTGAGACTATCCAGGGATGGGGAAGAAAATTTGAAGAGTAAGCATATCTGTGCACTTTTATGTCATTTATACTCATTTACTTCCAAAATGAGTGGGAGACATTTTATAATAAAATATCCATGTATTAATATAATTTGGTATATCCATACGAAAGAATATTATTCAGCAATAAAGAGAAATCATAAACGAATACACTCTAACACATGGATACATCTCAAAAACATTATGGTAAGTGAGAGAAGCCAGACACACAAAACCACATATTGTAAAACAAATGTCCAGAAAAGGCAGAATAGAAACAAAGTAGATGCACGGTTGCCTGGGCTGAGGGTGAGAATGGGAAATGACTATCAATAGACATGAGGGATCTCACCGATGTGATGAAAATATTCTAACACTGGATGATGGCGATGGCTTTATTTTATTTTTATTTTTTTTTGAGACGGAGTTTCGCCCGTGGCCCAGGCTGGAGTGCAATGGCACAATCTTGGCTCACCGCAACCCCTGCCTCCCGGGTTCAAGTGATTCTCCTGCCTCAGCCTCCTGAGTAGCTGGGATTACAGGCATGCGCCACCACGCCCAGCTAATTTTGTATTTTTAGTAGAGATGGGGTTTCTCCATGTTGGTCAGGCTGGTCTCGAACTCCCGACCTCATGTGATCCATCCACCTTAGCCTCCCAGAGTGCTGGGATTACAGGTGTGAGCCACCACGCTTGGCTGGTGATGGCTTTAAAACTTGGTAAATTTACCAAAAAGCATTGAGCTGTACACTTAAAATAGATGGGTATTATGGTATGCAAATTATACCTCAATGAAGTGGCTTTAAAAAATCTATATACAAGAGAACTTTTTAGATACCCATAAGAAAGATAAGGCTCACATAAGGAATTGGGAGAAAAAAATTGTACCAGACAGCCTGGCCAAGGGCACTGATTACAGAAGACAGCAAAGCTCAGCTCTGAGCTATCTCATGACCAGCTTTGTTTGAAAGCCTTCTTCCTATTTTAAAATGAAATTTATGTTCCTGTCTGTTTTACCTATTGACCTAAGCCCTACTTGAACATCATGCAGAACAACTTTTTCCACATGATAGACCTATTCATATCTGAAAGCAATTTTATGTCCTATCTCAGTCATCTCTAAACAAAGTCACTGCAGTTCTGCCACCAGAATGTCCTGCTCTCTCTCAGGATCTCATTTTCCCTTTCTAAAAAATGTCAGTAACACCAGTTGCCTCCTTCTGTTGGAGCCATGGGCAGAAGAGAAATCTGGTATCTGTGCTCTGAGTTCTTAGGCTAGGAAGGAGCTTTTTTTTTAAATTTATTTTTATTTTTTAGTTTTAGTTTTTTTCTTTTTAATCTCAAGCTCCACCAGAATGAAAGGAAGGGGCTTTTAAATCCCAGGTGGTATTGACAGATACTGTGGTTTTTCTGTGTCCTTTCAGTTTTACCGATCCTTGAACATCCGGATTGCTCTCGTGGGCTTGGAAGTGTGGACCCACGGGAACATGTGTGAAGTTTCAGAGAATCCATATTCTACCCTCTGGTCCTTTCTCAGTTGGAGGCGCAAGCTGCTTGCCCAGAAGTACCATGACAACGCCCAATTAATCACGTAAATAGCCTTTTTCCATATGTTGTGTTGTCCTTGGCTGCAAAGCCTCTGCCCACCCAGCACATGCTCAGAGTTTGCCCCATGGCGAGTGTTGGTTGTACAAGGCCATTCTGACTCCCTGGTCCAGAGAATCAGGCATTTCCTAAACATGCGCTCTGTACCCAGCATACCCCAGAAAATGTTTAAAAGCCTGAGTCACATTATTCCTAAGAAATGTTTACAGTCTAATGGGAAAATTAGACTTACACATATTCCATTGAGCATCTGAAATAATTGTGTATGTATTTGGGAAGGGACTGACTGTTGGTCAGGTCTTAGACTTTCTAAGAGACTCATCTCAATCTTCCTGGCGCTTTGTTCTAATACATGAGCTGATCTCCCAACACAGGCACAGGAGAGCGGGCTCCTTGTGTTGTCCTTCACTTGGTTCCCAAGGGGCACAAGGCTGAGTGCTTGAGAGAGTCCAAGTGTTAGACAGTGCAGGAACTGAGGGTTTGGTTGGAGGGAGACATTGAGGAGGGATTGTGCTAGATTTTCATCAGCCTGGGAGAGACAGTGATGGGGGTCACATGTGACAGTGCCCCAGGGTGATTATTTGGTATTTATTAGTGTTGACTTCTGAAGGTATTTTGAGGCAGTTACAACAAAAGGCATATAGATAATAAAACCATTTGTCTTCTTTTCTTTTTTTTTTTTCTTTTTTGAGACAGTTTCCGTCTGTCACCTAGGCTGGAGTGCAGTAGCGTGATCTCGGCTCACTGCAACCTCTGCCTCCTGGGCTCAAGCAATTCTAGTGCCTCAGCCTCCCAAGTAGCAGGCATGCACCACCATGCCCGGCCAATTTTTGTATTTTTAATAGAGACAGGATTTTGCCATGTTGGCCAAGCTGGTCTTGAACTCCTGGCCTCAAGTGATCCGCCCGCCTCGGCCTCCCAAAATGCTGGGATTATAGGCGTGAGCCACACATGCCTGGCCTTCAAACCATTTTTCTTCTGTTCCCTAAATATAGCTGAGTTAATAATCATTTAAACTTTGGCTTATCCTTTTAAAGAAACTGGGAAAAATAACTGTCCCCAAAACCTGGGCTGTAAATAGTTACTACATTTGCCTAGGAAGAGTCTTTGGCTATTAGAACTTTTGGCCTGAACTTTGGAACATGTAGAAAATAACTAGTAGGACTTCATATCAATTTGCATAGATTTTGCATATTTCTTTGCAGATTGTTTCTCTGAAGATAAGTCTGCCTGTAATTCAGCAAACATTTATTGTATACCCACTATGTGTGAGATTCTGTGCTAGGTTCTACGATCCCAAAATAGTTAAGATAGTCTTGCTGTCAAAGATATCATGGTCTAGATGAGAAGACAAACGTGGAGATAAGTACCACATAATGAATTTCCATATAGGTTCTTTAAATACATTACATGTTTGTGGCATGCACAGAAACACTGGTAGTTTTTTTTTTCTTCTCCTCTACCCTGGATGTATATAACTGAAAGAGGGATGTATTCAACTGGGGAAAATGAAGCTTGCTGCTGGCAGATTAGGATCCCATTGCAAAACAAAGGCAGAAACAGCTCATTCTTGCATCCAACTGCACTTTGTGAGGCTCCTGATGGGGCACAGCTGTTTCCTTGGCCCCTGAGTATGTGGGAATGAAGCATCATCGGCCCCACAGCTGCTGCCCCGATGCCCCCACCCCTACCCTGTGGGACTCACACCACAGAGCCAGGGGTAAGGTATTGGATCCCGGCAGCTGGTGGAAGTGGGCATGATTCACTTCAGCATCAGAATCTGTGCCACCCTTCCATCAACCTCTCCTTCTGACCTTTTCCTGTGCAGCAGGAATGCAATGCAGCTTTGCAAACCCTGCCCATTTCCTTCCAAGGAATCAGCTATGGGTATATTGTGGGAGATAAACGACCTTTCTCTCTCTCTTTGTGTTCCTCTGGAGTCATGAGGGAGTAGGTGAGAGGAAGTGAGAGGTGTGGTGAGCTGGAAGTTGTCCAGTTGGCCTGGTTACAAGGGCCTCTCCCCTTGGGAATGACCTGGGAAAGTCAGCGGGTCCAGGGAACCCCGTGATGGCCACTTACTCCCAGGCACATTGGAACAGCCCTCTTAGTCTCGTCCCCGGTCACCGTCTCTCCTTGCCTCCTGCAGGGGCATGTCCTTCCACGGCACCACCATCGGCCTGGCCCCCCTCATGGCCATGTGCTCTGTGTACCAGTCTGGAGGAGTCAACATGGTGAGTCTCAGCCCGTGTGTGTGCGCTGCAGAAGGCGCTGAGCTGCCTTTCAAGACCAGAGGTCATCTTTTGAATAATAAGTTGATATTTATTATTGTAGCAGAAAAAGCTTTGACATCAGGAAGGGCAATTGTTTAAAATGAAGTCATTAAGTTCTAAGAGATGGAGGTACTGAAGGGTGAATTTTCATTTATTATAGTTCATTCCGTATCTTCAAGCTCAGGAACCCTGAAGAGATTACATGCATACATCACTAGATCTCATATGTTCCAAACCAGGGGCTGGAAAATAGTAAGAGAGTAGAGGTTAAAAGTATTTTTATTTCAGGTCGTGTGCTGTTATATATGTCATTAAGAAACAAGAACCTGTCTCAAAGTCATGGTTAGGAAATTACTGCCTTCTTTTGAAATTCACTCTGACTTCATGAGACTATTTGTTTTGACTCTTCATTTCTAACCTGTGAAGTGCATATCAAGGAAGACTTGTCTTCATCTATTTGTCTGTCCCTCTATCCATTCTGTATTTATCGACAAAGTAGCATAATGGCCAAAACCACAGGCTCTAGGGTCTGAGCCTGTTGGGTTCAAAGAACAGCTGTGTGATTTTGGGTGAGTTAATGAGTGTTCTCAGCTGTAAAAAACGCATAGTTTTACAGTTGATAATCATAGGATAGGAATGGGAATTAAATGAAATAATGCAGGAAACACACTTCCATGTTTAGTAAATCTCTTTCTGCTGCTTCTTTCCTGCTGGGTTTTTTTCCTCTTGATTTCTTTAGCTTTTGCATCATCAGACAGTACACCAAGTGCTGTGCCTGGAGTGTATCTGTCTTGTGTGGTTTTCTCAGGAAACACTAAGCCAAGTACACCCTATGTTTGAATCAAGGTCGTGTTTTCTATGTTGATTTCCTTATGTCTGGAGAAATATATATGTTCAGAAGAAGAATGGGGAAAAATCTTCCTCTTTTATTTATTCTGAAAGCATTTATTGGTCTGGAAGTTCATCCATAGGTCAGTTGTGGTCTGCAACCTTTGAGAACTCAGGAAACATGGACTTTTAAACATTTGATTTCCTCCTAGTGACAGCAGATTCAGCCTTGCTGTCAGAGGCACATATGGAGAGTCTGTATGCTCAGTGACAGTGGAATTGGTGGAGACCTGCAAGACTTGGCTAAGGATAAGGCAGGGATGGGGGGCAGAGGCAGATCTGTCCCCTTGACCTTGACCTCAACTCTGTCTTCTGAGCAGGACCACTCCGAGAATGCCATTGGCGTGGCTGCCACCATGGCCCACGAGATGGGCCACAACTTTGGCATGACCCATGATTCTGCAGATTGCTGCTCGGCCAGTGCGGCTGATGGTGGGTGCATCATGGCAGCTGCCACTGGGTGAGTCAAACAGCAAGAGGGAGGATGGGGAGGAGGGCGGGCACACCTGGACAGTGTGACCCAGGGGTTCCTCCCAGCTGGCCCCACTGAGACTCCCTTAAACTTCTGATGGGGCCAAAAAATGTAGTTTTTACAACAAAGAAATTGAGAGAAGACCAAGGCAAATGTGCAGCAAGAACTTAACTTTCCAGCAGGAGGTTTGGTGCTGGTGTAACCCTAGATTTATTTAATTTCTGTTTTAAGGTGTTGAGTTATAAAATTGGCTTGGCCATATGTGTCTTTTTTATTTCATGAATTTTTTATGAGGACACATTTTGATCATAGCCACAGCCCTTAATTCTTCTATCCCAAGAGAGTTGGATCAGTGCTGTTTCAATTCCAGGCTTCACTGAAAGCTCCGATGTAACAGAACAAGTTGAAGAAGAGGGCCATCCACACACCCCACAGTGACTTCTCAGGGAGTTTGCAGGCCACATTACCCATGAGGAACAGGGTGAGGCAGCTGCATCTCCCTGTGGTCATGAGGAAATTTTTTTTTTTTTTTTTTTTTGAGACAGAGTCTTGCTCTGTCGCCCAGGCTGGAGTGCAGTGGTGTGATCTCCGCTCACTGCAAGCTCTGCCTCCCAGGTTCACACCATTCTTCTGCCTTAGCCTCCCGAGTAGCTGGGAATACAGGCGCCTGCCACCATGCCCGGCTAATTTTTTGTATTTTTAGTAGAGACAGGGTTTCACCATGTTAGCCAGGATGGTCTCGATCTCCTGACCTCGTGATCCACCCGCCTCGGCCTCCCAAAGTGCTGGGATTACAGGTGTGAGCCACCGCGCTGGACATGAGGGATTTTTAAAACCAGAGTCTCTGAAGAGAATTAGGGAGTTTCTTCAAAGGACTTGTCTTCTAGCATCTGAACTCAGGCAGCACAAAGCATTGGGTTCTTCCAGGCTCTTTGGAAGGCATCACGTTGGGACCTTGTGTTCCTTCACCCCACACCATTAGGGCCTGTTTATGATTCTTAGAGAATGGTGTTTCAATGTCTCCAAGAAACAGTGCAGCTTTCTTAGAGCTCTGGTGTCAATTTTTTAAAATTATTTCTCAGCTGTGACATGGAAAGGATGATGTTGGCTGGGTGCGGTGGCTCACGACTGTAATTCCAGCACTTTGTGAGGCTGAGGTGGGCAGTTCACCTGAGGTCAGGAGTTCGAGACCAGCCTGGCCAACATGGTGAAACCCCGTCTCTGCTAAAAATACAAAAATTAGCTGGGCGTGGTGGTGCACGCCTGTGGTCCCAGCTACTAGGGAGGCTGAGGCGGGAAAATCACTTGAACTCGAGAGGCAAAGGTTGCAGTGAGCCAAGATTGTGCCACTGCACTCCAGCCTTCAGCCTGGGCAACGGAGCAAGACTCCGTCTCAAAACCACAACAACAAAAAAAGAATGAGGCAGGATACAGCTTCACAGTCATGCCTGGATCCCTATAAGCTCATGGTTAAGCTCACCCCTTTCTCTCTCAATCTAAAAAGCGTATCTGAAGACAAATGATTGAGAGTTATATTGATTACTACTCTCTTTCATTTTTAAATTATTCACAAATATGGATAGTTTAACAATTATTAGTAACAAATTCCTTGGAGCATACCTTCCCACTGAAGGAAAAGCTCCAGTTTCTTGGAGGGTTTAACCTTTAATTGGTTTAGAGAATTGGGAGCAGGATAACTCTCCTTTTGTAGACCCAGATGGCTGTACTATTTGTCCTTTTCACCAATGGTGGGACCCAGGACCTTCCATACTCCTGTGATAAAGAGCATGCGTTTATGAGTTGGCTGGTTGAGTTTGGAATGCCCTCTGCATCCTTAGAACAGCAATGAGATCACTGGCCCAAAATGAAATAAAACTTATGATCTTGGCCTTTTTTTGGCCTGGTCCTCTGTCACAAGAGAATATTCACCTGATATCAGCTTCAGGAAAAGTTTAGGTTGGCTGGTGTTTTCTTCAGTGCTAAGTCTCAGGAGACCTCTTGTAACACACTCACAACCCTTTACTTATCGCAGCCCCCTCATGCAATGGGCAGAAATTGCTACTCCTGATTCTCAAATGCTTTCTGCATGCCGACTAAGAAAAATAGAATGTTATGGGGTGGTTAATATCTCATCACTAAGGATGAAAGAATTCTTTTTTTTTTTTTTATACTTTAAGTTCTAGGATACATGTGCACAACGTGCAGGTTTGTTACATATGTATACATGTGCCATGTTGGTGTGCTGCACCCATTAACTCGTCATTTACATTAGGTATATCTCCTAATGCTATCCCTCCCCGCCTCTTGCTACCCTACAACAGGCCCCGGTGTGTTATGTTCCCCTTCCTGTGTCCAAGTGTTCTCATTGTTCAGTTCCCACCTATGAGTGAGAACATCCGGTGTTTGGTTTTCTGTCCTTGCAATAGTTTGCTGAGAATGATGGTTTCCAGCTTCATCCATGTCCCTACTAAGGACACGAACTCAAGGGATGAAAAAATTCTAAATTAATGTATTGGTAAATGTTCTAAGGGGCCAGAATGTATGTGTGTGAGACAATGGGGGTCTGAACCCAGGTGGAGTCAGCCCCACGGGTAGCAGGAGTGACAGCACGAGTGACACCTGCCTGACTGCTAGATGCTCAAACTCCCCACTAATTCCAGCCTTGTCCTCTGCCAGGCACCCCTTTCCCAAAGTGTTCAATGGATGCAACAGGAGGGAGCTGGACAGGTATCTGCAGTCAGGTGGTGGAATGTGTCTCTCCAACATGCCAGACACCAGGATGTTGTATGGAGGCCGGAGGTGTGGGAACGGGTATCTGGAAGATGGGGAAGAGTGTGACTGTGGAGAAGAAGAGGTGAGGGGTCACAATGGTGCTAGTGGGAGGGGAAGAATTTGCATTGGTTTCAAAACTCAAGGTCAAAGAGAACACAATTGAAAATTTCTTAGTCACAGGTGTTTCCTACATATAACTGTCCAATACCCCATGAAAAATCAGATATGAAGAAGCCTTCCAGTTGGAGTGTTTGTGCCGCCTCTGCTAGTTTGTGGCCAGCATCGCTAGTGTCCAGGATCAGTTCTTCTTATGAGTGTCTGGTCTAACCAGAAACCACGATCACGTGGCATGTTGACTCTGTCTTCCTCAGTGGAGCTGCACATGCCTGCTTGCCCTCCAGCTGCACGGAATTTATTCTGGAGGCCACACAGCCAGATATATGGGCTTGAACAGGGGCCTTATGAGGATGCTTAAAATAACAAGCTCATGCTGTTTAGGCTGGAGGAGAGATGATGGAAAGGGGATGTAGGAAGTGCTGTCAAGTCCCAAAAGGGCTGCTAGGAGGAACTGTTTATGTGTAAACTCTCTCCTTCCTTCTGATCTTCACAGTGAGTGTGGAGGGTACACGGCAGAGCCCGGTCATTTTTAACAAATGCATGTGGTTTCTGCAGAAAGCAGAACTGGATTGTTTCGTCTCTATTTTTTGAAGGCTGAAAATATGTATGTTTATACATGCATAACAATTTGGGGTAGATAACAAGTAACAGTAAATTATGGGGGTGAGACTGAGGTTCTGTATAAATGGAAAAAAAAATCTGATTTTATGGCCTTCTCTCTCTCACTCTGTTGCCCAGGCTGGAGTGCAGTGACAAGATCTCCACTCACTGCAACCTCCACCTCCAGGGTTCAAGCGATTCTCCTGCCTCAGCCTCCTGAGTAGCTGGGAATACAGGTGTGTGCCACCACACCTGGTTAATTTTTTTTTTTTTGTACTTTTAGCAGAGACAGAGTTTTGCTACATTGACCAGGCTGTTCTCAAACTCCTGACCTCAGATGATCCACCCACCTCGGCCTCCCAAAGCACTAGGATTGCAGGCGTGAGCCACCGCACCCTGCCTGTGACCTCTGTGATGTGATTTTTCTTTTTTTAATGCCAGTATGTCACTTTCAGAATAAAACAAGAACTAGTCAAGGATGCCACCCCCACCACCATGAGCCCAGAGAGATCAACACAGACCCATCAGAAAGGAGGGAGTGGTATGAACATGGAGGGCCACTGGGGTTGAGGAATGGCCTGAGAGTGGGCATGGCCAGTTGGCTTAGGTTCTGAGCAGTTGCTCATTCAACAGGCACACTGAGTGTGGGCTACTGTGTCTGGTCCTAGGGTTAGGATGAGTGGCAAAAATGACATAGTTCCTGTCCTTGGGGAGCTGATAGTCTAGTGGGAGAAACACATATTGAAATAATTGCAAAAGAATATATGTACAGTCCATGGCAAGTGCTAGGAAGACAAATGACACAGTGCTCTGAACATATATAATGTGAGGGGGAACCTCCTTGCTTGTGTGGGAGGTGACCTGGAGCCCATATCTGAAGGCTGCATTAGGAGTTAGTGAGGCACGCAGGAGGGAAGGCACATTTCAGGTGGAAGGGGAGCCTGTGCCTTCGTGGGAAGAAATATGGTACATTAGGAAGGCAGGAATACAGGTCTTCCTGGAGCCCAACATGGTGGGAGAATAATGGGAGGAAAGTGTTCTATTCCTTCTCTTAGGGGAGACAGGTGGACAGGTGTCTGTGGTCAGGGGATGGGATGTGGCTCTCCAATATGCTAGAGCCCTGGACAGTTAGGGGTATAAGGTTGATAAACATGAGGTAGGCCTCAGGCAGACCTGACTTGAATTCAGCAGGTGTGTCCCTCGGCCAGCTACTGGACTTGCCTGAGCCACAGCATCCCTGTCTGTGGAATGGGGTCAAGGCTGCCTCATAAGGCTGTGGTGGAGAGATCTGTGGAGCCCCGTACACTTTTCATCAATGGCTGATGGATTGGCCTGTTAATACTGTAAGAGTGTGATGAGGACGCTCAGGGTCACTGGAACGCCTCATAATCTTTTAAAAATCTCAGGCTGGGGGAGAGCAAGGAACCCATGGAGATCTTCTGTTCCAGAAAGGTCCAGGCCAGGAAGGGCTTAGGAAGAGAAGCAGATGGAGAAAAAAATCTAAGGAAACAGACCCAGGAGTTGACATAAACTGTTTGGAGAGGTTGTTCCAGCAGACTCTTGCACCGGCAGCCCCTTTTCATGAGATAAGAAAGCCTAGGAGGGTTGGGGGCAGGAGGGCACCCATGAAAGACAGGGTGTCTGGATGTTCTACTGGGGATTAGAAAAACAAAACATAAAATTTCCATATACTCTGCTAAAAAGTCCATTTTAGAAGACTACATGGTTACAGGGAGAAATACGCATGTTATATTAAGTAAAAAAACACTGTGGATACTATGATTTTGTAAAGTAAGTATAAATATATATGTATGTGTGTAGAAAATGCCTTGAAAAATATTCATACTCAAAATGTAGCTGTGTCCTAGCGGGGCATGGTGGTGTGTGCCTGTGGTCCCAGCTACTTGGGAGGCTGTGGCATGAGAATTGCTTGAACCTAGGAGGAGAAGGTTGCAGACTGTCTCAAAAAAAGATGTAGCTGTGTCCAAGTCATGTTACTAATGATTGTGCATATATATGGTTCTTGTGACAAGTACACATTAGCTTAGTGACGAAGCTGTCACATGATTTTTGAGGTCAAAAGTTTCCAGGCCAGGTGCGGTGGTTCATGCCTATAATCCCAGCACTTTGGGAGGCCGAGGCAGGTGGATCACTTGAGGTCAGAAGTTTGAAACCAGCCTGGCCAACATGACGAAACCCAATCGCTATTAAAAATACAAAAATTAGCCAGGTGTGGTGGGGTGTGCCTGTGGTCTGAGTTACTTCGGAGGCTGAGGCGGGAGAATCGCTTGAAACCAGGAAGCAGAGGTTGCAGTGACCCGAGATATTGCATCACTGCACTCCAGCCTGGGTGACAGATCGAGACTCCCTCTCAAAAAAAAAAAAAAAAAAAAAGAGATAGTTGCTAGAGAGCTGGGGTTCCAGGGGTGTGTGGGCAAGGGTGGGGAAAATGTTGGGGGTGGTGAAGGCCCTCCCCCACTCACACCCACCCCACTGCCTCCCCAGGAATGTAACAACCCCTGCTGCAATGCCTCTAATTGTACCCTGAGGCCGGGGGCGGAGTGTGCTCACGGCTCCTGCTGCCACCAGTGTAAGGTAAGTGGCCCTTTTCTCCACGCCTTGGGCCCTGGCCTGACAGTGGGACCACAGGACTGCTCTGCTGGGGTGGATGGCTGGGGATTTGCCTCCATCCTGGGGCTGTGATGGCAACAGAGTTTCAGAAACACAGAGCGGAAAAGGTGCCTTGAATAAAATTTACTATTCCTATACTGGGCCTCACTGAATTCAGATCATCCCAGAGGAGGGTGGCGCTTCTTTGGAAATGGTACTTTTTTTTTTCTTTTTTAAAGAAGTATCCAGAGAGAGTGGGCTTGATTTTATTGAGCTCATAAACAATAATAATTATCATCATTTGTATTGACATTAATGGACCTCTTAGTAGATGCCAGGCACTGTGCTGGGAATTTTATGTACGTTATCTCATTCTCTCCTCACAAAAACCCCATAAAATATATGTGACTATCCTTATTTTAAGATGTGGAAACTAGAGCTTATAGGGGATAAGAGGTTTATCTGGAATCAGGCAGTCAGGAAGGGACTGAATCCAGCTTTCCCTGACTCTGGTGCCCACATTCCTAATATTGATGTGAGAGATAAATTGTCTGTTGCTGCTAGTGTTACCGTAGAACCACAATCTCTCTTCCACAATTCTGAAATTAAGGGAGTTCTAAAAGCTGAAAAAAAATGTAAACACATTTGGTGGCAAAACTTGACCTGAATTGACATGAGATGAATTATAGTCTTTTTAAAAAAAAATCACTCCTAAAGTGAATATTTATATTGCATTACAGAAATATTAATATGTTTGATCAGAAGGTGTTATCCCCAGCCTTGCTGGGGGGTTATGTAATATACATATGTAGTTATATATGCGGACATATGTAATTATCCATATCCATATATATATATATATATATATACATACACACATGTGTAATTATATATGTACACACATGTACATATGGACCTATGTATTACAATATCTGCTTTCTAAATCTGAAAAGCCTGAACCCCATCTGGCCCCATCATTTTAGGCAGGAACTGTGGGCCTGGGCTTCTGCCTAGCACTTGCTGAGTGCTCGTTAGGGGCCAGATACCATTCACATACTTAGTTCTAACTCACGTTTAATCACCCATTAGTGGGTTATTATCCTGAGTTGTGGGTGAGTGAGCACACACAGGTTACACAGCAGGTGCCCAAGGCCCCGCTGCCGGTTAAGGAGCTGGGATGTGTGCCCAGGCAGGCTGGCTGTGGGGCAGGTCCTCTTTGCCTCCACCTGCCTCTGGATGGCAGAGGTGTGTCCTGCAGCCTCCTCCTGCATACACCACCCATGCCCACACTTGCGACTGGGCATCCACTCTCAGCAAGCTGCTCAGCTGGCCCAGTCTTGGCCTGAGAGTGGCCGGTGGAGAAGCCTGTCTGCCTTCTCCTGGAAGGACCCTGTGGGTGGGAGGAGTGGCCCAGGAGCAGGGGAGGGGGTCTGTTCTCAGTCACTGGTTTCCTTGCCTGGCTCTCGGAATGTGCACGGCATCTGGTTTGGCTGTGCGTCCCCCTGGGAGGCTGTGCTGGGTCAAGTTCTTCCAGTCTTGGCCCAAGGCCTAAGCATAAGCATGGAGTGGACCCCTTCACTCCACACAAGAATTTCCGTTTGAGCCTCAGAAAGGATTCCCTGGTGTCCAAGACTGACTTCAAACCCTGGTTGTGTGATTTGGGGCAACCTATTAACTCTCTGAGCCTAGGTTCTTTATCTGTAAAATGGAAAGAGTATTAGTAACACCGACTACCCAGGGAGGCTGTAAGACTCTTCGCCCTTTGCCCCAGGTGTGCTGTTGATCAACTTATTGATCTGCAAAGTGGGACAAATAGCAGTATCTATCCCATGGAAGCTGTGAGGATCCCACGAGATACGTGTATGTCACACACTCAGCCCAGTGCCTGGCCCCATAGTGGGGATATATTATTGCTGAGGTGCTTTGTAAACTCACAGATGTTATGTGAATGCTAGTTTTGTGTGTGTGTGTGTGTGTGTGTGTGTGTATTAGTGGGCCTGGCTCCTCTGCCACTTACTATGAGTCTTTGGATGCATCGTCTAACCTCTTTAAGCCTACAGATTTTATCATCTGCAGAAGGGATAATTATATCACACAGGACTGTCATGAAAACTAAGTGAAGTCATATTTGTACTGGACACTTAAGTGGGAGCTGCATAAAAGTAGCTGCTATTACTAAAGCATGTAGGAAACTGTAAATTGTTGTATAGGTATTATTTCTTGCCTCTTTCTTAAGACTTCTATGAAGAGAAAGTGAGTTAGCATTTGTGAAAACAGCTTGAAATTCTGTCAGTATTCACATGAGAAGGCTGAAGGTGGTTTGGGCTAATGAGGTCATGTAAAAAGTGCTGTGAAATCATGGTAATGGAAAATTCTGTTCTATGAGAGTGATCCTTATGAGCCCTTGGGCAACAGGGTTGAGGGTGGGGAGGAGATTGACTGTGTTTTCCTCTCATTCCTTGGCTCAGCTGTTGGCTCCTGGGACCCTGTGCCGCGAGCAGGCCAGGCAGTGTGACCTCCCGGAGTTCTGTACGGGCAAGTCTCCCCACTGCCCTACCAACTTCTACCAGATGGATGGTACCCCCTGTGAGGGCGGCCAGGCCTACTGCTACAACGGCATGTGCCTCACCTACCAGGAGCAGTGCCAGCAGCTGTGGGGACCCGGTAAGGCTCTCCTGGGGAGCACGGCTCTCCCCAGCCCACCACTTCCCAGCCAGCCTCCCCTGGCCCTCAGGGTAGTTTGGAATCTTGGCTTCAAATGGCACCTCTAGATACTACCTCTTTCATCCCCTTGACTCAGGGTAGATGTTCAGGGAGAACCAGAGGACAGTGTTCCTTCCCAGTCCCTTGATGCTTTTATTTCTCAGAGTGGACAATTGAATAAGAGTAATCCAAAAGAAAAATGAGCAGAGGATGGAGACAGAGAAGCAAATGCAAATGGCCCTTAAGCTATGAAAAGACGTTTAATCTCAGTCATATTAAGGGAAAGCAAAGTATAATTATGATGAGGTGAGATTTTTCATATATCAGATTGCAAAGACTGAAAGTTAAGATAATAATAATATAACAACAATAATAATGATATAGTGTTGTGGAGGGTGTGAAGAAACAGGTAGATATAACCACTATGGAAAGCAATTTGGAGATATACTTAGAAATGCAGCTAACACTTGCACATGTATGTGAGGATATATTTACTATGATGTTTACTGCACCATTGTTAGCCATAGCAACAACAACCTATGTGTCCTTCAGTAGGGACCAATTAAATTAATTCTGGTACATTCATATAATGCAATGCTTTATGGCTAAATAAGGAGGCAGCCCTATATTTACTGAATAAAATCATCTTCCACAAAAAATTAAGTGAAAAATGCAAGGTGTAGAACAGCAAATAAAATATGCTTTCAAGCCAGATTTGGTGGCTTGCACCTGTAATCCTAGCTACTCAGGTGGCTGATATGGTGGCTTGCACCTGTAATCCTAGCTACTCAGGAGGCTGAGGTGGGGGGATGGCTTGAGCCCAGGAGTTTGAGGCTGCAGTGAGCCACTCCACTCTAGGACTCCAGCCCAAGCGACAGAGGGATGTACCATCTCAAAAAAAAAAAAAAAAAAAAAAAAAAAGACTGGGCACAGTGGCTCACGCCTGTAATCCCAGTACTTTGGGAGGCCAAGGCAGGTGGATCACCTGAGGTCAGGAGTTCAAGACCAGCCTGGCCAACATGGTGAAACCCTGTAACTGCTAAAAATACAAAAATTAGCCAGGCGTGGTGGTGGACGCCTGTAATTCCAGCTACTCGAGAGGCTAAGACAGGAGAATCTCTTGAAACTGGGAGGCAGAGGTTGCAGTGAGCTGAGATTGTGCCACTGCATTCCAGCCTGGGTGACAGAGCAAGACTCTGTCTCAAAAAAAATAAAAAAAGAATATGCTTCCATTCTTTATTAGATAGATTATCTCTAGAAGATACACACAGAATTATACCTAGGAGATACAGAAATTAGAGATTTAAGTATCTTTAGAAAATATACTGTTAATAAGTGCTATTCCTCCAGGATGTAGAGAAGTAGGAACTGGATGACTACAAGAAAAATTTTCCAAGACATACTTATATCTTTAAAATATTATGCATGTATGACCTATTTTTTAAAATCTTGAATCGGAACATGGCTTCTTCATTAGAGAGCAGGCTTAGCATGCAACCCTCCCCACACACAAATATAAATCCTCAATAAGGTAGGAAGAATTTACATAAAACAGGCCAGGTGTGGTGGCTCACGCCTGTAATCCCAGCACTTTGGGAGGCCGAGGCGGGGGGATCATGAGGTCAGGACTTCAAGACCAGCCTGGCCAAGATGGTGAAACCCCATTTCTACAAAAAAAATAAATAAATAAATACAAAAATTAGCCAGTCATGGTGGTGGGTGCTTGTCATCCCAGCTACTCGGGAGGCTGAGGTAGAGAATTGCTTGAACCCAAGAGGCGGAGGATGCAATGAGCCGTGATTGTGCCACTGTATTACAGCTTGGGTGACAGAGCGAGAATCCATCTGAAAGAAAAAAAAAAGGATTTATATAAAACATTATTCTCTGAGTAGATCTTGTTGAGAATATGGGGATGGAGTAACCTGGAGGGAACAGGAAGAAGAGGCTGAGTATTCCCTCCCAGAAAATATTCTTACCTTCATGACTTTACCAAAGATACCTTTGCCCTTGGGGGCTTCTGACAGATGAGTATACTGATAGATGTTGCTTGCCCACCCAGGAGCCCGACCTGCCCCTGACCTCTGCTTCGAGAAGGTGAATGTGGCAGGAGACACCTTTGGAAACTGTGGAAAGGACATGAATGGTGAACACAGGAAGTGCAACATGAGGTGATGACCAAAGGGCAGGCCTCATGAAATGAGGATGAACAAGCAGTTTCTGCTCTGTCCTCACTGTTGCCCAACTCAGCAGTGTGACTGGCCCCAGAGCTGCACCTTTACGTCAATCAGTTGAAGTCAGTCATCTATTCTCGGCCCCCTGTTTGACAATGCACTTTTCAGCTCTGAGGAAGTCAGAGGAGGGTGTGGGTGGCAGTGCTTCCTAGAAAGCTGATCGGGCTTCCTTTGGGGACCATCTTACAGTAGGGCAGGGAATCAGCCCTTTTGGGTCATTTCTGCCAAATTCTAATCATGCCCTAATTTGAATAGCTCCTCATTCATTAATTCACTCATTCATTCATTTATTCATCATTCATTCCAACCAACCATCCACTCATCTGTCTACCCATCCATCCATCCATCCATCCATCCATCTATCCATCCATCTACCACCCACTCACCCACTGATCCATCCATCTATCCATCCTCCACCACCCACTCACCCACTCATCCATCCATCCATCCATCCATCTGTCCGTCCATCTATCCATCTACTATCTATTGAAGATTTACTGTCTATCTACTATCTATTGAAGATTTACCATGTGCAAGATATTGTGCTGAGTGCATGGAACTTCTAATTAACAATATAGTATGACAATGGCAATGTGGAGAGAGCCATCCAACCCATCTTAGTGTGTCAGAGTGGTTTCCCAAAGGAAGTTATACCTACACTGAGATCTGGAGCAGTTACCTCGGTGAACAGGGTGGAAGGTGGTGCTGGTGCATAGGAGAGTAATCCAGGAAGAGAGATGAATAGAGAAAAACTGGTGGTTGAAAGAACTGAGAACAGTTTGATACAGTTAAAGTATAATGTTGGGGTGCAAAGGAGAAGGTCTGCTGAGAAATTAGCCTGGATAGTTTAGCATGGACCAGATCATGAAAAGCCTCAAATGCATGGCTAGGGGAGTTTAGATTTTAGCTTGAGAGCAGTGTGAAAATTAGACTCCTATGAGGCAGACTGGAGGCAGGGAAATCAATCTTCTGCAGACCAGGTAAGGGGGGTGGGGCAGTGTGAATTAAGGTAGATAGATAATAAGATAGATAATTAAGGAGGGAAGATTGATAGGGTTTGAAAATGGCTTGAGCCCAGGAGTGAGGGAGAATGGGGAGTTGGAGATGACCCCAGATTTCTAGCTGGAACTCCTGGGTGGACAGCGGTATAAGGGGCAAAAAGGGAAAGATTGCTCAGCTCAGGTGGCTATTCTTGGAGTTAAGGACTTTTCGAGGCCAGTTCTCTGGTCTAGATTTGCTCAGGGTCAAGGAGCCTGTTCTCTTCCCTTGGTGTCAGTCCACATGGAATCTCTCCTGGTGGGTTCCAAAGCACATGACTGCCCTAAACCTTTGCCCCACCCCACGCAAGCCTGCTGTCTTGATCAAGAAAGACTGAAGCTCTCTGGTGCCCCAGCTCTTCCTCTGCCTCTGATTCCGCTTCCTTCCCTCTCTGTCTCTTGTGCCCAGAGATGCGAAGTGTGGGAAGATCCAGTGTCAGAGCTCTGAGGCCCGGCCCCTGGAGTCCAACGCGGTGCCCATTGACACCACTATCATCATGAATGGGAGGCAGATCCAGTGCCGGGGCACCCACGTCTACCGAGGTCCTGAGGAGGAGGGTGACATGCTGGACCCAGGGCTGGTGATGACTGGAACCAAGTGTGGCTACAACCATGTGAGTCCCCTCCCCTGCTCACCTAGGAGCCAGCTGCAGAGCAGAGTGATTGAGAAGTGAGGTCTGAGGGAAGGATGCCTGGGCTCAGATGCCACCTCGCCAACCTCTGAGCCTTGGTGGCTCCCTTCATGAAGCGTGTATAGTGACAGCAGGCACCCACCCCAGAGAACTGTCGGAAGGATTAAAGAAAATCATCCCAGTAAAGCACTTAGGTGGCCTAGCTAGTGCCACTTTCATCCTCATCGCTAATTATCATAGGAATTAAAAATGGACTAGGAGTTAGGGAAGCCTGAGCAAAATAATAGCACAGACTCTATCCTCCAGAGTCGATTCTGATAATGAAACTATGGAAAACATGAAGCATTTAGCATAGCACCTGGCACAGAGTACTGTCACCATCATTATTTTTAAATATAATGTTAAAATTGATACATATTAATGACAAGTAATTAACATAATCAACATAATAGTCCTTTAATGTGATAACACATAAATAATATTGTATTGTTAAATATGATACTTTAACAATATATTTGTCGTTTTCTCCCTAATCACAAAAGTAATAGCAGAATTTAGTTGGCTGTTGTCCTGTCCTTAGCGTTGTGGGCTGTTTTCCATTTTTCACTTTGATAGTAACCTGAAGTGTGCTGCCTATTTGGGCCCTCATACTTTTTTTCTTTTAAGATGGAGTCTTGCTCTGTCACCCAGGCTGGAATGCAGTGGTACAATCTCGGCTCACTGCAACCTCTGTCTCCCAGGCTCAAGCAATTCTCCTGCCTCAGCTTCCCGAGTAGCTGGGATTACAGACACAGGCCACCAGGCCCAGCTAATTTTTGTATTTTTCGTAGAGATGGAGTTTCACCATGTTGGCCAGGCTGGTCTTGAACTCCTGACCTCTGGTGATCCGCCCACCTCAGCCTCCCAAAGTGCTGGGATTACAGGCGTGAGCCACCAGGCCGGGCCATGGGTCCTCATATGTTCCAAGTGCAAAATCTTGCCTCCTAACTCCCAACCAGCATCCCTCCCATTGCACTGATCGTTCTGTTTTCTCTCCGTGCAGATTTGCTTTGAGGGGCAGTGCAGGAACACCTCCTTCTTTGAAACTGAAGGCTGTGGGAAGAAGTGCAATGGCCATGGGGTGCGTGCTGGGTTCTGGCTTCTCTGTGTCATGGGGACGTCATGAGGGCAGGCCCTGTGGGTGGCTGATGCTCTCTGGGGTGCTGATGCCTCTGCCCTTTCTTTGCTCCAGGTCTGTAACAACAACCAGAACTGCCACTGCCTGCCGGGCTGGGCCCCGCCCTTCTGCAACACACCGGGCCACGGGGGCAGTATCGACAGTGGGCCTATGCCCCCTGAGAGTGAGTGCCAGCCTGCTGGGGCCACTGCCCGCTTTTGTGAGAAGAGCGGGCATCAGGGGCAGGTGGCATGTTGCAGAGCATCCACATTGAATCAGCTTCATTGTCCTGATTTTGTAGAGAGGAAATCAGGATAAAGACAGACCAAGAGAGAGGAGCGACTGCTCATAGTGTGGTGTGGGGACACGGTTCAGTCTCTCTTCTCCCATCCTTTCTACTGAGGAGGGGGAGCCCGCTTAGTAGAGTGAGAGTAAGAGAGACTGTAGGTCATTGAATGTTCCCATTCTTTTTAGGGGACACGGTGACTATTTCTCTTTGGGCACTTAAAAATAATCATGAACCTGGGACACATTATGGTGGTTTAGATTTCCTCTGATGGACACAAGTTAAAATGGAGAACCAGACACTCAGAAAATTTTATAGTATTTTAGTGGATCTCTCAAGGATTCTAGCACTATGATTTCTAAAGTTTTTTTTTTAAAAAAAATAGCAAATAACTTTAAAAAAAAAGCACCAAAATCTTTCAAGGAAGAAACCCCAATATGTAAAACTGATAAAAAGTAGTGTTTTGTTAGTACAAATACGTTCTCTATATTTACATTAACCACTTGAGAGAATATTGGGGTAGTTTTGATGAAACCAAATGTTAAGTTATGGATTATGGGTGAGATGTCTAGTCTTAAATCTGTCTGAGTCTTTTCGTTTCTTTGTTTTTTTTTTTTTTTTGAGACGGAGTCTTGCTCTGTCACCCAGGCTGGAGTGCAGTGGTGTGATCTCGACTTACTGCAACCTCCGCCTCCCGGGTTCAAGTGATTCTCCTGCCTCAGCCTCCTGAGTAGCTGAGACTACAGGCATGTGCCACCACACCTAGCTAATTTTTGTGTTTTTAGTAGAGACGAGGTTTCACCATGTTGGTCAGGATGGTCTTGATCTCTTTACCTTGTGATCTGCTGACCGCGGCCTCCCAAAGTGCTGGGATTACAGGCATGAGCCACTGTGCCCGGCCCATAATGTGTGTTTTTAATTATAATTTGTAAGTTAAAATAAGTAATACAAATTAAATGCAAATCAAATGCCTGAAGAAGAAGCACGAATACCTATTTTGAAATCTGCTGTAGCCGAGACAGCTTCTAAATCTCCCACTTGGGTTCTGTTTCTGGAAGGTGTGGGTCCTGTGGTAGCTGGAGTGTTGGTGGCCATCTTGGTGCTGGCGGTCCTCATGCTGATGTACTACTGCTGCAGACAGAACAACAAACTAGGCCAACTCAAGCCCTCAGCTCTCCCTTCCAAGCTGAGGCAACAGTTCAGGTATGACAGGGTTCAATGGAGGACTCAGGGTCAATTTATGGGTCACAAAGGTCTCCATAAATGGTACTTAGCAAAAGTGTTGGTGATAGTGGGTCTAATTCAGGGAAGACAAGTGCAAGATACATGCTGCCCTCTCCCCTGCTATGACTGTGACAGGCATTACTAGTTGATCTTATTGTAAGTACTCTACTGATTCTGGTCATCACTCCTGAGTTCTTCTCAGCAGAATATCCCCAACCAAATCAAGTTGAAATATAAAATAAAATCTATTTGCCATCCTTTGTCTAGTTGATTTATTCCCCATTTTATTTTATTTATTTTTGAGATGGAGTTTCACTCTTGTTGCCCAGGCTGGAATGCAGTGGTGCAATCTTGGCTCACTGCAGCCTCCGCCTCCTGAGTTCAAGCGATTCTCCTGCCTCAGCGTCCTGAGTAGCTGGGGCTACAGGTGCATGCCACCATACCCAGCTAATTTTTTGTATTTTTAGTAGAGACGGGGTTTCACCATGTTGACCAGGCTGGTCTCGAACTCTTGACCTCAGGTGATCTGCCCGCTTTGGCCTCCCAAAATGCTGGGATTACAAGCATGAGCCACCATGCCCAGCCCCCTCTTTGTCTTTTTAACCACTGTTGCTTTAAAGTTTGTTTCATCTGGTATAAGAATAGCTACTCCTGCTCGCTTTTGGTGTCCCATTTGAAAAGTGATGTATTATTTTGGATATGGAAGATGTACAGTCTCTGAGTCACCTATTAAATAACACTTGTTCTGGAGGGGATTTTAAGTCCCAGGTCTTTCTGGATCTATGCCTGATGGGGATTGGTTGATGGCTCGTGACACCCTTGTGTCTCCTCACAGGGGAAGGGTCTTAAAAGGGTGAAGAGAAGGTGCTGAGAGAGCTCTGCTTTGTATAAGGCCAACTCTGTTTCCTTGAGAGTTCTCCATTGGCCACACGTTTTTCTACTTAGGAAGATGTGGTTCGAGAAGACCAATCCCACTCCCTCCAGAGCAGACTTGGGAAAGATTTAGCTGCTTGCTGGCCGTGCTTGGGTCAAAGGGAACTCAGGCACTGTCCCCTGCTGAACATCGTCCCCTTTCTTTTCCTCCCCCATTTCTTGTTTCTAGTTGTCCCTTCAGGGTTTCTCAGAACAGCGGGACTGGTCATGCCAACCCAACTTTCAAGCTGCAGACGCCCCAGGGCAAGCGAAAGGTAAGAGCTTTGCACCACTGAACTTTGCTACTTTTCCTTTATCCCTCAGGGCCATGCTGTATTTTTCTTTTTGAGATGGAGTCTTGCCCTGTCGCCCAGGCTGGAGTACAGTGGCGCCATCTCAGCTCACTGCAAGCTCCGCCTCCAGGGTTCACGCCATTCTCCTGCCTCAGCCTCCCAATTAGCTGGGACTACAGGTGCCCACCACCATGCCTGGCTAATTTTTGTATTTTTAATAGAGACGGGGTTTCACCGTGTTAGCCAGGATGGTCTCCATCTCCTGACCTCGTGATCCACCCGCCTCGGCCTCCCAAAATGCTGGGATTACAGGCATGAGCCACCATGCCCGGCCGCCATGCTGTGTTTTTCTAAGAGCCTCTGTGGGCCCATGGGATTGGTAATAAAAGCCCTTTTATTGGCTGGAGAGACATGTTATTTGGTTCTGACATCCCCTAATGACTTTAAAGGTTGCATCTGACTTCTGGGATCCTCAGGGGTTTAATAGATTGGTGTGTCTGTTCTCCCTTTGGGCTCTGGTTTATCTCAAAGAGACACACAAGGCCAGCCCTGAGTGATTTCTTGTCTCAGGTGTTCCTTGACTTGTGCGTACAGGTGATCAACACTCCGGAAATCCTGCGGAAGCCCTCCCAGCCTCCTCCCCGGCCCCCTCCAGATTATCTGCGTGGTGGGTCCCCACCTGCACCACTGCCAGCTCACCTGAGCAGGGCTGCTAGGAACTCCCCAGGGCCCGGGTCTCAAATAGAGAGGACGGAGTCGTCCAGGAGGCCTCCTCCAAGCCGGCCAATTCCCCCCGCACCAAATTGCATCGTTTCCCAGGTAAGTGGATAATCAGCAACCTTGGGCTGGGAACATTGCTTTTAAGGCCACTTTCAATGGGTAATGGCAAAGGTGGGGAAGGTGAAACTTGTGGGGTCATGAGCTGACTGCCTTTTCTGCAATTCAGTCAATACGGGGGCGCACAGCAGGTTAGAGCAACGAACGTGGGGAAATAGACTCTCTAAGAAGCTCCTAAACCATGTGGCATTTTCTCCCGGGTTGGCCTATTTTATGACAAGCCACTACCCACCTTCCACCCCATATTAACTTCTGTCAGTTCCCCCATGCTCGTCTGCCTGCTAGGTCTTTGTAAATGCTGCTTGTTCTGCCTGATACGCTCCTTCTCTCCTTGGTGGGGCCACCTCCTGCTCATCCTCAGATCTGCTCCTAGATGCCGCTTCTCCCAGGAAGTCTATCCTGATTCCTCAATTCTGAGGTTGATGGGACTGTACTTCTCTCATCATAGTACTCTTCCTACCAAATTGTACCTATTGGTACCTTCTACTGATTGGAAAGTCTTAGGGATGTATCCTGATGCCTTGCCCATCCCAAGGGGCAGGTGCCTCTGGGAGGTGAGAGTGGGGTCTAGACTCTCCCCCACCAGCCCTGGTGCTCTTGGAGGCATAGCCTGCCCAGCAGCCTGTTCCCACTGCGTGTGTGTGCTCTGATGGCTCTGACCACACCTTCTGCAGGAGATCCCCCAGTGCAGACACAGGTGTTTCCTGGGTGGCGGCCGGGTGGGGTGCCTTCTGGAACTGGCCTGTGTGTTTTGGGTGTGACCCCTCAACTGAGACTGCTTTCTCTGGGTGTAATCCAGAGGGCTCCATGGAACCCAAGCTGTCTCTGACCCTAAGGACTCTGGGGTTGGCTGCAGGCTTTGGAGGGTCCTTGGGATGTGTGGCAGTGGTACAGTTTGGGAAGGCTGAGGGCATCCATTCTGTTTCTCTGCTGTGAAACTGCTGCTCTCCCCTTCCTTTTATGTGGGGCAGAGGTAGGATGGAAAAATCCATGCAGAAAGAGAGGAAAGATTGACAGGGAGAGAGAAGGAAAGAGGAAAGGAAAAAAGCAAGAGAGGGGAGGAGTGGAGAGAGAGAGGTGGAGAGTGTACTCGTGTGCTGAGGGTGCTATAGCAGAGTACTGCACACTGGGTGGCTTCAAAACAGACACTTATTTTCTCACAGTTCTAGAGGCTAAGAGTCCAAGGTCAAGGTGCTGGAAGGGTTGATTTCTGAAGCCTCTCTCTGTGGCTTGCAGGTGGCCGCCCTCTTGCTGTGTTCTCACGAGGCCTTTCCTATGCACTTCTGCCTCCCTGGTGTCTGCCTGTCCAACTCTCCTCTTCTTATGAGGACACCAGATTGGATTAGGTGGCCTCATTCTATCCTAATCACCTCTTTAAAGACCTTATCTCTAAATATGGTCACATTCTGAGGTACTCAGGGTTAGGGCTTCAGCATATGATTTTTTTTTTTTAAATGATGAGTGCACAGTTCAGTCCCTAACAGAGAGATGAAAGAAAGGGAGAAAGCAGGCGTGTAGAGACTTGGGGTTACAGGAGAACAGGAGTGCCAGCAGAGGGAGGAGGGAGTGGGTCGGGCGAGCAGTCCACTCAGACTGTTGTTCTGAAAAACCCACACTAGAGGCATGTTCAGAGAACACGGGGCCAGCCTCACCCCTGTCACCCCTAGGTGCTGAGCCGTAGGTCAGGAAGTGTCAGGGACAGCGGGGACCCAGCTGTCTGTTAAGTGGTGGAGGCTGTGCATACCCTGCACCTGCACCCCTGGGACTGCTGGCAGGAGTCCCGGGTGCAGGAAGCTGCCCAGCCAGTGGCAGGCACCCCAAAACACAGCCCCCAAGCACAGCTTCTCCTGGGCCCCGGGTCCCAGGTGGGTGTCTCTCTACAAGCGAACAGTGGGAGGCAGCTGCTCTGAGTGGGGGCTGCTGTGATGACATTGGGCTGCCACCTGCCTCCTCACAGCCATTCCAAGAAGGGAGTTGCTGCAGCCCTCATTTCTCTTGGAGGTTGCCAGGCCTCATAGGATTGAAGGGACTTGCCCGACATTGCACAGTTGTGAGTGGAGGAGCTAGGACTTGAACCCAGGTCTCATCCAGCTGAGTGAGACAGCCTCCTGCCCTGGGGCCACTCACAGTCTCCAGTCTGCCATCAAAGATTCCCCACCTCCTAGCTGGGGGACATGGACCCCCTGGAGAAGTGATAGATGAAACCTCATCACTTCTTCAGTTCTGCTATTCTAAACCGGCTTATGCACCTGCACTCTGGGCCAGGCAATGACGAGGAAGGCAGATGGCAGCTTTGCCTCCAGGAGCTCACATTCTGCTGGGGCAGTGACTCTGGGATATGTGTCACTGCAACAGTGATATGTGCTGTGAAGGAGAGGCTCAGGGTGCTCAGAAGAGAGTAACGAGGATTTGACCTAATCTGGGAAATCCAGGAAGGTTTCCCTGAGGTGGTGACATTTGAGCTGAGACATGAAGGAGGAACAGGACTTAACCAGGCTGTGAGGGCAAGTGATGAAGGAGCTTTCCTGGTCCCAGGACCCACTAGTAGGGAGGCTCTGTCATGGGAGAGGGCCCTGTGGATTGAAGGAACTTAAAGGTTTGTGTGCTTGGGTCCCAAGGAGCTATGAGATGAGGCTGGAAAGCCAGGAGGAGCCCGTCTATGCCCAGGCCACATAGCCTTGGTCAGGACTTTGGTCTGTATTCCATAGGAAGAGGACAGTGGTGACATGATGCAATTTTCTGTTGACAAGGATTGATCACTCTTTGGGATATCTTTAGGCAGGAGAGAGGTGTAGTTCCTGCAAGGGGCCCATAGATGCTTCTGAAGCTGTTAATCTACTGTTTGACCTGCATGGGGATTACTTAGTGTATTCACGTTGTGATAATTCATCTAGTTGTATATTTATGATTTGTTCGCCTTTTTCTGTGTGTATTATATTTGAATTTTTAAAATAGTTTTAAAAAATGAAAGTCACTCTAGAAGCAAATGGGTGTCCTAGTTAGAAGATTTAAAGGTTGTCCTGAAGAAAGATGGTAAAAGCTTGGAGCAGGGAGTAGGCAGGGCTGATGAAGTGAAGCTGATGAGAAATGTGCAGAAGAGAAAATAGATAACGAGTTGAAGATCCATTGCTTGGCAGGGGATGACGCCCCGTGTCAGGCTTGTGCAATCTGATTGAGTAAGATGCCATCCCTTGTGGAAGGGAGCATGGGCCAGAGTAGCTGAGGGACTGTTTCTGCTCTAGAAAAAGGAAAACAGTGCTGGGCGAGGGCCCTGGTAGGGCTGAGTTGGATCATCGCAGATGTGGCCTGTGGCTGGTTGCCCTGGGAGGCCCAGTGCTGACATGCTGATGAGGCTCCTGCCCAAACTCCAGCCCCTCAGTGGCTCATTTGCACAGCTCCCTTGGGAGCACAGCCTTTCCCAGTTGCAACCTGACATCTGCACCCAGCTGTCACCTGCCCCAGAAGGTCTCTATCCTGGCTTCCAGCAACCATTGCAACTTGGCAGCTATTCTGAGCTGGGGAAGGTGGTGGTGAAGGGGGCGGGTTGTATTGTCCTTCTAGATAGAGCTGAAGAACATGGCTTTTTGGCCTTAAGAATTTGCTTTAGTTTCTGATTCCATGAAGCTTCTTGGGGAAAATCTCGGCTCTTTGTGTTATTCCTGCCCTCTCTATGTGCTTGCCTTTTGTCCACTTTAATACGTGGTAGTGACCCTCTCGAGAAGGGAAGGAAGTCAAGGGGAGCAGGCACTGGAACTCCCTTCTATGCAGTTGGCTTCCCCTTAAACCCCAACAGCTTGGGGGCCTGCGGGTGGGACAGTCATTCTTTGCCCCTTAAAAAACAATGGATCAACTAATACGTGTTGAGCACCTACTGTATACTAGGCACTGTTCTGGAAGCCAAAGATGTATCAGTGAACCAAACAGATACGGACCCCACACTGCTTCCACTCTAGAGGGGAATGGAGAGACACAAAGTAAAAATCAACTGGATAAGTAAATAAATTATATATGTTGTAAGGCAGTAAGTGATATGAAAAGAAAAGAAGAGGTATATTAGGATAAAAAGGTCAGGGAATGTCAGGGTGGGGGCTGTTGTAATTTTAAATAAGGTAGTCAGGGCAAAGCCTTGTGGAGATGGTGAGAACATGAAGGTAATAGTAACACAGGAAGGACAGAATCCATGAAATGTGCCACACACATGGACAACCAACATGAACAAAATATAGCTGCTGCTTTGTTTAAATTTTGTTTTAATCTTAACAGGCAATACACGTACATGCTCTTGTTAAAAAAAAAAAAAAAGGAATGTTCAAGGGCTGGGCGTGGTGGCTCACACGTGTAATCCCAGCACTTTGGGAGGCCAAGGCAGGCAGATCACCTGAGGTCAGAGTTCGAGATTGGCCTGACCAACATGGCGAAACCCCGTCTCTACTAAAAATACAAAAATTAGCTGGGCATGGTGGTGGGTGCCTGTAATCCCAACTACTCAGGAGGCTGAGGCAAGAGAATCGTTTGAACTCCGGAGGCAGAGGTTGCAGTAAGCCGAGATCATGCCATTACACTCCAGCCTGGGGGACAGAGCAAGACTCCATCTCAAAAAAAAAAAAAATGGAATGTTCACCTGGAACACACCCCTCCCCTTTTGCACCCCATCCCAGTGTAATCTCTTTGGTCTGTATCCTTCCTTTTTTCTGTTACAGACATTTCTATTAGGCGGTGAGCGTGCTGACTTATTTTATGTCAACTATCCTCTACAGCTTGTTTGTTCCACCTAACAACTCTTGAACATCTCCCCACGCCAGCCCCTATCAACCTACTTCATTCTTTTTAAGTGCTATATCATCTGTCACTTTATAATTTTAGTTATTTTTCTGCTGATGAAATTTTGCTTATTTATAGTTTCTTTGCTGTTACAAACAGTGCTGCAAGGAACAACCTTGCAGTTTCATTTTTGTGCACGTGTGCAAATAGTTCTCTAACATAGGTCAGAAGAAGTAGAATTACTAGATCAGAGAACAGTTATTTGTAATTTTTTTTATTATACTTTAAGTTCTGGGGTACATGTGCAGAATGTGCAGATTTGTTACATAGGTATACACATGCCATGGTGGTTTACTGCACCCATCAACCCGTCATCTACATTAGGCATTTCTCCTAATGCTATCCCTCCCCTAGCCCCCCACCACCCAACAGGCCCCAGTATGTAATGTTCCCCTCCCTGTGTCCATGTGTTCTCATTTCATGTTCATCTCCCACTTATGAGTGAGAACATGTGGTGTTTGGTTTTCTGTTCTTGTGTTATTTTGCTGAGAATGATAGTTTCCAGCGTCATCCATGTCCCTGCAAAGGACATGAACTCATCCTTTTTTATGGCTGCATAGTATTCCATGGTGTATATGTGCCACATTTTCTTGATTCAGTCTATCATTGATGGGCATTTGGGTTGGTTCCAAGTCTTTGCTGTTGTGAATAGTGCCACAATAAACATACGTGTACATGTGTCTTTATAGTAGAATGATTTATAATCCTTTGGGTATATATCCAGTAGTGGGATTGCTGGGTCAAATGGTATTTCTAGTTCTAGATCCTCCCTATTTAATAATGGTGCTGGGAAAACTGTCTAGCCATATGCAGAAAGCTGAAACTGGATCCCTTCCTTACACCTTATACAAAAATTAACTCAAGATGGATTAAAGACTTAAACTAAGACCTAAAACCATAAAAACCCTAGAAGAAAACCTAGGCAATACCATTCAGGACATAGGCATGGGCAAAGACTTCATGACTAAAACACCAAAAGCAATGGCAACAAAAGCCAAAATTGACAAATGGGATCTGATTGAACTAAAGAGCTTCTGCACAGCAAAAGAAACTATCATCAGAGTGAACAGGCAACCTACAGAATGGGAGAAGATTTTTGCAATCTATCCATCTGACAGAGGGCTAATATCCCCAATCTACAAAGAACTTAAACAGATTTACAAGAAAAAATCAAACAACCCTATCAAAAAGTGGGTGAAAGATATGAACAGACACTTCTCAAAAGAAGACATTTATGCAGCCAACAAACATATGAAAAAAAGATCATCTTCACTGGTTATTTGTAATTTTAATAGATACTGCCAGCTTGCTCTCCTGACTTCCTCTTGAGAATATAAACACATTATACATACAGTTTCTTTCTAAATGGGACCATACAGTATATAACTTTTATCTATCTGATTTTAACCTGTAAGATATCAGGGATATTTTCTTTCAAACAGGCCTCTGGCCTTCAAGTGAGGCTTATTGCTTTCTCTCCAGGACTTCTCCAGGCCTCGGCCGCCCCAGAAGGCACTCCCGGCAAACCCAGTGCCAGGCCGCAGGAGCCTCCCCAGGCCAGGAGGTGCATCCCCACTGCGGCCCCCTGGTGCTGGCCCTCAGCAGTCCCGGCCTCTGGCAGCACTTGCCCCAAAGGTGAGTCCACGGGAAGCCCTCAAGGTGAAAGCTGGTACCAGAGGGCTCCAGGGGGGCAGGTGTAGAGTTGAGAAAACAAAGCAATTCATGCTTCTTGTGGTCTGGACTGAACTTCCAGAACAAAAGCCAAGGGCAAAACATTCATGTTTCTTGGTGCCCGCTTGACTGTGGAGTTTTGGCTTCATGTGAAAGGTGATTCTTAGAATCCTGAGCTGTGGTGGCTTCAGTCCTGCCCCTGCACCTGACCTGGGGAGGGACCCTGAGCAAGTCCCTCTTGAGTCTGTTTCCTCATTTGTACAGAGGCTATGATGAGCAGTAGTACCAGCCCCATCAGGTTGTTGTGAAGAGCAAGGAAGTGCATTAGTAGAAGCCACCTGGCCTGCGGGAGGCTGTGTACACTTGGCCCCTCCTCGTACTTCTTCTGTGTGGCTGACAGTCTCAGTTTGCCAGTCTTGGCAGTCAGGTCAGAAAGGGATGAGGTGAAGAAGCTGGCTGACCATGCTGTATTCCCACGAGGCATTGAGAAAACTATGGACTGTGCTGCTGCCTTAGCAGGGAAGGGAAGAGGGAGGGGTGGCTGGTCAGCTTGAGATAGGGGCACCTACCACACCCCTTCCTGCAGGGCTGATGGTCTGGGTGAGTGGACACATGGATGGACTTCACAAGAAGCCTTTGTTCTCAGTGGGTGGTCCATCCTTCCTTCTAAAATCGGGAGGATGGCTGCCCCCTTGATCCCATTGATCAGCATCAAGCTGATGTCTCTCTCCCTCCCTTCTTTTTCTTCCCAGTTTCCAGAATACAGATCACAGAGGGCTGGAGGGATGATTAGCTCGAAAATCTAGACCTGTCCAAGGGGCTTCTCCCTTTCCTTGAGCTCTCTGGACACTGCAGAGGACCCATGGCCATGGAACCCTGAAGAAGCATGTCTGGCCGCCTCTGAGCTCCTCCCACCCTCCTCCAGGAACCTCCACATCTCCAAAAATCTCCCTGTTGACTCAGTGCCTCCTCGGCTTCCTTGGAAGCCCAGAGGGACTATGATCTGATGGCCTCTAGGTGTTGTTTTGTGCAATATACAGCCCCAGGTAGGGAGGGGAGAGTATGAGGAGGGTGACTGGCAGCTTCTCCTCCAGACTCCTAGCCCCGAGGTGCTGATGGAGATGCTCAAGGCCAGCAAGCCCCTCAGGCCAGCACTTCGCTTGCAGAAGCCATCCATTCACTCCTGGGGTGCAGGGCACGCAAGAGAGCTTCCCATTGCTTCTGCTCTCCTCAGAGGTCCCGGGCTGGATGGAGGCTGGTACTTACCCACCCCTTTTAGCTTTTAGGGATTAAGGAAGGGTCAAGCCAGCCACTGCTGTGGCCCTGCCCAGGGCTTGGTTGAGGGAACGGCTTCTGGCTGTATGGCTGCATGTGACAAGCCACGTCCCCTCCCACCTCTCCCCAAACCCCTGCATCCCTGTATTCACACGGGTCACTCTGACTCAGACAGGTACTATTCGTAGGCAGTGTAGACAGCAGGAGGAGCACCGGGCTTGGGCTTCCTCTGAGCCGTGATGCCAAAGGTTGCGACTCCTGACTCTGGATAATTTTTAGTTGCTCTTTGTTTTCTCTGCCGCACTTTCCTGGTGCCCCACGCTTTTCTCTCTTCCTTCCCCTCTCATTCTCCCTCTAATGTGTGGTGCTTTGGTGAGCAAACCCTCAGCAGTCCTGACCTTCGGGTGACCAGGTGCTTGTGACCTACAAGTCAGAGTCCTCTCTCACAGTCGGCCACTGGATTTCCCTCACTGGCTCTCAGGAGTGTGACCAGAGTAGACTTGGGGCATGGCCATTGGGGTCATATGTTTATTTTTCATTGTGTTTTGTGACCTCAGCAGGGTGGGGGTCTTCCTCCTTACTCTAAGCTAAATCTAGGTGAGGTTTCCCCTTAGGGAGCCCAGCTATTTACAAAGTACACACGAGGGAGCAGGCTGGTCATTGACTTCGGGCTGGACCGTTGCCCTCTGAGCAGAGAACAGACCCATTTCTGGGAGCTGCCCGAGATCACTGGAGAAGGCAGCCAGCAGCAGCTGCACTGGAACAGTCAGAGCAGGGAGCCTCTTCCTCAACCCAGCTTTTTGTCATTCACTTCCTTTTGTTCTCTCTCTGGTCACTGCCCTTACCTGACCCTCACAGAAAGAGAGCTCTGAGCAGGTGAGGGGGTCTGCGGTGGCTCCTGTCTTCCCTGCAGCAGGGAAGGAGGGCCGTGTGGTGCTTTGCTAGATAGGACGGTTTTTGCAAAGCACCTGGAGATGTTTGCTGGGAGATAGACTCCCACTCCACAAAGGTGCTGGGTGGCTCTCCGGACAGGAGCTGGCCTGACTCTCACTCCTCTGAGGCTTTCCTGGGGCCTCCTCCCATCCTGCCATGAGCAATTGTTTGCTCTTGAAAACCTCACTGCAAGGCTGAGGCTGAGCTTCTGATTCACCACCCCAGGGCCTCCTTATAGTTCTCTGCACACAATAGGTGCTTCTTGGATGTTCTTGGGTTTGGAAATAAGTGGAAAATACGGGATGTACCCCTGGGGGAAAAGCCTGGGTTGGGTTTAGAAAGATCTCAGGAAAATGAGTTTCTCTTCCCTCAGGGTGGCTGTGATACAGGTTCCCCATGTCCTTGCCGTGGGTCATCCTTGCTGTGGGTCATCCTTGCTGTGGAGATCCATTCCCCACCTTTCCTGTGGCCCAACCTTTTATTTAAATGTGCTACCCTCTGCCTCAAGGCTTGGTTCCTGGAAAGTAAAGGTGAAAACATCCCCTTTCACCCCTCTGCAAAACAAACAAGCAACATCCTCAAAACCCAACCCCATGCCTCACAGAGCTTCCTGTGGCTTCTCCAGCCTTTCTCCCTCACATCAGGAGGTAGATAGCTCTGAAATGACAGCGCCACAGCCATAGTGACTGCATGAGCCATCTGAACCTGCAGTCCACCCTCCCTGGAACCACACCAGAAAGAGACCTGGGTTGTCGTTTTCTTGCTTTTTGTTTTGTTTTGTTTTATTATTTTCATATCACCTCCATCCCATAAAGTTGTACTGTGAACTGGAAGATGGTGGAATGTTTTGGAATTTGATAGACTTTCGGCAACCAGTTCTACTAATGCTTCACTCCTGGCTCTGTTCAGGGAGGCTGCCCAGGAGGAAGACTGGCCATTATGCATCCCCTTTTCTTTCCAGTGCCCAGTATGCTGTTTTGAGGTGTCAAATACAAATAAATCTGGGCTTAGGGAAGGAGAGACCTTATTCCAAAGCACGATTGCAGAAGGGGAAAGGGAATATTGCAAAAGGGAGAGGAAGGGGCCTTATGGGAATAGTGAAAAGGCTCAGACCGACCGATGGCAAGATCTGCAAGCGTCTCAAAGCCCAGGCAGAAAAGGACTTTTCTTTTATTGGAAGAAGTAAACATGGCTAGAAAGAACCACGTTCAGGGAATGACGTTGTGCCCAGCCTTTTTTTTTTTTTTTTTTTTTTTGTCTCCAGGGGAGGGGCTGTTTGCTGGCTCAGGCTGAGGATGGCCCAAAGTCCAGGGTCTGGTGGGGAGGAGGGAAGCTTAACTCAAGTTTGGGTTAGTGAGTTAGCAAGCTCTTTGTGCAGATGGGGATGTAGGTAAATCTTTTTAAAAGTGAAATTAACCTCCTGCCAATTTTACAACCCAAGAATTTTTTTTTAAGGGCCTTGGAGCCATCTCTAAAACAAACCTCAAGGGATTTAGTGCCCTGTCTCCCTGTCTCTAGAAGCCTTAGCCTGGGCACCTGGCTCAATCTTGTAACTGCCTGCTAGCCATAGATTCCTTTCAGCCTTGCTGACTTCTCCCTATAAAAGTAAAGCCTTTTTCTGCCCCAGCTCTGAGACACTTGCAGATCTTAAGGTCTGAGACTTGCTGATTTTCTGGTTGGAGTGTTTTTTTGTATTGCCATAGTCCCTTCCCCCTGAAGCAATAGCCCCTCCCCACCTCCTGCAATACGCCTTTCCAATCTTTATTGGAAGTCTCTCCCTGCCTACTTCCTAATTTATTCTTATTTGACAGAGGGTATGGAAGACTTGCAATTTGAAAACTGGGGACCAGTTCCAAAGTCAGTAATTGTGTTAACCACGTGTATAACAGCTCTGCTGGACACCCAAGAAAGCCATGGGAACGCCAACTGGAAAGGTCCCCTTCCCCAGGGGAGCCTGCGAAGGAGAGGTTCTGTAGAATCCAAGCCCACATTTCCAAAGTCACCCCCAACGCGTCCTCTCACACCGTCCACTGTGCGTTTGTATGTGTCTGGGATCCAGGGCAATGTGAATTTTCTTTTTATTTGGGAGATTGTTCACGGAAAACAGATCTTCTTCTCTCTTGTCCACCTATTAATTGTTTACAATATTTGTACATCTATGCAAAATACTTGAATGGGCCATGGTGCCTTTTTTCCTTGTTAGTATTTAATTAAAAATGAATTGTTTGTCATTTGCAATGTTATCTGGTTTGGCAGCTCTTTATTGTGTGTTTGTTGTAATGTCCTACTGCTCAGATTAGATAGGATTCATGACGTGGACTTCAGAAAGAGTTCCCACAAGGATGGTCAGTTCAGCCTATAAAGCCTTCATGGTGGACCCTGAGCCACAGCAAAGCCTATGTTTTCCTATGACCAGTAGAGGGGGCTGTTTGTCTTTACACCTGGACGCAGGCTGCTTATTAAAGGCCTGAATGATCCTGAGATTCTTCGATATGTTTTTTCTCATCCTACACTACTGCATATAGAAGACAGCTGAGAGCCTCTGCTCACCTCCTCATCTTATTAAGGCAAGGGATCATACTTTAAAGAGGGGAGACACTTGCCCCAGGTCTCTTGGGCTGGGTAGGCAGGCACAGCCAGGGATAAGGTTGGGTGTGCTTTCTGATTCCAGAACCCTGCGTGATATCACAGCTCGTATTCATTAGTGCTTCCCAGTCCATAAAAGGATCCCACCCTTATTCTCTCATTGATCCCTACCTCAATTTTGAGGTTCTCTCAGAGAGATGGAGGATTAATAACCATGATCGAAGGTAACAGTTACTCAGTACAGTCGGCCCCCCATATCCGTGGGTTTCAAATTCATGGATTCAACCAACAGCAGGTTGAAATATTTGAAAAAAAAAAAAGTACAACCATAAAAAGTAATACAATTTAAAAATACGGTATAACAACGATTTACACAGCGTTTACATTGTATTAGGTATTATAGAAATCTGGAGATGATTTAAAGTATATGGGAGGATATATGTAGGTTATATGCAAATACTATACCATTTTATATAAGGGACTTGGCCATCCTTAGATTTTGTTATCCATGGGGGTCCTGGAACCAATCCCCTGCAGATACCAAGGAACAGCTGTATTTAACATACGTGAGCCACTCACTGCATGCTGTTTACAAATAAGGATTATCTCGTTTAATCTTCACAAAAACCCTGAGAGAGGCTTCTTGCTCTCTGATTTTACTTTTTTTTTTTTTTTTTAAGACGGAGTCTCTCTCTGTCACCCAGGCTGGGGTGCAGTGGTGCAATCTCAGCTCACTGCAACCTCCGCCTCCCGGGCTCAAGCAATTCTCATGCCTCAGCCTCCTGAGTAGCTGGGATTACAGGTGCCCACCACCACGCCTAATTTTTGTATTTTTAGTAGAGATGACCTCAAGTGATCCATTCGCCTCAGCCTCCTGAAGTGTTGGGATTACAGGCGTGAGCCACCGCACCCAGCCTGATTATATTTTTCTAACCTCTCATGGTTATGAGGTTGCCTATGGACCCTAAAGACATCTAAACACAAATGCTTTCACTACTAACATGCCTGCTCATGAAATTGCTTCCCACTCACACATCCCTACCTGGTTAAGAGGCCACTCTTCCCCTGCTGTCAGCCAGTCTCTGGGGTGATGCTCACGTGTTGGTCACTAGCATAATGGAGAAAGCCTGGTTGGGCAGACCCTGGTTGAAGTCCTCACTCTGCTTGCTACTCAATAGATAAGTGGGCCTGGATAAGTTCCAGATTTCTGAGTCTCTTCACTATACAAATAATATACCTGCCTCAAAAGTGTCGTGATCATCAATGAAATTCTGTATGTGCAAGTCCCCAACAGGGCCTGTCGCAGGCTATGTGCTGAGAAACTGCTGACTACATCAGTTTACAGTTGCTTTGCTTAACATGCAGAGTTCTATTAGGATCTGCCTTGCATTGAGTGCTGGTCCCCAGGAGAGTTTGGGCAAGGAAGGACTGTGATATTGTTCCTTCAATCTTTTCTTTTTCTTTTATTCTTTTAGTGCGTATGATGTGCTAGGCACTGAGGATAAGCAGTAAATCAAAGCCAACTCTCATGAAGCTTATATCCAGATGGGGAAAGAGCACAGATCACAAGAAAATAAATGAATAAAGTAGTAGCAGATTATGCACAAGGCACAGTGGCTCAGGCCTAAAATCTCAGCATTTTGGGAGGCCAAGGTGGGAAGATCACTTTAGGAAAGGAGTTTTGAGACCAGCCTGGGTAACATAGCAAGGCCTCATTTTTACCAAATCTGAGCCTGGGAGTTTGAAGCTGTAGTGAGCTAGGATCACACCACTGCCCTCCAGCCTGGGGGACAGAGCCAGACCCTGTCTCAAAACACAAAAAACCAAAACAGATTATGCAACTGGGGGCAAGGTTAGTCTTGGAGAGACACATTACGCCTGGTGGTTAAACCAGATATCAGCTTTGCTCTTCCTGGCTGGGTGACCTTGGGCAATTATATAAATGGGAATAAAAACGTATCTAACTTGAGGATTTGTGAGGAGTTAAAGAGAATTCACAGGAAGCACCTACTATGCCTGGTGCCTGGTAAGGGCTCAGGTGTTAACTAGGGATGAGTTGTCTTCAACTGACTCTATTTCTGAAACTATCTTTCCCACTCTACCAAGGGTGTTAACTACCACAGACACGGTAGGGGCTTTATTGGCAGTCGCATTCATTCAGAGATTGGAGACTGTCCTTCCAGCCCTAGAAAAACCAGTTTAATCACTCCATGCTCAAGGAAGGTCAAGACACAAGTATCAAGTAAATATAATCTGTAATCTTTATTCTTGACCCTGCAGACCACACTCTTAGGGCCCTCAGTTTACTGCCATTCTCAAGAGCCAACTTGTTGCATTGCTTTTAATTACAGACAGAAATCCACATTCATCAAAAACTGGGGATTTGAGGCTGAAGAGTCAGGGAGCCAGTCTGCTGGTCAGCCAAACCTTGGAGTTCCAAGGCCAGCAGGAATTTACCTGGGCTTGGCCCACTTAGGGCACAGGATATAAACACAGAGTGCAGGTAGAGTCACACAGGGGAGGCCCTGCACCAACCTCGGGGCTGAGGATCAAGTCTTCCCTCTTTCCAGATACACCAGCCCACTAATTTCCCTTTCTAATGGTTCTTCTCCAACCCCCACACTCTTGTGGCTAGAAAGGAGATAGGAAGGGAAGGAATAGTAATTATCTCCCTCTCCAGCTGCTCTGGTTTTTTGTATGCCTCTGGCCAAATGTGAGGGGACCAAAGGTACTCCCCATAGCAGGTGGTGTTGGAACAGTCAGGGCATGCTGCTTCCCAGTGTGGGCAGCTCATCAGTGGAGGAGGGGACTCGGTAGCAATCTGGTCAACAGCTAGAATGCACCCCATGCCAAGTCTGCACCTCCAGTTGGCCATTGAGATTCACAGCTGTCCAAGCCTTTAAGGCTGCAACCCAGAAATTACCCCTGAGCTCGTTTCTCCTAAGTTCCCAGATGAGCACCAGAGTCAACACAAAAGTTAGCCCCTAGTATCCAGAGAGCCTGGGACTGCCTTCTGCCAAATCCCAACTTTGCTCCTCATCCTCTTCCCACCTCCCCAGATCATAGGTTGGTTGACTCCTTGAGGAATAGTAAAGTGCGTTCTGCCAAATTCTAGCTTGGCAGCCAGGCCACTTTGAAGCAGTGAATTTGCTGTTCTTCTTTCAGAGTAAGACAAAATGCAACACTGGGTTTGGCCACCAGAGTTTGGCTGTGGCTCTATTATTGTTTTGTTTCCAGTTCTGCGATTACTGCCTTTATGTCTCAGTGACCGACTCCTTAGGATGTAAGTAGAGGGGGAAGGGGTGATGGTGGGATGGACTGGGTGGATGCCGAGGTGCTGACTGCCAGGCTGGAGTGCTCGGGGAATGAGCTGGTTGAAATTTTTCCCTGAGACATCAAGTGGCTTTCACAGTAAGAAGGTCAGCTGAGGTCTTGCTTCTGCCTCCAAAGAGGAAGTGACAAAGGCAACAGGATATTTTACACTGGTTGTGTCCCTGTCAGCTCTGGATAGGGAGGCATGGCCAATTGCTCTGTGGGCCTCTGGGAGCCAGCTCTATGTCATCCTTGGGCTAGAAAACAACAACAACAACAACAACGGAGATTCCGTCTCAGGAGGAGAATTGGTGTGAAGGAACTTCCAATGACCAATATCTTAGAGAAGTCCTTGGACTGTGCTACATTCAGTGGGTCAGACTCCATCTTCTTCCCAACGGCATAGAGATGGCACCGAAAGAATGAATGAGAAGGAAGGTCCAGGGAACCTGCAGGCACTGATGTAAACTTGGGTATTTGGTCACTGAATCTGTTTCCAGGAAGTTCTGCCACCATTGCTATTTGGGTAAAGATTTTTCTCCTGGAAACAGTGATGAGGTATAAATGAACTTCTCAAGAAAAGAGAGCCCATTGGTAACAGTTGCACTGGAAAATAACCAGGTGGTTTTGAAATTGGGAGGGCAGGCTGTACCATCGGACTCATCCTCTCACTCACATATTCCAAGCTTCAGGAATGGATTATAAATACTTTGGGTTTCTCTTCTGGTGATGAGGTGCTGGCAAGTTCTATATTGTCCACAAGGACGTTCTTGTCTTCCAGTCTAATAACAGTGGGTTCCGGGGCGGGAGAAGGGGGTGGGTTTTTGTGCATGTGGGGCAAGCTGGCGCAGCTGATGTCCAGGTCTTTGAAAGCATGCAGCATGAACACGCCCAAGATGATGGTGACAAAGCCCGAGAGGGTGCCTGCAATGTCCACAGCAGACATGCTGTACCACTCCTTGAAGAGGATGATGGACGAGGTAACGACCACCGTGGTGAAGAACACGTAGTAGATGGGGAACACCAGGGAAGTGTTGAAAATGTCCAGTGCTCTGTTGAGGAAGTTGACCTGAGTGCTGAGGGACAGTGCCAGGATGAGGGACAGGATGTAGGGGAGCGGGTGCCGGACAACTGGCAGCCCCTGGAAGAAGTTCTTGATGGTGATGCCCAGCCCCTTGACAGCAGCCACAGAGAAGGCCCCGATCACAGAGCAGATGATGATGTAGATGAGGATATTCCTTTGCCCGTAACGTGGGGCAATGACAAAGATGAGGATGAGGCATGACACCAGCAGAAGCACAGCAAACACGATGAACCCTTTGGGAGGAGAGAGAGAAGGATCACTTGGCTGTGGAGGGTGCAGGCAATGTCTAGGGCCCAGACTCATGGCAGTGGGAGGTAGCATTAAGATCGTGGGCTCTAGAGTCAGACAAACCCGGGTTCCAGTCCCAGCTTCATGACTTCCTAATAACTTGGTTAGGTTTTTAAACCCCCAAAAACTCAGTTTCCCCATTTGTAAAAGAGGACCAACAATAGGATCATCCTCATAAAGCTGTTCTGTGGGATTCAGTGAGATAATGTATATAAAGCATTCATAACAGTGCCTGGCACATAATAAACACTTATTAATGGTACCCATACATATCAGGCCAGGAAGCCTTTAAGCTAGCCTTGCTAACAAGTACCAGCCCATTAACATTTCTTCTTTAGCTTGCCTTCTCCTCTAGGTGGCAGCACCTGAGGTGGTCAGAACCCAACCTGACCTTTTGTGGGGTAGTAGGGGGTGTTCAACCTCCAGTATTTTCCTGCTCTTCAGGGGCTTGGAGTCTACCTGTGTCTTTCATCTTGGAAGCCATCTCCATGATGGTAGTGACCTTCTCTTCCTCAGGAGCATGTATCACCATCACTGTGCTTCCGGCCACACAGATCACACAGCCCAGCTTCCCCAGCAGGTTCAGACTCTCCCTCAGGAAATATGAGGAGAGGATGGCACTGCACGTGGAAATGGGAGAAGGGGATTAGAGCAGCCATGCCTGTCCCAGAGTCCCAAAGAAAATGGGGCCTGAGCAAGCACTCACAGAGAACAACAGATCAGAACTCACTAGTTTCTCACGTGGAAGGTTTTCTTCCAAAAAAACTTACGTTACCATGGGCAAATCATGTGACCTCCCTAAGCCTCATTGTCCCCATCTGCAAAATGGGGATGCTAATAATATCCACGGGAGACATTGTTCTCAGGAACTAAATGAGATAATGCACAGAAAATGCACAGTACAGAGCTGGTACTGAAGAATAAACACAGCTGTCACATATGGAGGGCTTAGTATGTGCTGAACATTCTGAATGTATCCCGCATATTAACTCATTTAATCCTCACAGCATCCCTAGCTGAGGCCAAGAGAGGTTAAGCAACTTGGCCAGGGTCACCAGGTTCTAAGAGGCCAGGCTGGAATTCTAACCCAGGCAGTCTAATTCCAGAGTCAGGGGGCTTAACTGCTATGCCACATTGCCACTGAAATAAACCCTCATCAAATGTCTGATAGTTTTAAAAACAGTTCATACGAAATATCTGTGCTTCCCACTGCCCCCAGTCCTCCTGAGCTGGGGCCAAAAAATGTTTGATATAGAAACTCATTTCTGGGAGTGTTACAATATTTGCTGGAGGAATAGAAATGCAGGTGAATTTCTTCCATTTTAGAGACTGAAAGTATTCCCAAACAGAAGAGTTGGAAGAACACTTCAAAATGCTCTTGTCTAACTGCCTTCCCAATGGACACATCCTCTCTTAGCACTGCCAACAGATGGCTCTCAGCTTTGGCTTATAGATACCTCTGGTGGCAGGGAGCCCACCCCTTCACAAGCCAAATGAGGCCATTGTAGGTTTGCTCTAATCATTTACCAAAAATATGCCTTCTGGTAATTTCTATTTTTTGCTCTATCTCTGCTCCTCGGGTCATTCATAACACACCTATTATTTCATTTGTATAAGCCAGTGTAAACAACCTCAGTGACAATCACAGGTACCATGTCTTAGGCATTTATTACCTACTATGTATGGTGCTAGGAACTTCCCGTCTATCACACTAGCATCTCATAACTCTTTGCAAAGTGAAATATACTATCTCCAGTTGATAAATGAGAAGACTGAATCTCAAAGAAGTTAAAATGACTTGGCAAGGTCAAATGACTAGCAAGTAGTGGAACCAGGAATTGAGCTCGAGTCCTTTCTAATTATAAAGCTCATGGGTTTTCTTCTATGCCTCGTTGAAGAGGATCCTTGTGACTTCCCTGAGTCTTCAATTTCTGGGCAAATTATCTCCAGTTCCTTGCTGCACCGTGGTGACATGATTTCTATTCCCCTCATATCCTCGAGGCGAGCCAGCAGAAGCAAGAGAGGAAGGGAAAAAAAATCACAGGCAAGCCTCGTATAATCACGGGGGCATGCTTCTGTCTCTTCATGAAGGTGGCTTAGTTTAGGGTAAAAACCTATTGGCTATCTCAGGACATTGGCTATTTTTAGCCTTAAAAATCCTGGTTCAAGTTGTCAGGAGAGAGGAGATTGATATCTAAGCTCTCTTGTCTGTCTTCCGTCTTTCCTCTGAAACTACCAAAAATATTTTGGCCGCAATGTCCCATTCAAGAGATTATTCATGCAGGCAGGGGCCACACACTGGAGGATTTTATGGCTCTCCCAACTTCCCCCGGGTAGGAATTTGCAAACTAATCAGATATGCAATTATGGTACCACAGCTACATCAGCTGTGTTAGGCCAGTTATACAGCATGAATCAGGCGAGTTGTACAGCATGAGTTCTATTTGTTTTTTGAGTGTGTAAATGTTGCAAAATTTTCATCAAGATGGTAAAACAAATGATGGGTACTGGGTGTGGTCTGCTACAATTTACCGGCGTTCCAAGGTTACGCCAACAATCAGAGTCTCCTTCAAATAGGGCTCCAGGACCCCCACAGAGGAGCTGGCTCTGTGTTTGTAGCTCAGGGGGACTAGGGGCAGTGGGAAGCACAGACATTTAGTATCAATTATTTTTAAAACTATCAAACATTTGTTGAGTGTTTACTTGAGAGGCAATGTGGCATAGCAATTAAGCCCACTGACTCTGGAATTAAGACTGCCTGGGTTAGAATCCTGGCCTGGCCTCTTAGAAGCTGGTAACTTTGGCCAAGTTGCTTAACCTCTGTTGGGCTCAGCTAGGGATGCTGTGAAAATTAAATGAGTTAATATGCATGATACATTCAGAATGTTCAGCACATACTAAGCCCCTACTATGTGATAGCTGTGGTTATTGTTTGGTCCCAGCTCTGTACTGTGCATTTTCTGTGCATTATCTCATTAAATCCTCAGAACAATGCCCCCCAGTGGGTATTATTGGCATCCCCATTTTGCAGATGGGAAAAATGAGGCTTCGAGTGACTAAGTGGCTTAAATGACTTGCCTATGGTAACGTGACTACTAAGTGGCAGAGCGAGGATTAGAACTCAGGCAGCATTAATCCGGAGCACATGCTCTTAACTTGTATGCTGCATCTATCACGGCACCAAAATAGTGACATGCGCCGTTCACCCTGGTGACGGTGGAAGCCCTTCCAACTGCTTTGGGCTTGGCCTGCCTCTCTATTACCCAGTCAAGGGGATGCTAGGGCAAGAGGCAGCAAACATTCCCAGGGTCTATAGCTCTGGACAGCACACTGCCTCTTTCTGGAGGCTGAGACCAACCCAGGTCCCTGATTGCCAAGTGGCAGTCGATCCCACTTGGCAATTCCAGGCCTCAACAAACTGAAAACGGAATAGAAAAAGAGAGAGCTAGAGAGGGGACAATAACCTTATGAGGACACTCAGCGCTCCCAGAGGCGTGACGACTGTTGCAGGTGCAAATGCGTAGGCTCCAAAGTTGGCAACTTCTCCAGCAGCCACTAGGAAACGAAGGGAGAAAAGAGGCTAGCATGGCGCAGAAGCACCATCTCCATTCCAGACGAATAATTCCGTGTGCAACAAGCTGGAGAATCCCAGACCAGCATTCCTTAAAATCTTGATCCATACGCTCTCTCCCTGGAGAGTCTGATCGAAGGTCAGTCCCAGTCTGTCCAGATCAGATCCTTCCACTTTAAAGATGGTGAAGCTAAGGCCCCAAGCCCAAGGTCACGTGACATGCTTATGGTGTAGAAGCCCTCTTGTTCTTTAGGCCTCTTGGCTTCTAGTCTGACAGGCACAGTTAAATTTGTCTCAGGGACTGCCAGTATTTTGGACTAGATTTTTAATTTAAATTCTAGGAAGTGTTAATTATCAAAGGAAGAAACAGTTACAATTATTGGTTCTCCAGGTACCAATTGGTCCATGGACCCCACTTTTCCCCTCTTTTCCAGGGGAATTTTCAACAGTCTGGACTAAGAGGCAGGTGGTTAGAAAAATCTGACATTTCTGGCTGGGCGCGTTGCCTCACACCTGTAATCCCAGCACTTTGGGAGGCCGAGGCAGGTGTATCACCTGAGGTCGGGAGTTCGAGACCAGCCTGACCAACACGGAGAAACCCCGTCTCTACTAAAAATACAAAAAAAAAAAAAAATTAGCCAGGCGTGGTGGTGCATGCCTGTAATCCCAGCTACTCGGGAGGCCGAGGTAGGAGAATCACTTGAACCCGGGAAGCAGAGGTTGCTGTGAGCTGAGATTGCACCATTGCACTCCAGCCTGGGCAACAAGAGTGAAACTCCGTCTCAATAAATAAATTAATTAATTAATTAGCAGGAAAAGAAAAATCTGACATTCCCAAGGGGCCTAAGTTCTTTCTCTCTATCTGAGTTTCCAGTTTGTAAACTCCTGAGTTAATACACAGGATAACACTTAGAAAGTTTAGCAGACAGTAAACCCTCAATATGTGATAGCTGTGTGTGGTTATCAGAAAAGTGTCTTTTTCCATCTCTCTGCTGATAGAGAACCACCTGGGTCTCCCCTTTAAAAGCAGATGGTCACTGGGATAGCTCTGGCTGAGACGAGGATCAAAACTTGACATAGGGGATTATGAATGGAAACCTGGTTAATTTTCCACCTAAAAGAGTCAGGGTTTGATAGCAGGAGAGGGTGGGTGGAAAGTGGGGGAAATGTGTGAGTATGCAAATTTGGGCAAACTTTAAGTAACGGACCAGCTATGTTCTAAGTGGGCCAACACATTAACTGCCTGCGGACTGGGGGAAGTTGGCCTAGGAGTTCCAGCTTCTACCATGTAGAAGTCAAGAGTCCACTACCAACAGGCAGTGATATTATCGAGCTATGTTTAAAGGCAAGTTGAGAAAATACACCTTCATGGTTGCCAGCTCTGTGCAAACCTCTCTGGGAGTAGACGCTTCATGGATGAAGACTGACTTTGATGGTAAGATGTTCTCCCTGTAAAGGTTGTCAAGGTTTTCCCCTGGGAATCTGGGCCTCAGATTCACACTTGCCATACTAGAGACAAAAATGCCCTACCCACCCCTCCCTTTGTCTCCAGCCCTGCTATCAATAGGCCACTGTTATTAGTAACAAACAACCCACTTACTGGTGAGAAATCCAGCCCACCACATTGCATCTTTCAGGTAGCCGAAGCCTCCATCCACTGTGGAGGGAATGGACACAAAGTTAGGATGGAACTTGGCCACACTTTCTCAGGTACCTTTCCTAACTCTCTGCTCACTCCCCGGCCTCTAAGGGCTGCTCCTTGAGGCTTGGTTCTGGGCCTTCTCCTGGGTGGGTTCATTTGTTCCTAAAGTTTTAAATACCATCTATATCTGATGCCTCTATATCTGTAGCCTGGACCTTCCTTCTGAGTCCAGGTGTATATCCAACTGCTTACTTCACATCTCCTCTTGGATTCCTCACAGGCATCTCAATTTCTGTCCTAAATGGAGCTCTTGGTTTTAAATGTTCCCCACCCACCTGCCAAATGAAACATAGTAAGTGGCACTCTCATTTATCCAGTTGCTTAAGCCAGAAACCAGGGAATTGCTCTTTGACTCTTCTCTCCCTCCTTCTGCATCCAGTCCATCCTGATAACTCTGTCTCCAAAAAGATCTCGCATGTGTCCACTCCGCTGCCACCTGCTACACGAAGGCACTGTTATCCCTGCTTCAGGTTGAGGCAACAGCCTCCTTCATAGTTACTCTGGTTCCACTCTTGGCCCTTTAATAACCTATTTTTCTTTTCATGGCAGCCAGTCGTCTTTTAAGAATGCAAATCAGATTATGTCACTCCGCAACTTATGGCTGGCAATGGCTTCTGAGTGCTCTCAGGATAAAGACCAGAATCCTTAACAAGAGCATGCATACTTTTGGCCCTGCTCACCTGTCCAAGTGCATCTCCTGCCACTCTTCTCCTCTCTCTTAGCTCTCCAAAAACGATGAGCTCTTTTCTGCCTCGAGGCCTTTGCACATGCTTTCCCTGTGTCCAGAATACTCTATTATTTGCCTAAACTTACACTCACTCTACAGGTTGCTGTGTGAATGTTGCTTCCCCTACGATGCCATCCCTGACTCCCTGATTTCTATTATTTCCTGTTGGAGTTCCTTCTCTCCCTCCCTCCCACCATCCTTTCCTTCCTTCCTTTCTCTCTCTCTTCCTTCCCTCCCTCCTCCCTCCTTTCTTCCTTACCTTTTTCCTTCCCTCCCTCCTCCACTGCAGGGTCTCCCTCGGTCACCCAGGCTGGAATGTGCAGTGGCATGATCATAGCTCAATGAAGCCTCAAACTCCTGGGCTCAAGGGATCCTCCCACCTCAGCCTCCTGAGTAGCTGGGACTAGTCATATGCCACCATGCCTGGCTAATTGAAAAAAATTTTCTGTACAGATGGGGGTCTTGCTATGTTTCCCAGGCTGGTCTCAAACTCCCGGACTCAAGTGATCCTGACACCTCAGCCTCCCAAAGTGCTGGGATTACAGGTGTGAGTGACTGTGCCCAGCTGGGGTTCTCTCATAACACCCAGCTCTTCTCTTTCATGGCATTGTTGTTCTTAATTTTAGTTGATCTTCTTATTTTATGACATTTCCCCCAGTAAAATGGAAGCTCCACAAAGCCAGGAATTGTGTCTGCTTTGTTCAGGACCTGGCACGTAGTCAATACTCAGTAACATTAGCAACAACGATGATGATAATAATGGATGATGATAGATGGGTTTGAGACAGTTTCATAAAAATCCAAAAATTTATGTTGCTTTTGGGAATGCCCACTTTTCTAAGGAAGAGGTGTCCTATTTTCATTAGGTTCCTAAAAAGGTCAGAATTTCCCATAAATGTTAAGAACTCTGAGAACATTTTACTCTAAGGGTTGAAATCACAGAAGATACTGAAATAGTAGATTGGAGAAAAAAATGGATTCCAGGGAAGTTGTCTTTCTGAATGGTCAATGATACCTTCTCTGAACACAAGCAGAAATTTCCCTGGCACTCTGGAAGGTCTCTGGCCTTTCCAACACTTGTCTAGAAGTGAAGGGTGGAATGGCAATGACCATTGTTCCTGACTTCATCTCTGCACCTCACAGCTATTCATTTTGCAGCACACATGGGCTCTAGACCTGTACCTCTAACTGTGGGAACCTCCCACTGAGATAACAGTAATACCAATACTAGTGCTAGTCTGTGCACTAGTACCTCTAACTGTGGGAACCTTTCACTGAGATAACAGTAATACCAATACTAGTGCTACTCTGTGCTAGGTATGATTCTAACTATGTTGCATTTTCTTATAACCCTTTAGGCTGGTACTATTCTTATCTCCATTTTATAGATGAGAAGACTGAGGCATAGAAATAGATACTTTTCTTGCCCAGAATTGAATCACCAGGAATTGAGGAGCCAGAATTAGAACCCTAATAGTCTGCTTCCTAAGTGCAATATCCCACAAAAACATTAAATTGAACGTGTCCAAACTTGAATGCATCATCTTCCCATAAACCTGTCCCTCCTTCTACACTCTTCATCTCAAGAAATAGCACTTTCATCACCCCAGTTGCTCAAGTCAAAAGCATGAGTCATCCTTGACTCCTTCCCCCGCCCCTCCTCCCTTGCTTGAAGCCGGTCTGTATCAAAGCTGGTAAATTCTACCTTCAAAAACTAGCTTTGGAATCCACCAGTTGTCTCCATTCCCATTTCCGTCTCCCGGGCTCAAGTTCTGTCCTTTCACTCACCTACTTGGTTTCCCAGGCTCCAGGCTTGTCCCCTAATCCGTTCTTCACCCAGCAACCAGGGATCTTTTCAAATTGCAAATTAGACTGTGTCACTCGCCTTCCTAAAACCTTTCAGTCACTTAACAATTGCACTCAGCCTCTGTACTTCCATTTACAAGACCCTTCATGAGCTGGCCCTTCACTCACCATGCACCCCTCCTGCTCCTGCCATTCTGAATGACTTTCGATTTCTAGTATCACTCAAGTTCTCTCACCTCTGAGCCTTTGCACGTGTTATTCCTTCTGCCTGGAACACTGTCTCCCTATTTCCCCTTTTACCTTGCTGTCTCCTCATAATCTAGGTCTCAGTTTAGAGATCATCTCTTCTAGAGAAACCTCCCCTAATCCCCCAAGTCTGGGCTTTACACACCCCTCCAAAATATTCCCCCATAGCAGGCTGTGTTTTCCCCATGATGGCACTTAACACATGATAAAACAACTGCCTATTGACTCATCTGTCTCTTCCACTTGACTGAAGGTTCCACGAGGACACTGAATCCCCATGTCTAGCATTGTCCCTGGCATACAGCAGGCATGTGATAAATGGTGATTAAATGAATGAGTCATTTTGCACAGGATTCCTTTTCTCAAGCACTGTTTCACGGAAAAACATCTTATTTTCCAAACAAGCAAATCCCTTGGGGTCAGACAGTTCACCATTTTTTGGCAGCCCAGAAGGGAGCTCAATTGGATGCTAAGTGAGGGCACACCAGCGTCTGACATTGTTCTGAGCAGAAGTATCTATTCCCATTTTGCAGAGAAGCTGTGACTTGCCTGTGATGACGTTGGTGGGAAGTAAGACCAAGACCAGACATGCATATCTGATTCTTGGTCCTGAGACTTGTCCCTTCCCTCCTCTAATAAACACATCATGAAGGTCTCAGGAAAGATTGGATTCTAAAGGAAGGCATCCTGTTTGCTCTCTAAACTGAGACCTCCTATTGGAGGCCTTCCTTTATAACCCTAAACCCTAACCCTGTTGGCAGGTGGGATTCCAGATAGGGTTGACAATGAGCCTTTTGTACCTTGCTGAGGCCATCCTCTTAGACTACAGCCCCGGACCTTGTGAGAGCTCAGCTGCCCTGGGCCCTATCCTCTCCTGGCCCAGGAACCTACCAGCTCGAGTGGCTCCCGTGGCCACGAGTCGCAAGAGGCCTTTCTTCTTGAGGATGACGCTGCTGCCGATGAGGAAGCTAGACAGGAATGCCAGGCCCAGGCCGATGTAGAAGCCATAGTTCTGCCTGATTCTTTCCTGCCAGCTGTGAAAGGTGGCATTGCTGGGCACCTCAGGGCTGAGGTCATTGACAATCTGGCACAGGACTTCTTGGGAGGAGCAGTAGAGGTGGAGCAGGGAACCTGGATGGGAAGACCACAGTGAGAGAGTCACACTGGGGACAATTGCACACTTTTAAAATATTGGAATTGGCCACTGTTTCAAACCCTGTGCTTCCGCTACTGCAGGGCTATACCCATATACCGTGCCTCCACCTAAAAATAATTATGTTCAGTGAGTGCTTACGCTAGTTAGGGGCTTTCTTTGCATGACCACAACAAATTTGTACCACCACGTGCCAGATAACAAACCTGGGCACAAGGGCAGACCCTCAGTCAGAAGAAGTACATAAGTTCAATGAAACTGCAAAGAATAGCCAATAATTCTTCAGTGCTACTACTCACATGGTCCTCTGCTCTGGGGTTTTCCAGGAGGGTTTCTAATGACCACTTGGAAGCAGGCACAACAATCTTTTATAGGCTTTTAGTTGAAGAAACCAAAGCTCTGATAAGTTTAGTAACCTGCCCAAAGCCAAAACATGGGTACTGAATAGTGAAGCCAGTGTCAGATTCTAAGCTTATCTGATGCCAAAGCCCAGGCTCTTAACCATCACACACACCTCAATAAAGCAGGTAGCATCTGGCCTCCTAAGAGGCTTTTTGTTTGTTTTTGTTTTTGTTTTTTTGTGTAGAGATGGGGGTCTTGCTATGTTGCAGAGGGTGGTCTGAACTCCTAGCCTCAAGCTATCCTCCTGCCTCAGCCTCCCAAAGCACTAAGATTACAGACGTGAGCCACCGTGCCTGGCCCTAAGAGGTATTTTAAAATAGAAAACATTTAAAAATTGGGAGATTTTCCATGAAAATTCAGATGGGAGGCTACGGTGAAAAATCAGATCTGCTTACCATATTGGGCCCTCTTCTAAGGCAACAACTGGCTGCAGCTGGGCAGTGTTGCCCCCTAAAATAGGACATACTCTCTGCAGTTCCCCAAGAGTCTTATCTGGCTCCTTTCAGTAATTTCTAGCACGTGCTTGGCCTTTGTAGGCATCTGAGTTTGTTACCTCTGGAGGTAGCCTTTTTCAAGCTGTGTGTCACCAAGGCCCAGGTCCCTATGCCAAGGATGTAAGCCTCAACCAAGTATTTCTCCCACCAACCTAGAACTCCCAGGCAGTGCCTGGAAGGGCCCCAAAGTCCATGGTCAAGCAACTCTGGCTCTGGCACATCTGCAGGGCAGAGTGGCATCTTGGTGGAACAGACTAAAGGCAATGTTGACCTTTCTTCCACGACACAGACCCATGAATAACAGAGCTTGAAGAGCCCTTAGAAAGCAGTCTAAATTCTTATTTTTTCTGGGGAAACTGAGGCCCTGAGAAAGGGAAGAGCTTGCTTAAGTCACCCCAACATCTGGTGAAAGATCTGGATCCAGCACCCACTGGGGCACATCCATGTGTCTTTTGCAGTGTGATATCTCTCTTTCCAAAACTCGTGTCACAATCAAGGGAAGATGAGACAAGAGGCATCTCAGTCCCTAATCAGACTTGTTCTGCACTGCTCATTCCTGTTTCTCCAGCTCAGGCTTCCTTGCCCAAGAGCTGAATCTGGGGAGTTCCCTGAGCCCAGGAAATGAGCCAGAACCTGGGAGAACATGGGCTAGGGGAGGTGACTCCTGAGAGGAAGACCAAACTCATCCCCACGCCCTTCCCCTGCTCCCTGAAGGTGCACCTCTAGCAGATGGAGCCAACGAACCCTCTGTGGATGGACTTGGCTGTCACAGTAAAGCCCGCAACACCCAAGGGCTGAGCATCCTCCATTGAGTCAAGTTCTCCCACTGCAGTGAAAAGTAAAAGACAGAGGGCTGATGGCCAAAGTAATCCAATTCTGAGCATGGGCCAGATGATTCCTGTTATCTCTTCCAGAATATGCTAGGACTGGGGAACACATTCTGGCCTAGAGAAAAGGTGAGGCTGAAAATGCCTGCCTTGTTCAGGAAACCAAAGTCAGACACCTAACAGGCTGGCTTTGAAAGCTTCACTGTAGAAGGGAAGAGGTTAGAGAAACAGGGACATGCCACAGCCTGCAGTTCCAAGACAAGGTAGGAAAGTGGAGCCACACCAAGGAAGGAGTTGAGGTTTTACTGTCCACCAGCCTTGGATCTATATTCCATTTCCTCACTGTATTACCTTGAGCAAATTATTAGCTGCTCAGAGCCTCAGTTTCTGGATCTTTAGAGTGGGGATAGCAAGATAGTAAAATAATAATACCTACCTACCTTCTAGAGTTGTTTTAAGGATTCAGTGAGATAATGCGGGTAAAGGGCCTAGTCCACTACCTGCTTTATGGTCAGAACGCAATAGGAAGTCAGGGGTCTTTCTTTACCCCTTCCTGTGGTTCTTTTTCTTTTCCAAAGACAAGACCGTCCTGTGATGGTCCTCCCATTGACCCAGAGAGAAAGCCCAAACTGCGCAGGTACTAAAACCTGAAGCAACTACACATTAAAAACACAGAATCCTCCCCCCGCCCCCACCACCTCTCAGGGTGTCTGCTGTCGTCAAAATGCCTGCCCCCCACTAACCCCCCATCTCAACCCAGGGGACATACTTTCCTTCCCTGACTCCTCTCAGCCATCCCAGCTGCGAAGATGAAAGTGAAGTCTCAGCCAGAACCCAGATCTTCAAAGCTGGGTGGGAGCCACCTCGTGCTGGCCCTGCCCCTCCCCAGCTTTGGCCCCCCTGGGAGGAGAGGATGCGAGGGAGAGCGGTGGCAAGGAGGGGAGGGCGCGAAGCGCGGAGCCCGCCTGGTCCCCAGCCCTGCCGTACGCACCGTTCTCGCAGCTGGTGTTGCTGACCCGCAGCTCCATGGGGCCCGGGGCACACGAACCGACGCGCGGGCGGACGGCGCCCGGGCTCCCCAGCTCCGGAGCAGGTGGCCGCGACTTGTCCCCCGCGTGGCTCGCGCGCGAGAAGCCGCCGGGGTCCGGACCCAGGGGTGGGGAGAGTGACGCGTCCCAGAGTGGGAGAGTCCCCGGGGAGGAGTCACCCGGCATCTTGGGCAATTCCGGGGGCAGGGGGCCCAGGGCTGGGGCCGCCCGCAGAGGGGCGCATGCCTTCCTGGGGTGAGGACGCTGCCAGGCTCCCAGCTCTGGAGTCACCGCCCCGTGCTAGGGGCAAGAGGTGAGGAGGCGGGTTCCCCGGCACCGCTCCTCCGATGCCTGCACCGGCACCCAGCTCCATCCCCAGGGAAAGAGTACAGGGGACCTAGATGGCTGGAGAAGGGGCAACTTTCCTGCCGAGGTGGAAGTGGCAACATAGGGGTTGGAAGTGGGTACTGCTGCCAATTGGGAACCTGGGTTCCTTCTTTTCCTTCCTTCTCGCCCTCCTACCCTCCCCCTCTCCTTCCTCCCCTCCACCTTTCCTCCCTTCCTTCCATTTCACCCTCCTGCCCTTCCTCCCTGCCTTCTGCCCTGCGACCTCCTTTCCTTGCCTTACCCGTTCATTGATTCAACCCAGGTCTGATCTGTGCTGGTAGGTAACAGGTACATAGTGAGTTAATGCTCAATATATATTTATGTCTAATGAATAGATAATAGGAGCTTGGTAAATTAAATGAAAGAAGGAAATGAAGTGATTGGAGACCAAAATGAGTCAGACTATTCCCTGTCCCCCAAGTACCTTATATTTTAATGGGGGAAACAAAATGTGATCATCTCTTAGAGACCAATGTTTTTGAAATTACCACTTTAAAATTATTTATACACACACACACATACACACGTTGTGATGGAAAGCATATTTGTTACTATGGGTAACAGTAAAAAGCAAGTTAGAAAACCACTGACCTGGAGCATAAAAATAGGTATGTAGAGTTTGCTATAGGCCAGGCAGAGTTCTAAGTGCTGAAAAATTCCAGTTCATTTAATCTTCATGACCGCCTTATAATGTACAGACTTTTATTATTTACCAAAAGGAAACTGAGGCACAAAGTGCTCAAGTAACTTGCTGGGGATCTCAGCTGAGAAGCAGAAAAGCCAGGATCAAACTCGTGCTGTCAGTGGTCACATTAAGCCGCCTGGCATTTTACACTGAAATAAACTGCTCCTGGGCAGTGAGGGTGTGGGGCTACTGAGAAAGCAGTGATTGGTTCTGCCAGTGGTGCTCACCGGCTTCCTGGAGGAGGCAGCTTTTAAGAATTGTTATGTATGGAGTCGTCAGCATGGGCCAGACACTGTGCTAACCCCTTTCCAGGCACTGTCTCATCGAAGCCTCCTAGGAGACAGATATCCTTACTCTTTCCATGCTACAGATAAGAGGAAACTGTTATTTTTAAAAATTTTATCATGAGATAATTTTAGACTTATAGAAGAGTTACGAAAATAGTATAGAGAGTTCCCATATACCTGTCACCAGCTTCCCTTAATGTTAACATCTTGTATAGGAATAGAAAAAACTGTCCTTTAAATACTCTGAGACACTTGCTCCCAAGGTTGCACAGCTAGTGAACGAGGGTGCCAGGTGTAAACCGAGCTGCTCTGACCCCAAGCCTGTCCTCCTACCTACGACCCTCCACTGTCTACTTGCGGACCTCTAGCTGGGCCTCTAAGGATGGGTTCTCCCAGCATGGGGCTTCCTCTAATTTGCTGGATGACTTTAAACAAGTTGCTTACTCTACATAAGGATCAATTTCTTTGTCAAATGCAACAGCCCCTTCTCCAAGGGGTCGGGATCGGGTTGGGGAAGGGAGAGGTTAAAAGAGAAAGGGAAATGTGAGACACAGCAAATGTAACAAGCCACGTTTGCTCATTTTACTTGCTGCATAATTTCACAAGCCCTTGATTCTGTAATGATGTGCACCTCTCTGGAAAAATGCTTTGAAAACAAAGCAGGATACAGCACAAGGCCCCCACAACTTTTGCCTGAGACACTATATTTCTTAAAAGATAAATGACCCTAGACCTTGCCTATTCCTACACATAGGATAATGTTTGACAAGGTTAGTGACTATGCCTCTATCATCTATAACCAGATATACTCTTGCACCCAGACTTTCATGTGATTCTGCTTTACTGTAACTTCTGAGCAAGTTTGATGTAATGTTTGAGCACATACTGCACTTCTGCTACGTGTATATCAGCTATGAGCTAAAACACTGTTTCAGAGCAGTGGGACAGGACCTCTCTGAAAGACTCCTCCCAGACTTTGTCTTCAGTCTCTAGTCCTCAGTAAGACTTCTGCTTTTTTTTTTTTTTTTTTTTTTGAGACAGAGTCTCACTCTGTTGCCCAGGCTGGAGTGCAGTGGCTCGACCTCGGCTCACTGCAAGCTCCGCCTCCCATGTTCAAGCGATTCTCCCACCTCAGCTTCCGGAGTAGCTGGGATTACAGGCGCCCACCACCACGCCCAGCTAATTTTTGTATTTTTAGTAGAGACAGTGTTTCACCATGTTAGCCAGGCTGATCTCAAACTCCTGACTTCAGGTGTTCCACCTGCCCCGGCCTCCCAAAATGCTGGGATTACAGAACCTCAGTAAGACTTCTGAATAAAACTAACTTTAATTCCTTAAAAGCTTGATTTTCTTTTAGTTGACAGAAGTCATAGCCATTGCCAACAGAATATATCCAAGTCTGCAGGTGAGTGTGCCCAGGCCCGCCTCTAACTTTGGAGGTGTGTGGTACCACCGTTCAGGTAGAGGGGAACACCTCCAAGACTATATGAATTTGAACACAGAGCAGCAAGACACTAGATGATTGGCCCTATTCGGAAGTGAGACTTCATGATGAAAAAATATATGCATCCATGCTACCTGCAAGGGAGAATTTGACAAGAGAATTCAACTTATCTTTCTCTTCTCTAAGCATTTCTGCTGTTCAGCTCCTCCTTGTGCTATAAAACGGAGTCAGCACTGAACCTGGAGTGGTACAGTCCTCAAACCCTCACTGCATTCAAACTTGACTGCTTTTATTCCAAGAACATAGGGTGAGAGATTCGGAGTATTTCCCTCTGGTCTGACCTTTTTTCTTCCTCGCTTTATTGAAGTATGACTGACAAATGAAAGTTATATATATTTAAAATGTACAACATAATGATTTGATATAGGTGTACATCGTGAATGATAACGACGATTAAGCTAATTAATACATCTATCACCTCACTTAGTTATATTGTGCGTGTGTGTGCATACATGCGTGTATGTTGAGAACACTTTAAATAGTGGCTTCTCTTAGTGGCCTTTTTGAATCACAAGAGAGGATGTTTCAGATTGTAGTTGCCAGAGCTAAGCCCAGATCCTGAGAGACAGATGCACATATATGTTCTTTAATGCATTTATTTTTGTATGTGTTTGTGATTTGTGGAACCTCTAAATTTTAGGGTCAGGGAAGGGGCCTCCTTGTCAGGGGTTAAGGGCAATATTGAGTTTATCCTATGCTTCAAGACCGGCCTTTTCAGAGTCAGGAGAATCTCATGTTTTAGGGCAGTGGCATGAGGGGAAGGAGGCTAGGATCCACTGCAGGGACTTTCACAACCTCACTGGGCCTCAGGCTCCCCATCTGTTCTAAAAGGGGGCTGGGCCTCAACAGGGCTGGCATCAGAGCATCTTGCCAGTGTAGACATAAAGGGCCCCATTGAACTGCAGTCTTCTCGGCTGCTTCCTGACAAAGCCCTTTTCTCCTCTAGCCACAATGGCCCTGTCAGGCAGGTAGCAGGGCCTGCAGCTTTGTCTCCCCAGAAAAGAACAACAGGGTTCACTGTCTGTTCCAGGCTCAGTCTCCCTGAGGAGGGTGGGTGGCTTACGAAGGGTCTAACAAGCCAGGGACAGATGGGTTCTGCCCTTAGCCAGCCAGCGACTGGTGACCCAGCCGCAGCTCTTTCGGTCAGTTATTCTGGGATGAGTAGGAAAACAAATTCACCAAAACCCAAGTTTTTAAAAACTTGACTTTTCCAAGTGCATGTCCAGATGTTTTAGGTTACAGAGCTGTGCCGTCCAATATGGCAGCTACCAGCTGCATGTGGCTTTTGAGAACTTGATGAGCCGCTAATCTGAATCGTGATGTGCTATAAGTAGAAAACAGGCTCAGTTAGCATTTTGGACTAGATCGTTCTTTGTTGCTGGAGGCTGTCCTGTGCTCGTAGAATGTTTAGCAGCACCCCTGGCCTCTACCCTCTGGATGCCAGCGGCACACACACCCCTGCACCCCGACACCCACCCCAGTTTTGACAATCAAAAACACCCCCAGACAATTGCCAAAATCACTCTGGGTTGAGAACCACTCAGATTTCAAAAACTTAGTAAGGAAAAAAAAGGAAAATCTCATTAATGATTTTTAAATATTGATTACATGTTAAAATGATAATATTTTGGATGCATTGGGCTAAGTAAAAACATTATTAAATTATTTTTCCTATTCTTTTCACTCTTTATAAAGTGGCTACTAAACTGTTTAAAATTACATATGTAGCTCATGTTATGTTTCTTTTGGGCAGTGCTGTTAATGGAAGAAACTGAGTGCCAGAGAGGGAAAGTGACCAACAGAAGGTCACAGAGCAACAGAGAGGCAGTCCGGGCCCCAGTCAGGTTTTCAGACTGGCACCTGTAGGATAAATGCACCTGGTAGCAATAACTTAAGCATACGCTTACAATGAGCCTGTACAGAAGACACACCTGAATGTCTGTTCTAAGCTCGGGAATCTGGGAGTAGCCAACCTGGAGACTCGTTTCTTGTCTATGAGGAACATCTGAGCCCCTTGCCTATCCCATGGAATATGGGCTGTACAGAAGATCCAAGCCCTGAGGTTTGAGTTGGATGAAGGTTGCCAGGTGGAGGTCGTTAAGGGGAGGGTGTTAAGTGAAGATGGAATATAAACTGCATGTGGTTTGCAAGTGGTTGTGGTTTTCCTGCCCAGCCCTTCGCCACTGGGTTATCTTGTCCAGCCCACCGCGGCCGGACTGTAGGTAAAGAGGACATCGTGTCTAGCCTGTCACCAGTGGACCTTTTCTGTAGGTAAAGATGATGTGGTGTCCTTACCTGTCCTAGCCTGTTGTCAGTGGGCGGGTTTTCCTGTCCAGCTCACCACCACTGGACTTTCTTCCCTGTATGTAAGCTGCCAATCAAACCCCACCTCTCATTTGCTGGCTCTGGGTCTCTTCTTCAGCCCCTTGAACCTGGTGCCTTCCCTATTGAGGTGAATAGGAGTTCGGCACAATAGCACTCCAGAACAACTCTGCTGCTCCATACAGCTTCACAATGGAAAGGAAATCCAGAAATCAGTGCATTGCGTCTTTCCAGTGTGCTATGGTCAAAGAGCACTACAGCAGGAATAGAGAGGAGAGACATTACGTCTGCGGCTCACATTATGTTTAATCTTCATTTAATCTTTGCAACAACCCTAGTAAGAGACTTTGTTGTTAAGCCTGTTTTCCAGATGAGGAAACTGAAGTCCTGTGAGGACTCTTAGCCTGCAAGTTGAGAAACTAAGAATCAAACCCAAATACTTCTTTTAATACTACACATACTGTCGTGCAGTCCTAGGTCTAGTGAGACCTGGATAGGTCTCACCTCTTCTCCTTACATCCAACCTGGATAAGAGGACCGCGCAAGATATAGTCTGAAGTCCTTCCCAGCCCTGCTGAGCTGGTCTTCTGGGTAGGGTGGGGAAAGACAGATGGTTGTCACCTCCTTCAGGCTGACAGGGAGTCATGGAATCTGGATGGTCAGCATGCAGAGGCTGGCCCACCCCTTTTCAGGTGTGTCCCTGGGATGGCTGCTGTCCTCATAAATAGCTTTGCTGACGTCAGAAATAAGGCTTGGAATGGACAAGTGTATTTTTGCTCTGGTTCTAAGAAGAGCACCATGCCTAACGATGGGATCCACTGGCATCGATAATGATTACTAACCCACCACTCTACCGAGTTCTGTGTGCTAAGCACTTAGCAGATATTACCTCATGTGCTCTTACAATTCCTTACTCTGGTACCACTTTAAATCCCATCCTACAGATGAAGAAACTGAGGCTCAGAGACGTGAAGTGACTTTCATAAGGTCACACACAGTGACAGAGAATTTCAAACTGGGATTGTGCATTCCCACAGCAGTTCCTTTAACTAAGGCACTGGTTTGATGAGGCCACTGGTTTGAAGATTAGTCCCCTTCCTGACCCTCCTCTGTATGGGAAGACTGGGGCCAGCCAGACACAACATGGGGCAACTATATAACCTTCTCGTCGGCCCTTAGCCAGAGTCAGAGTTGAAGAGGCTCACCTAATCCAACCCCCTTTGTTTGAAGTTGTGGGGAAACTGAGATACAGAGAGGGGCAAGGTTATGTCCAACACCACTCAGCTAATTTGTGGCAGAATCAGTACTTGACTCAAAGTCACTGGAATCCCAACCCAGCACTTTTATCTCTCTCTTTGCTTTCTTTCTTTTTTCTTTTTTTGGAGACAGGGTCTCACTCTATCACCCAGGCTAGAGTGCAGTGGCGTGATCTCAGCTCACTGCAACCTCCAACACCCAGGCTCAAGCAATTCTCTCACCTCAGCCTCCAGAGTAGCTGGGATTACAGGTGTGTGCCACCATGCCCAGCTAATTTTTATACTTTTAGTAGAGACAGGGTTTCACTATGTTGGCCAGGCTGGTCTCAAATTCCTGACCTCAAGTGATCCACCTGCCTCGGCCTCCCAAAGTGCTAGGATTACAGGCATGAGCCACCGCACCTGGCCTGTTTCTTTGCTTTCTTTCTAAGAAAGGACAGACTTTAGGACAAGTCATGAGTTAATAGTTTTTGGCCACTTTTAAAAGATAAGCCAATGCACTAAGGTTTTCACGGGTATTATCCCATTTAATCCTCAAAACAAGCCTAAGAATTAGGGACTGCTATTATTCCCATTTTAGAGATAAGAAAACTGAGGCTCAGGGAGGTTGAGAAACTTGTCTTCTATTAAATAGTGGAGCCATAACAAAACCCAGCAGACTAATTCTAGAGCCAGTTTCTTCTCAGGCTGATCCAACTGCATCTATGGGATTCTCCCATCAGAACATCTGCCTGCAGGTGGAAGACTGTCAAATTACTGTAGAAGGCAGGGCTCACGTCAACGCATGTATGTGGAAGTGCAGCATTGCTTGGCCTTGATGTGGGTGTGCACAGAGCCTAATGCACTTAAAGTATGTATAAGAACTTCAGATCTTGTCGAAAACCAGCTATAGTTAAAACAATAATATTGATATGAACTATTACTTGTTGCCCAACTTCCATGTTGCAGGTTCTTTATGTGTATTGCCTCTGAGCCTTACAGCAACCCCATGTTAGGATACCTTCATGGTAACTTCATAAAGTTACCCAAATTTTACAGCCGATGGCAGTGAGACTTTGTGAGGTGAAGTGACTTGCTCAGGTTCACACAGAGAATAAGTAGCTAAGCTGGGATTCAAGCAGGTTCCCAAAGCACCTGCCACTCTGTCTTCCTTGTTTCCTGACGTTTGCTTCTCACTGGCAACCGTAAGGGCAGAAATCTCCCGGTGGAGGATTGAGGAGGACTGTAGTTAACGATCGTCCCCTGGGCCTGTGTGGACCTACAGCATTTGGTATACGGGAACAGGGAGGGTGGGAACACAGTGAGCTTTGAATGTGGCCAGAGGGAAGACTGATTCTAAAGTTAACTTGAACATGAACAACAAACTTAGGCTCTGTTTTCCCTTTCAGTTAAAAACAAACAAACAAACAAACAAACAAACAAACAACCATCTCAGACTCTGCTGTTTGACAGGCTGGTATAAAAACAGACAGGAGATATCAGTTCCGGTCCCTGTTCTGTCACTAACACACTGGGACCTGTGGCAGTTCCTTTCCATTTGGGCCTATCTTCCCAATATACCCAATGGAAATGAAGAACTAGATCAGTGGTGCTTAAAACTTTTTTTTTTTTTTTTTTTTTTTTGGTGATATGGGGGTAGACAGCAAGCCTTTTTTTCAAATAGAAAGTTACATGGAAGGGCAACATATGAACTTATTTCAAGAGCAACTGCTTTCATTGATTCAGGCCCAGAGCCTAGAACCTTGCCCCCTCGGCCTCCATGTTGTCTCTTTGCTGCCCCTCCCCTGTGACAGCCGCGGAGGCATCCCCCACCTATGCTAGGACTTGGAAGATCCCAGGTTGACAGCAGGGGCCATGTGGCTTCTTATGCATACAGCATGTGCACTGGCCATGGCATTTATGGAATGCTCCCTGTATAGAGAGGCTCATAAAGGGTTGCCTATAGGTTCAGGACTTTCTCAGTTCTCCAGACCCATTTGTCAGGGCCTTAGGCCATGGGCATGCTGTTGCCAAGTGGGTCTGAATGCTTATGCATGGGTGGTAGGGTCTGAGTTCCAAGGGGAAATTCCCACTCACTCCTGAGTGGCATGTGATGTGAGGCATGGAGAGGAAGAGAGGTTTTATTTGCAAGTTCAGATAAAATTGGCTTAGCCTCCTTCAGGGATCCTGGAGAGAAAGAGCAGGTTTGGGGTTGTGTAGGGGTCTCAATTTAGCCACACACAATAGCTGTGTGGCGTTAGGTAAGTTACTTACCCTTTCTGGGTCTCTGCTCTATGATCTGTAAAACACGAATAATGATGAGGATAATGATATAATAAAGTGACTTCTTTTGTTGTTGTTGTTGTTGTTGTTGAGATGGAGTTTTGCTGTTGTTGCCCAGGCTGGAGTGAAATGGCATGATCTTGGCTCACCACGACCTCCGCCTCCTGGGTTCAAGCGATTCTCCTGCCTCAGCCTCCCGAGAAGCTGGGAGTACAGGCTTGTGCCACCACGCCCGGCTAATTTTGTGTTTTTAGTAGAGATGGGGTTTCTCCATGTTGGTCAGGCTGGTCTCGAACTCCCAACCTCAGGTGATCCACCCGCCTTGGCCTCCCAAAGTGCTGGGATTACAGGCGTGAGCCACAGCGCCCGGCAATGCAGTGACTTCTTACTGTATGCTTACTATGTGCAGATTCTATGTAAGTGCCTCTCATGCATTATATCAGCAAAGCCACATGATAACCATATTAGGTAGATGTTGTGTTATCCATTTTGCCAAGGAGAAAACTGAAGCATAGAACAGTTAAGCAACTTGCCCAAGTTCACACAGCTATAGCTATCAAGTAACATAGCTAAGATGCAAACTCATGTTTATCAGACTCCAAAGCCTACATTTTCATCTGCAACATTATCCTACCTTCTTCAAATAAAACCTCCTTCAAAGGGCTGTTTTGAGAATCATGAAAAAAAATCTAAGTCTTAGTCACAGAGCTGGCATATAGTAAATGCTCAGCAAATGAGTTCCCTTTCCTCATCTCCATATTAACCAAAAGTCTCCTGCAGGCTTGAAGGAGTTGATGATTGTTTATAAGTTCCTTTTTTTCTAGCAGGTGAAAATAGGGAGAAAGAAGAGAATTCTCTCCGATTTCAGGAAATATGACTTTTTTCCTGCAAACAACTCTTTTTATTTTAATATTTAGACTGGGTCTTGCTATATTGCCCAGGCTGGAGTACAGTGGGGCAATCATAGCTCACTACAGCCTCTAACTCCTGGGCTCAAGTGACCCTTCTGCCTCAGCCTCCCGAGTAGCTGGGACTATAGGCGAGTGCCCCTACACCTGGCTATTTTTTATTTAAATTAATTCTTTGAAGAGACAGGGTCTTGCTATGTTGCCCAGGCTAGTGTTGAACTCCTGGGCACAAGTGATCCTCCTGTCTCAGCCTCCCAAAGTGCTGAGATTACAGGGATTAACCACTGTGCCTAGCCCAAATAAACTTCTAAAATGAGTGTTTACCAATCTGTGTTCCATGGAATACTATTCCACATCGTTCTGTGTTCAATAAAGTTTGAGAAATGCTATATCCTCAGCTCCTCTCTTGAAGAGGCCCATTGTACATTAGCATATTAAAGGCACTGATAAATCCTGCTGCAAAGAGTTCCACCTAATTTAGCTTAACCCTGCCCCCCGCCATAATACATATTAGCATGTTTTTCTAAAGAACACACATAGAAGAGAAGCTGATTCTTGTCCATTTATGCACATAAGGCAATTAAGGGCCAGAAAGCTTTGAGTTTAGAGCTTAGGTCGCACAGCTATCCAGTAGTAAATACTTTTGTAAATGAAGACTTATTCTCAAATCCATTGCTGAGATGCAGGGTAGAGTGGCAAGTAAAAGAAGGAAACTCAAGTCAAATAACGTGAGTTTATATCCTGCCTCCACCATTCTTGAGCCTTGTGACCTTGAGCAGTTTGCTTAACCATCCTGGGCCTCAATCTCCTCATCAGTTACATGAGGTAATATGATACATACCTCATGATGCTAATTTGGGGAACCAGTGAGTTAATACATGAAAAGTATTTAGAACAGCACCACACATGAAGTTAGTTATCAGTATGCCTGTTGGAATTTTGCATAAAAGGAAGTCCACCTGAGTATACATGGTACCGGAGGCCTGCTGTTTGAGAGCGCCTGCTGCCTGCCGGGGCTCACAGGGCCTTGCTGGAGGGAGGCCAGGCCTTGGCTTGCAGCTCTGGAGAGGGCTGTTTTCCAGCCAAAGCTCCCAGGAGGTGACAGCTCCTGTCCTCCCTCCCCTACCAGTTCCAGGGCCAGGCCTCTTGGGTGTGGCCAGATCAGACAATATCCACATTTCTGTTTCTTCTCCCTGTCTCCGACGCCCAGAGGAATCCTTGTTGGAACTGACAATTTGAGGCTAGATCAGTCTGGAAGAAGGAGCTGAAATAAGCAGTATAGCATCGTACAAGGAGCACCAGCTTTTGAGCCAGATAGTACTGGCACCAAACCCAGGCTATGACACTTCCCAGTTGCATAATTTTGGCCAAGTCACTTAATTCCTTTGAGTCTCAGTTTCTTCATTTGTAACACGTGCATAATAATGGTACCTACTTTCTAAGTGTGCTGTGAAGTATGAATAACAGCTAATGTTTAATAAATGCTTACTACATGCCATGCACTGTTCTAGCAGCCAGGGATAGCTAATGTCATAATAGACAAGTTACCTGCTCTCATGGAGCTCATTTCTATTAATAGAAGGGGCAGATATGACACAAGTAAAGAAATAAAAAAAAGATCAGAGTGTAATAATGGATATAGAGAAAATAAAATAGGGTAAGGGTCAGAGAATGAATAAAATGGTCTGGGAAAGCCTCACTGAGGCGGTGATATTTAAACTGAGATCTGACTGATAAGGAGTGAACTGTATGCAGCAATCTGGGGGAATAGACTTCCAGACAGAGGGGACAGCTAGGCCAAAGGCCCTGAGGTGGGAGTGAGCGTGGTTTGCTTGAGGGACAGAAAGAAGGTCCTTATGATGCAGAAGGGGAGAATAGTATAAGATAAAATTATCCAACCCTACTATACACTTAAATGAATGAAAACCTATGTCCACACAAAAACTTGTACATGAATGTTGGTTCATAGCAGCATTATTCATAAAAGCCAAAAAATGGGAACATCCCAAATATCTATTAACTGATGAATGAAGAAACAAAATGTGGCACATCCGTGCCATGGCAGCCACAGAAAGCAATGAAGTATTGAGACGCACATGGGAGACAACATGTATGAACCTTGAAAACACTATGCTAAGTGGAAGACACCAGACACAGAAGGCCACATATATGATTTCATTTCTATGAAATCTCCAGAAGAGGAAAATCAACAAAGGCAAAAAGTAAATGAATGGCCCCAGGGGATGAGGGGAGTGGAGAATGGAGAGTGACTGCTGGGGGGGACCCTTGGTTTTGGAATGATAAAAGTGTTCTGGGCCAGATGCGGTGGCTCACACCTGTAATCCCAGCACTTTGGGAGGCCGAGGCGGGCAGATCACGAGGTAGGAGTTCAAGACCAGCCTGGCCAACACAGTGAAATCCCGTCTCTACTAAAAATACAAAAAATTAGCCAGGCGTGGTGGCGGGTGCCTGTAATCCCAGCTACTCAGGAGGCCGAGGCAGGAGAATTGCTTGAACCCAGGAGGCGGATGTTGCAGTGAGCTGAGATTGCGCCACTGCACTCCAGCCTGGGTGACAGAGTGAGACTCTGTCTCAAAAAAAAAAAAAAAAAAAGTTCTGGAATTAGTGGAAATCGTTGCACAACTTTGTGAAGATACTAAAAACCACTGAATTGTACACTTTAAAAGGATAAACTTCATGGTAAGTGGATTATATCTCAATCTTAAAAAAAAATCAGAGGGTGAGGCAGGGGCCAGCTTAGAAGTTAAACTGGAGATTGGGGGTGGCACTACTGTTATGCCATATTATGGAGGGGGATCCTAATACAGAAGATAAGCAACTTGCCGGAGTCGACACAGCTACGAATTGGCTGAGCCTGGCTTCAGAGCCCATTCTTTTATGTAAAACATTTATGTGGCACAGGGACTGGTATCCATCCAAATAAACTCAATATATGCGGTTAGGGTTTCACTTTCCCGATTCCCTTCCCTTGAGGCTTCCAATCTCATGTCTAGCCTCCACTTACTGAGATGCACCCTTCCCACCTGCCTCGTTCCAAGCAGAGAGGCTAAGGAAGGACCTGGCGTTCTTCTGTCCTTCCCTCTGGGGCAAGTCTACAACAGCAACAGCCACAGCTTCCTTGGCTGCTCATTAACTCTCTGCCAACACGGTCACACTGGAAATTCTGGTTTGCGGGCCTGGCCTGGATAAGGGACCCCAGAGGAATCCAGAGCGTGGGTTAAGCTTTCTTCAGGCTTGTCAAGTGAGGCAGAGGGTTAATTTGCCCCTCTGCTACCAAGGACCTCCGCCCAGCCAGTGCCAGGCGGAACCGCCTGATGGGCAAAGGCCCCTGGGCTGGGAAGAGCTCCGCCCACCAGGGCGGGGACACAGCCGCCCACCTCAGGATTGGTTGCACACAAAGGCGCTGGGCCAATAAAAAGCCGCGCCTTTTTACACAGTTGCACTAAAGCTTAAGTGGTGATAATTATCTGCATTTTGCTCCCCAAAGAAAAATGTAGCTGTTTATTCTGTAGCCAGCCCATTAAATACGTTGGTGCTTACCTATCTCAAGGTCTGCATTTCCAGAAAGCCTGTTCTGACAGAGCGGTCTGACCTTTAGTCAAACCCCAACAAAACCAGAAGTAAGTGGTCTTTATTTTAGGGAAGGCCCTCACTGGTAATTTTTAACTTTTTAGGAGCTCCAAATCCCTTTAAGAATCTGACAAAAAGGGTCAACACTTGCCCAGAAAGAGGCACACATCACTTTTGCACTGAATTTCAGAAGGATACAGGTCAATAACCCTTGGTTTTTGGCCAAAGGGGGGAGAACATCCTATATTTTTGAATGCGCATTTTTTATTGAACCAGAACTTCACAGAGAATAGTGCAGAAATGTTAAGTGTGGAGATCAGTGGGTTTTCATATATGCATACACCCTCGTAACTACCATTCAGATAAGATATGGAACATTTCCAGCCCTCAGAATGACCAAAAGAAATTTGGCAAGACTTTTTTTTTTTTTTTTTTTTGAGACACAGTTTCCCTCTGTGGCCCAGGCTGGAGTGCAGTGGCGCAATCTTGGTTCACCGCAACCTCTGCCTCCTGGCTTCAAGTGATTCTCCTGCTTCAGCCTCCCTAGGAGCTGGGTTTATAGGCGTGTGCCACCATGCCCAGATAATTTTTGCATTTTTAGTAGAGACGCGTTTTGTCATGTTGGCCAGGCTGTTCTCAAACTCCTAGCCTCAAGTAATATGCCCACCTCAGTCTCCCAAAGTGCTGGGATTACCGGCGTGAGCCACTGCACCCAGCCAAATCATAAAATTTTAAAATTGTATGTTATAATTGGTTAAAAAATAAACTGCAGTTCAGAAGGGTGTAAAATGAAGCATAAAAGTACCCTGGCTATCCTACACACAAGAGGTAGTCACCACCATTAACAGATTCTGTGATATACATCCAGAAATTATATATGCATACCACAACACGGAGTCACATTATACAGCTTTTATTTCAGGTTGCTTTTATCCTAGCAACTGACTTAGAGACTTTTTCATATTAGTACATATGAATATACTTATTTTTAGAATACTGCATCTTTTTAGAATATGCTAATGTACAAATATTGCTAGCTTATTTAATTACGTTTCTACTGATTATCAGTAGAACAGGTTGTTTCCAGGTTTAAATATTATAAACTCTGCTGTGTGGACATTACCTCTTTATACAGTTTAGCCTGTAGGATAAACTCTGCAAGTGGAATTGCTGGGTTAAAGGATATGACTATTCAAAGCGCTTCTGGTAGGCTGAATATTCACATTCCCCACCCATGTCTTGACCCTTAAACCTGCAAATTTGTTACCTTACGTTGTAAAAGAGATTCTGTAGACGTGATTAAGTTAAAAATCCTGAGACAGGGAGAGGGCCCTGGGTTTTCCAGGTGGACCCAATGTAATCACAAGGGTCCTTATAAGTGGAAGGCAGATGGGTCGGAGTCAGCAGGGAAGGTCATGTGAGGACGGAAGCGGGGATGGAAGTGATGCAGTCAAGAGCCAACAGCCTCTAGAAGCAAGAAACAGTGAGAAGCGAATTGTTCCCTGGTGCTCCAGAAAGAACCAGCTTTGCCGACACATTGATTCTCGTCTGGTGACTAAGTTAAGAGACTTATGTCTTTTGGTGTCCATAATTGTAAGATAATACGTTTGTGTTGCTGTTAATTTGGTGGTAATTCGTTACATCAGCGTCAGGAAACAGGGCTGCATCCTCTCTCATTTTCACCAATAGGAGAGTACTGGGTTCCCCAAAGTTCCCAAATAGACTCTTTAAATGTTGCCAGTTTAGAGCAGAAGTTTGAGAATCTGAGGCTGTCTACTACTCACTGTTTTCTGAAGAAGTAAAGCAAAATACATATATATGTGCCTGTAATTTGCGCGTGCTCACGGATCCCCTAAGGTTAGAAATTTCCTTTTAGGGCTTTGGGTTCCCTTTCCCTTGCCATCTCCCCCAAGGCAGGCTGTGGTTCCCATCCATGGTTCCAGTGCAGAAGATCTCAAACTGCCAGGGCAGGAAGAGTCCTTAGAGATCATCTGGGGTACTATGCCCATTTTAAAGACGGAGAAAAAGTAGAAAAACTGGAACGAGATGTGAGTTTCATGACTCCCAGTGCTGTGTATTTTTATTTTTTATTTTTATTTTTGCCTATACATCCTCCTCTGCAAGGGAGGAGGAAGGACAGAAGCATCCGGGTCTGGGCTGAGGTTTGGGCGAGCTCTCATGTCACAGGTGAGTCCAGTTTTAGTAACCAGTCAACCCCAGGCAATAAAGGCCTCCCACGGGCTCATCTTCCCCTCTTCTGGGGAGGGAGATGCACACATAGAAGACCTATCCAGAGACTCCTGGCCTCAGGCTTCAGGTCCTGAGAATGAACTCTGGGTTCTTAAGAGCTAAAGAGTTTGCCAAGGAGGGGCTGAGATGGAGAAATTGATCTTCTCCCCACTGGTCTCAGGTACGACCCTTTCCCACTTCTGGGCTTCCTGGGCTCTGCCATAGTCCCCTCCAACTGGTTGTTGCTTCCTCATCTAGGCTTTTTGATTCCTGAATCTGTTGGAAATAGCTTTGGACTGAATGGGGATTAGGGGTGATGAAGATCTTCCAAGATATACTTCCACCTTCCCTGGGGAATCCTGAATGGAAACCCGAGTTGGAGAGGAGGAAACAGGAAACGGGGCACTGACACCTGGCTGCAGAGGGTAAAAACAAGTGCAATGAGCTGACTGAACCCTTTTCTCTCTATCAGCACCAGTTATTGATCACTGACAGTGTGCCGGGCACCGTGCCAAGGCAATTCATACATATTACCATTCATGACTTGTAACAACCCAAGAAGCAGGTATTATCACTGTTACTATTATTTTGAAGATAAGGAAAAAGATGCTCAAAGATTAAGAACTTGCTAGTTCCTGGCAGAGCTGGGTTTTCAACAACCCAGCTCTTAACCAGTTACTCTCTTCTGCCTGCATTCTTGGTTGAGGAGGGTTCCAAAAGAGAAAATTAACACCACCAAACCTCATGCTCAGCCCTGACTCTGTCCCTTTCTGTGTCCCTCCTGCCTCAGCCCTACCTCCATAGTCCTGTTTTCTGCAGCCCAATATAGTATATCCATAATAATTACAGTCAGTGCCGATTAGCCCTTTACTCACTTCTTTTATGCCAGCTGCTGTTTTAAGGCAGGGTTTTTTTTGTTGTTTGTATTTTAGGGGAAGGAGACAGAAATGGATTCATTTAGATGACATAAATGGAGCACTTACGTGTCACCTGCTGTGAATGGCACTGGCACTATTATGGTGAGCAAGACAGGCAGTCCCTATACTACTAGACTGTATTCATTAAATGATCACACAATTAACATTGAATTATAATTTTGATAAGAGGTAAGAAGGTCAAAGACAGATGCTTAGAGAATATTTCACAGATAAACTGGAACCCAGGCTTCCAGGAGGAAAAGGCATTATAAAGATGATGGAAGGCCTTGGTATGTGAGGAGGGGGAGGTGGGGAGAGGGAAGGGGAGAGATGTTAGGAGGAGGGGAGCAGGCGGTGTGGTTGCTTAACCTCTATTGTGTTCTAATTTTGAGTCCTTGTGTATGAAATGGGGATGATATTTTCACCTCAGGGATGGGCGGAGTGACATGACATGAGACTATGTGGTAGCTAGTAGACGGGCTGAACCCAGGCTGCCCTGCCTAGGGTCAGCCCCATCCCCATTACAGTTTAACCCAGTTTGCTTTCTCCAGCTCATTCCTGGGTTTGGCTGTTTGCCAGAAAGCCTATTAGAAAAGTTCCAACCAGGGACTCTTTAATTTCCTCTTTTCCTGTCAGTCTGAAACTCCAGTAGGCAGAAATCCCTGGGTTTTATTCTGGCTAATGAAGGTGGAGTTTGGGGGCTGCATATTTTTCACTTGGATAGCATCTCACAGCGTATTTTCCCAGGAAAACCCTCCCCTATCCCTGTTCTGCCGGAAGCTGTGGGCTAGCCAGACAGTGATGTATCTGTGATCCCACCGGACTCAGCCCAGAATGGAGCCCAGGCGGAGAAAATCAGAGTAAATCAAACCATATGGGAAGTGAACTGGCTTGGGGGCTGCTTACTTTTCTGCTTGCGTAGAGGGGAAATATGTCTTTATCCCTTTCCCACCGTGGGCTTTATTCTCTTCAGGGGTGCTGAATGCAGATTGAGAGCCAGCCCCCTCCCAAAGTTTCTAGTGTCTGGGGCAGAAGTACCACATACCATATGTCTCCAAATGAAAGTTCCATATCGCACCAATAAACTGTTTAAAAGATGCTCTATCTTCCTAACTTGACAAAATAGACCATTATAACACAACATAAGATATATTTAAAGTCATGGTTTTTATATGACTGGAAGTTGGCAAAAATATCAAAGATCACTGAATTTAATTATCATTGTATATTTCTGGGTGTTCTGTTTATGTGTCAGTGATGTTTGAATAAAGACACTTGTAATTTACATGATTCTATCCATTTATTTTCTAAATCAACTTTGATTTGGAGAAACTGCTCTGATAAGTTGCACCTGGAATTGTCAAGCAACATGTAGATTCATTTCTGAATCTAAAAGGCCTGTGGTAGGTAGGCTAAATATTCACATTCAAGTATTCATTTTACATACTACGTTCACCTACTGTAATGAGGCTACATGTACAGAAAGCCCTCAATTAACATTGTGGAGAGGTTCTTGGAAACTGCAGCTTTAGGTAAAATATACAGGTCCTCAAATGTCCTCATTGGTTCAACATCATTTTGTTATAATGTTGATGAGGACAAAAAAAAATTGGTTTTTGTAGTTTTGCTTAAACTTGCAGTTTCCAAGAACCTACTGATGATTAGTGAGACTTACTGAAAACATTATCACAGAAAATTATATCTTCACCTTATTATATAAATATTATATTACAATTTTCCCTGTCTCTTACTATCTAGATCATACAGTATTTCTTGAACTGTTCTTTCAAATTTTTCAATTCTCAGATATTATAAGGAAACCTCCTTAAAAGCAGTATTTTCCTCAATTTGTTCTGACCTCCTTCAATCAAGATTATACCCTAACCTGTTATGGTCAAAAAATGGTTTATAAACAAGTTAGTTTGGGAGTACTTGCATGTGAATCTTCTCTTACATAGTCATGTAAAACATTTTTGTTTTATTGTTTTGGTTTCTTTATATTTCATTGGAATGCCATTTTTGTTGTATATTTCACATGCATTTTTATTTGGGAAAAGCAGTTTCTAAAACTTGTAATACTTTAATTGCTAAAGTAAATTAGACAAACGTAGATTCCTTTTTTGTAATAATAGTAAAAAATAGTTCATACTAAATAATTATAGATGGTGCTTATTCAAAATTATTTTTATTTTCTCCCAAGATCACAATTTCATTCTTTTTATGTTTTTTTAAATTTTTTTCCCACAATTTTACTCTTTGAGGATCCTGTTTTACTTATGTAATGCATCTTTTACTTTTTCCAAACTAAATCTAAATACTTTAACGGCATTTTGTCAACAGTCCTTTGAGTATGTGAAAGTGGTTTCAGTGCGAAATCTGATGTTTCCTCAAATGTTCTCTTTTAGCAGATCCATAAAATAATGTTAATCTTTTTTATTCTAAAAATTGACATAATTCTAGGCACAGTTATAACTATGTCTCCTAGTAACAAATTTAAACTATGTGCCATATGTGGTAGAAAAAATACCCCTGGATTTTCAGCTAAAAGTTAATGCCATTTCCACGGGCTTGCCCTGACAGTCTTTTAAATAAATTCCTCAAGTTGAAAGTTGATTTTTTTTTTTCCAGTTCTCCTTTATATGATTGTCTTTGTCTTTTCTCTTACCCAAGTGCCTCCACAGCTCAAACTGCTCCACAGTTCCAGGGAGCGCTCATACCTGATATTAGTGGTGGCACAATCCACAAACCTTTCCTGTTCTTAGATGCAGTAGCATTTTGTCTCAAGGATGCACACAAGAGATTAAAAAGATTCCACGGGGGCCTGAATGGTGTGTCGCAGAGCAGATGTTTAGGATTACAGATTGTACTAAGCCAGCATTGAGCATTAGATGCTGAGTGACAATGATGCCCACTATTCTTTGATAAACTTGTTGTTACCTTTAGGGCCTGGTGAAGGGTGGGGCTTGGCAGAAACGTGTTTAACCTAATCTAGACTGGTGTTGATCAGGGCCACCATGTGTTGTTGGTAGCTCACTTTTCTTGGTGCTCTCATGCTTCTCCCTCTGTGTCCATAAGTTCAAATTCTCATTTTTTAAGGTTTATTTTCGAATGAAACCTCTTCCATGAAGGCCTCCTTGATACAGGCCTCACCCTGTCAATCTTAGCCCAGCTGGAATATCTTTCTCTTTTCTTTGGTCTTCCAAAATATTTGATTTGGCCCTGTTAGGATCCCATAGGATAGAGTTACTGTACGTGTTGTTACATACTTTAGTGGTTAAGAGCTTGGACCTGGATCCAAATTCACTAGACTTTGGATCCTAGCTTCATTCTTTACCAGCTGTGAGACTTGTGCCTCAGTATCTCCATCTGTAAAATGGGAGTAAATAATAGTACTTATCTTCTACAAGTTTTTGTGATGTTTAAAGTGTTTAAAGCTCATTTTCTGATAGGTGGAATGGAGAAAGCATAATAAATGCTAGTGATTATTAGATTTCACCATATTCTCCTTCACATTCTAGTACAATGTGTGCATGTTTTATCCCTCCTATAATTCCCTAAGTTCCCTCAGGTCTGTGGTCATGATGGATTTTTTCCATTGTTCTTATTGTGGTAAAATACACAAAATCTACCATCTCAATTTTTTTTTTTTTTGGTTTGTTTTTTTTTTTTTTTTTTGAGATGGAGTCTCGCACTGTCACCCAGGCTAGAGCTCAGTGGCACGATCTCCGCTCACTGCAAGCTCTGCCTTCCGGGTTCACACCATTCTCCTGCCTCAGCCTCCCGAGTAGCTGGGACTACAGGCGCCCGCCACCACGCCTGGCTAATTTTTTTCTATTTTTAGTAGAGACGGGGTTTCACCATGTTAGCCAGAATGGTCTCGATCTCCTGACCTCATGATCCGCCCATCTCGGCCTCCCAAAGTGCTGGGATTACAGGTGTGAGCCACCGCGCCCGGCCTTCTCAAATTTTTAACTGTACAGTTCAGTGATACTAAATTCATGTTATTATTCAGCCCTCATCAACATCCATCTCCAGAACTCTTTTTATCTTGCAAAACTGAAACTCTGTACTCATTAAATAATAACTTACTCCCCTCTCCTTAGCCCCTGGCAACCACCATTCTTTGTCTCTGTGAAATTGACTACTCTAGATATCTCATACAAGTAAATCATATAGTATTTGTCCTTTTGTGACTCACTTATTAGACTTTATGTCCTCAAGTTTCATCCATGTTGTAGTGTATGTCAGAATTTCTTTCCTTTTTGTGGCTCAGTAATACTCGATTGTATATATGAATATACCACATTTTGTTATCTATTCATCCATCAGTGAACTCTTGGGTTGCTTCTGCCTTTTGGCTGTTATATATAATGCCGCCATGAATGTGAGTATTCAAATATCTGTCCGAGTCCCTGCTTTCAATCCTTCTGAGCGTGTACCCAGAAGTGGAATTGCTGGGTCATATGATAAATCTGCTTAGTTTTCTGAGGAACTGCCATGCTGTTTTCCATAGCAGTGGTACTATTTTATATTACACCAATGGTTCACAAGGGTTACGATTCTCCACATCCTCACCAACATTTATTTTCTCTTTTTTTTTTTTTTGGTAACAGTCATCCTAGTGGATGTGAGATGATATCTTATTGTGGTTTTGCTTTGCAGTTCCCTATTAGTTGAACATGTCTTTATGTGGTTATTGGCCATTTGTATATCTTCTTTAAAGAAATATCTGTTTAAGATCTTTGTCCATTTTTGAATTGGATTGTTGAGTTTCAGTGGTTCTCTATGTATTCTGGATATCACTCACTTGTCAGACATATAATTTGTAAATATTTTCTCTTATTCCATAGGTTGCCTTTTCACTCTCTTAATGGTGTCCTTTGAGGCACAGAAACCTACTTTTTGTGAAGTCCAACTGGTCTTTTTTGTTGCCCAAGCCTTTGGTGCCACATCCAAGAAATCATTGCCAAATCTAATCTCATGAAACTTTTCCCGTTTTTTTCTAAGAGTTTTATTGTTTTAGTTCTTATATTTAAGTCTTCAATCAATTTTGTGTTAATTTTAGTATATGGTATTAGATAAGGGTCCAGTTGAATTCTTTTGCATGAATGTCTTCTTTTGAGAAGTGTCTGTTCATGTCCTTTGCCCACTTTTTGATGGGGTTGTTTGTTTTTTTCTTGTAAATTTGTTTGAGTTCATTGTAGATTCTGGATATTAGCCCTTTGTCAGATGAGTAGGTTGCGAAAATTTTCTCCCATGTTGTAGGTTGCCTGTTCACTCTGATGGTAGTTTCTTTTGCTGTGCAGAAGCTCTTTAGTTTAATTAGATCCCATTTGTCAATTTTGGCTTTTGTTGCCATTGCTTTTGGTGTTTTGGACATGAAGTCCTTGCCCATGCCTATGTCCTGAATGGTAATGCCTAGGTTTTCTTCTAGGGTTTTTATGGTTTTAGGTCTAACGTTTAAATCTTTAATCCATCTTGAATTGATTTTTGTATAAGGTGTAAGGAAGGGATCCAGTTTCAGCTTTCTACATATGGCTAGCCAGTTTTCCCAGCACCATTTATTAAATAGGGAATCCTTTCCCCATTGCTTGTTTTTCTCAGGTTTGTCAAAGATCAGATAGTTGTAGGTATGCGGCGTTATTTCTGAGGGCTCTGTTCTGTTCCATTGATCTATATCTCTGTTTTGGTACCAGTACCATGCTGTTTTGGTTACTGTAGCCTTGTAGTATAGTTTGAAGTCAGGTAGTGTGATGCCTCCAGCTTTGTTCTTTTGGCTTAGGATTGACTTGGCGATGCAGGCTCTTTTTTGGTTCCATATGAACTTTAAAGTAGTTTTTTCCAATTCTGTGAAGAAAGTCATTGGTAGCTTGATGGGGATGGCATTGAATCTGTAAATTACCTTAGGCAGTATGGCCATTTTCACGATATTGATTCTTCCTACCCATGAGCATGGAATGTTCTTCCATTTCTTTGTATCCTCTTTTATTTCCTTGAGCAGTGGTTTGTAGTTCTCCTTGAAGAGGTCCTTCACATCCCTTGTAAGTTGGATTCCTAGGTATTTTATTCTCTTTGAAGCAATTGTGAATGGGAGTTCACTCATGATTTGGCTCTCTGTTTGTCTGTTGTTGGTGTATAGGAATGCTTGTGATTTTTGTACATTGATTTTGTATCCTGAGACTTTGCTGAAGTTGCTTATCAGCTTAAGGAGATTTTGGGCTGAGACTGTGGGGTTTTCTAGATAAACAATCATGTCGTCTGCAAACAGGGACAATTTGACTTCCTCTTTTCCTAATTGAATACCCTTTATTTCCTTCTCCTGCCTGATTGCCCTGGCCAGAACTTCCAACACTATGTTGAATAGGAGTGGTGAGAGAGGGCATCCCTGTCTTGTGCCAGTTTTCAAAGGGAATGCTTCCAGTTTTTGCCCATTCAGTATGATATTGGCTGTGGGTTTGTCATAGATAGCTCTTATTATTTTGAAATACGTCCCATCAATACCTAATTTATTGAGAGTTTTTAGCATGAAGGGTTGTTGAATTTTTTCAAAGGCTTTTTCTGCATGTATTGAGATAATCATGTGGTTTTTGTCTTTGGCTCTGTTTATATGCTGGATTACATTTATTGATTTGTGTATATTGAACCAGCCTTGCATCCCAGGGATGAAGCCCACTTGATCATGGTGGATAAGCTTTTTGATGTGCTGCTGGATTCAGTTTGCCAGTATTTTATTGAGGATTTTTGCATCAATGTTCATCAAGGATATTGGTCTAAAATTCTCTTTTTTGGTTGTGTCTCTGCCCGGCTTTGGTATCAGAATGATGCTGGCCTCATAAAATGAGTTAGGGAGGATTCCCTCTTTTTCTATTGATTGGAATAGTTTCAGAAGGAATGGTACCAGTTCCTCCTTGTACCTCTGGTAGAATTCGGCTGTGAATCCATCTGGTCCTGGACTCTTTTTGGTTGGTAAACTATTGATTGTTGCCACAATTTCAGCTCCTGTTATTGGTCTATTCAGAGATTCAACTTCTTCCTGGTTTAGTCTTGGGAGAGTGTATGTGTCGAGGAATGTATCCATTTCTTCTAGATTTTCTAGTTTATTTGCGTAGAGGTGTTTGTGGATATCCAATTTCTGAGCACCATTTGTTGAAAAGACAGTCATTTCCCTATTGAATGGTCTTGGCACCGTGTTGAAAATCATTTGACCATAAGTACAAAGATATTTTTCTAGGGTCTGTATTCTATTCCATTGGTCTATATGTCTGTCTTTATGCCAGAACCACACTGTTTTTAATACTGCAGCTTTATAAAAAGTTTTAATATCAGGAAGTGTGAGTCTCCCAATTTTGTTCTTTTTCAAGATTGTTTTGGTTATTGAGTCCCTTGAAATTCCACATGAATATTAGAATAGATTTTTCTATTTTCAAAAAACATCGTTGGGATTTTTACAGAGATTGCATTGAATTTGTAGACGACTTGGGTAGTATAGACACCTTAACAATATCAAGTCTTCCAATTCATTAACATGGTGTATTAGTCTATTTTCATGCTGCTGATAAAGACATACACAAGATGGGGGAATTTGCAAAAGAAAGAGGTTTAATTGACTTACAGTTCCATATGCCTGGAGAGGCCTCACAATCATGGCGGAAAGCAAGGAGGAGCAAGTTACATCTTATGTGGATTGCAGCAGGCAGAGAGAGAGCTTGTGCAGATAAACATTTTATTAAAACCATCAAATCTCGTGAGACCCATTCACTGTCACAGGAACAGCATGGGAAAGACCTGACCCCATGATTCAATCATCTCCCACCAGGTCCCTCCTACAACACATGGGAATTATGGGAGCTACAAGATGAGATTTGGGTGGGAACACAGAGCTAAACCATATCACATGGTATGCCTTTCCATTTATTTGTGTGCTATTTAATTTCTTTTAGCAGTGTTTTGTAGTTTTCATTGTGCTTGTCTTTCACCTCCTTTGTTAATTCCTGAGTATTTTATTCTTTTTGATGCTACTGGAAATGTAGTTTTCTTAACTTCCTCTTCAGATTAGATTGTTCCTCGTTAGTGTGCAGGGATGTCACTTTTTGTGTATATTGACTTTGTATTCTGCTAATTGGAATTTGTTCTAACATTTTTTGTGTTAAATCTTTAGGGTTTTTTACATAGAAGACTGCATCATCTGTGAATAGAGATCATTTTTCTTCCTTCCCAATTTGGATGCCTTTACGTAATTTTTTTTTTTGACTAATTGCTCTGTCTAGCATTTCTAGTATTATGTTGAATAGAAGTGAAAGCAAGCATCCTTGCCTTGTTCCTCATCCTAAACAGAAAGCTTTTGGTCTTTTACCACTAAGTATTATGTTTGCTGTGGATTTTTCATATATGGCATTTATTATTTTGAGATACTTTATATTTCTGGTCTGTTTTTACCATGAAAGGGTGTTGAATTTTGTAAGATAATTTTTCTCCACCAATAGAGATGACCATTTGTTTTCTCTCCCCTTCATTCTGTTAATGCAGTATATCACATTGATTTTTCTTTTTGTATATTGAGTCTTCATTGAATTCTAGGAATAAGTCCCACTTGGTCATTGATATCGTTTGAATTTGTGTTCCCACTCAAATCTCATGTTGAATTGTAACCCCCAGTGTTGGAGGAGGGGCCTGGTGGGAGGTGATTGGATCATGGGAGTGGACTTCCCCCTTTCTGTTCTCATGATAGTGAGTTCTCATGAGATCTGGTTGTTTAAAAGTGTGTGGCAGCCAGGCACGTTGGGTCACGCCTGTAATCTCAGCACTTAGGGAGGCCAAAGCAGGCAGATCATGAGGTCAAGAGATCGAGACCATCCTGGCCAACATGGTGAAACCCCGTCTCTACTAAAAATACAAAAATTAGCTGGGCGTGGTGGTGTGCGCCTGTAGTCCCAGCAACTTGGGAGGCTGAGGCAGGAGAATCACTTGAAGCCGGGAGGTGGAGGTTGCAGTTGAGCTAAGGTCGCACCATTGCACTCCAGCCTGGTGACAGAGTGAGACTCTGTCTCAAAAAAAAAAAAGAAGTGTGTAACACTTCCCCCTTCCCTCTCTCTCTCTTCCTCCCACTCTGGTCATGTAAGATGAGCCTCCTTTCTCCTCTTCTTCCACCATGACTAAAAGTTTCCTGAGGCCTCCCCAGCCATGCTTCCGGTACAGCCTGTGGAATCATGAGCTGATTAAACCTCTTTTCCTCATAAATTACCCAGTCTCAGGTAGTTCTTTATAGCAATGTGAGAATGAATTAATACAGACATGGCACATACTCGTTTAAAAATGCTTCTTAATTCTGTCTGCTAATAGTATTTTGTTGAATTTTTGCATCAAAGTTATTAAGGAGGATTGGTCTGCACGTTACTTGTGGTGTCTTTCTCTGGCTTTGGCATTGTGAAGCAGGTTCACTGCACTAGTTACCAGCTTGTCTGAGTCTGATAAGACAGAACACACACATACAAGTTACATGAAGTGGGCTTATTACTTACAGAAAAGCAGCAAGGGACAACAAAAGACTAACATTCATTATGAGCCGGTCTTCCAAAGTTCAGAAAAGCTGCTCAGGGTGCATGGAGTCTCATCTTTGTGTGCTCCTTTTGCACTGCAGCTGAGGCAACCTGGCATGTAGCCCACCCTGGGTTTGATTTCCTTGGGGTGACGTGACATACTGGGGTGACGTGACATGCTGAGCAAAACTGTTGAAGGACATCTTGTCTCTGGAGGTAGGGACTGGATCAGGACCTGGGCTTTTCTGGCCGGTTCCTCCCTGTCTCAGAATATTACACTCCCAGCACATTCTGTAGTTATTCTTGAACTACAATTAAGAAAGAAGAACTCTGTCAGTCCAAGGCCACCCAGAGAACTGTCCTGCTGATATCAGGCCAATACTGGCTTCATAGAATGAGTTAGGAAATGTTCCCTTCTCTTCAAATGTCTGATAAAAGTTTGAGAAGAATTGGTGTTAATTATTCTTTAAATGTTTGGAATTTACCTGTGAAACCATCAGGTCCAGAGCTTTTCTTAACTGGGAGGTTTTCAGTTGGTGATTTAATCTCCTTACAAGTTATAAGGTCTATTCAGATTTTTTTTTTTTTTTTTTTTTTTTTTTTGGTGATTCAGTCTTGGTAAGTTTTGTGTTTCTAGAGAATTTGAATTTTGCAATTTCCCTTCTGTTTTTGAGCTCTAACTTCACCCTATTGTGATTGGAGAAGATTATTTGTATGATACTTTTAAAAATCAGTTGAGACTTTATGGCCTAAGCTATAGTCTATCCAGGAGAATGTTCCATGTGTACTTGAGAAAAATATATATTCTCTTGTTGGTAGAGTGTCCTATATGTCTATTAGGTCTAGCTGATTTATTGTGTTGTTCAAGTCCTCTATTTCCTTCTGTCTGGTCGTTCTGTCCATTATTGAGAATGAGATATTGAAGTTTCTATCATTGTGGAAATATGTATTTCTCCATACAGTTCAGCCACCTTTTGCTTCATATGTTTTGATTAGCTGTTATTAGGTATGTAAATGTTTATTATGTTATGTCTTCTTACTGTATTGAATCTTTTATTAATATATAACACCTTTCTTTCTTTGTCTCTTATGATTCTTCCAATTTAAAGTTTGTTTTATCTGATGGTATTACCATCCCTGCCCTTCTTGGTTGCTATGTGCATGAAATATCTTTTCACTTTCAACCTATTTATGTCTTTGGATTCTAAAGTGAGTTTCTTATAGACAGCATATGGTTAGATCATTTTTAAAAATCTATTCTGCCAAACTGTCTTTTGAGTGAAATGTTTAATCCATTTAAATTTAAAGTAATTACTGATGAGGGATTTTTGTCATTTGCTGTTTGTTTTTTATATGCCTTATAACTTCTTTTGTCTTTTTCTGCATTGACTCTTATATTTAATTTTTTAAATAGTGAGATATTTCAATTTCCTTACCTCCTTTTGTGTAAATTCCATAACTATTTTCTCTGCAGTTACTGTGAATATTACACTGAACATTCTAAAGTTTAACACTATAATTTGAATTTATGTCAGCTTTAATAACTTCAATAACATACAAGTTCTGTTCATTTACAGCTGCATCCCCACTGCTTTCAGCTATTGAAGTTAAAAAAAAATGCATCTTTGTACATTGTGTCCAAAAATGTAAACTAATAATTGTTTTAAAAATGCATTAGTCTCTTAAATTATGTAGAAAACAAAATGTAGCATTACAAACTTACATTGCAATAACACAGTTGACTATTGAAAATGTGGGGGTTAGAGGTGCTGACATCTGTGGAGTCAAAAATCTCCATATAAGTTTGACTTCCCAAAAAACTTAGCTATTAGTACCTTACTGTTGATCAGAAACATTACTGGTACCATAAACTGTTAACACATACTTTGTATATGTATTATATACTATATTCTTAAAGTAAGCTAAAAAATACAGAAGAGAAAATACATTTACTGTTTGTTAAGTGGAAATGGATCATCATAATGGTCTTCATTCTTGTCAACTTTATTTTGAGTAGGTTGAGGAGAAAGAAGAAGAGGACAGATTAGTCTTGCTGTCTCAGGGATGGCAGAGGCAGAAAGGTGGAGGAGGTGGAAGGGGAGGTAGGAGACACATGCACACTTGGTGTAACTTTACAAAAATACATTGTAGTTTCTGACTTTTTTTTTTTTGCTTTTGCATTTCTCTAAAAATGTTTCTATATGGTACCAATCCTCCTTCCACCATTTGCTTTAGTTTCAGTGACTGTATCATAGAAGGGTCCCGTGTCATAAAAGAAGTCAAAAAGCAGTCTTGAATAATCAAAACCCTTCTTCCAGATGGTCTAATGTCAATTTCTTTTCTGACGCAGCTACTGTTGTGTCTTCTTCCTCATTGCCTGGCCCTGGTTCTGAAGCACTCATCTCCCAGTCATCTTCTGTTAATTGCTCTGGGGTGACATCTACTGGTGCTTAAATTTTGTGTAATATTCACAATCTCTTTCATGATTTCCTTGATTGGCTCTGTTGTAAATCCTGTGAAGTCATGCACAACATTTGGACATGGTTTTCTCCAGTAGGAATTTATTATTTGGGGCTTGATGGCTTTAACAGATTTTTCTGTAACACCAGTGGCATCATGAATGGTGTAATCCTTCGACTTTCTTGATGTTCTCTCTAGCAGGGTTCTCTCTGGTAGTTCAACAATCTTTTCCATAGAGTACCATGTGTAATGAGCATTAAAGGTCCTTATGACCCTCTGATCTAGAGAGACTGGATTAGAGATGTTGTGTCTGGGGAGAAGTAGACCAACTTTTCAGTGTTGAACTTAGGGGTTTTGGGTGCCGGGGGCATTGTCCAATATCAAAAGAGTTTGAAAGGGGCTGGGCATGGTGGCTCATGCCTGTAATCCCAGCACTTAGGGAGGCTGAGGTGGGAGGATAGCTTGAGCCGAGGAGCTTGATACCTGCCTGGGCAACATAGCAAGACCCTGTACTCCACAAAAAGGGGAAAAAAGATTTTTAAAAAGTAGTTTAAAAGGCAGTCCTTTACTGGCAAGGTACTTCCTAAATTCAGGGACAAAGCATTGATGGAACCAGTCTAGAAAAAGTATTTGTATTGTCTAGGCCTTCTTGTTATACAACTAAAAGAATGGCAGCTGGTGTTTTCTTTTTTTTGTTTTGTTTTTTGTTTTGTTGTTGTTGTTGTTGCTCCTGTTAAGCCTCAGGGATTAGCAGCTTTATAGAAAAGGGAATTCCTGATCATAAACCTGACTGTGTTTGCACAAAACAGTAGAGTTGGCTTATCATTTCCTGCCTTAAATCCTGCTTCTCTTCATTACTAATAAATGTCCTCTGTGGCTTTTTTTTTTTTTTTTTCCGGAATAGAGCACTTTTGTATGCTTTAAAAACCTGTTCAGACACTATCACTTCTTCCCAGGTTGGTTTTGTTCCTGCTTTTTTCTTTTCTTTTCGACGGAGGCTCGCTCTTTTGCCCAGGCTGGAGTGAAGTAGTGTGATCTCGGCCCACTGCAACCTCTGCCCCCTGGGTTCAAGCGATTCTCCTGCCTCAGACTTCCGAGTAGCTGGCATTCCTGGTGCCCACCACCAAGCCCAGCTAATTTTTGTATTTTTAGTAGAGACAGCATTTCACCATGTTGGCCAGGCTGGTCTCAAGCTCCTGACCTCAGGTGATCCACCTGCCTTGACCTCCCAAAGTGCTGGGATTACAGGCTTAAATCACCACACCCATCCTCCCCAGGGATTTTCTTAATGGCACCTGGGAACCTGTCTGCTGCCTCTTGGTTGGCAGAAGCTGCTGCTTCTGTTACCTTGACAATTAAGCCAAACCTCTTCCTAAAATTATCAAACCATCCTTTGCTGGTGTTAAACACTCTAGCATTAGATCCTTTGCCTTCCTTTTGCTTTAAGTTGTCATGTAATGACTTCATTTTTTTCTCAAATCATATTAGAGTCTATATGTATGCCTTTCTTTTTTTTATTATACTTTAAGTTCTACTGTACATGTGTACAATGTGCAGGTTTGTTACATATGTATACATGTGCCATGTTGGTGTGCTGCACCCATTCACTCATCATTTACATTAGGTATTTCTCCTAATGCTATCCCTCCCCCTACCCCCACCAACACGACAGGCCCTGGTGCGTGATGTTCCCCACCCTGTGTCCAAGTGTTCTCATTGTATAATTCTCACCTATGAGTGAGAACATGCGGTATTTGGTTTTCTGCCCTTGCGATAGTTTGCTCAGAATGATGGTTTCCAGCTTCATCCATGTCCCTACAAAGGACATGATCTCATCCTTTTTCATGGCTGCATAGTATTCCATGGTGTATATGGGCCACATTTTCTTAATCCAGTCTATCATTGATGGACATTTGGGTTGGTTCCAAGTCATTGCTGTTGTGAATAGTGCCACAATAAACATACGTGTGCATGTGTCTTCATAGTGGCATGATTTATAATCCTTTGGGTATATACCCAGTAATAGGATGGCTGGGTCAGATAGTATTTCTAGTTCTAGATCCTTGAGGAATCGCCACACTGTCTTCCACAGTGGTTGAACTAACAGTGTAAAAGTGTTCGTTCAACCCACCAACAGTGTAAAAGTGTTCCTATTTCTTCACATCCTCTCCAGCACCTGTTATTTCCTGACTTTTTAATGATCACCATTCTAACTGGTGTGAGATGGTATCTCATTGTGGCTTTGATTTGCATTTCTCTGATGGCCAGTGATGATGAGCATTTTTTCATGTGTCTGTTGGCTGCATAAATGTCTTCTTTTGAGAAGTGTCTGTTCATATCCTTTGCCCACTTTGTGATGGGGTTCTTTGATTTTTTCTTGTAAATTTGTTTAAGTTCTTTGTAGATTCTGGATATTAGCCCTTTGTCAGATGAGCAGATTGCAAAAATTTTCTCCCATTCTGTAAGTTGTCTGTTCACTCTGGTAATTCTTTGCTGTGCAGAAGCTCTTTAGTTTAATCAGACCCCATTTGTCAATTTTGGCTTTTGTTGCCATTGCTTTTGGTGTTTTAGTCATGAAGTGCTTGCCCATGCCTATGTCCTGAATGGTATTGCCTAGGTTTTCTTCTAGGGTTTTTATGGTTTAAGGTCTTAGTTTAAGTCTTTAATCCATCTTGAGTTAATTTTTGTATAAGGTGTAAGGAAGGGATCCAGTTTCAGCTTTCTGCATATGGCTAGACAGTTTTCCCAGCACCATTTATTAAATAGGGAATCCTTTCCTCATTTCTTGTTTTTGTCAGGTTTGTCAAAGATCAGATGGTTGTAGATGTGTGGTATTATTTCTGAGGGCTCTGTACTGTTCCATTGGTCTATATGTCTGTTTTGATACCAGTAGCATGCTGTTTTGGTTACTGTAGCCTTGTAGTGTAGTTTGAAGTCAGGTAGCATGATGCCTCCAGCTTTGTTCTTTTGGCTTAGGATTGTCTTGGCAATGCAGTCTCTTCTTTGGTTCCATATGAACTTTAAAGTAGTTTTTTCCAATTCTGTGAAGAAAATCATTGGTAGCTTGATGGGGAAGGCATTGAATCTATAAATTACCTTGGGCAGTATGGCCATTTTCACAATATTGATTATTCCTACCCATGAGCATGGAACGTTCTTCCATTTGTTTGTGTCCTCTTTTATTTTGTTGAGTGGTGGTTTGTACCTCTCCTTGAAGAGGTCCTTCACATCCCTTGTAAGTTGGATTCCTAGGTATTTTATTCTCTTTGAAGCAATTGTGAATGGGAGTTCACTCATGATTTGGCTCTCTGTTTGTCTGTTATTGGTGTATAAGAATGCTTGTGATTTTTGCACGTTGATTTTGTATCCTGAGACTGCTGAAGTTGCTTATCAGCTTAAGGAGATTTTGGGCTGAGACTGTGGGGTTTTCTAAATACACAATCATGTCATCTGTAAACAGGGACAATTTGACTTCCTTTTTTCCTAATTGAATACCCTTTATTTCCTTCTCCTGCCTGATTGCCCTGGCCAGAACTTCCAACACTATGTTGAATAGGAGTGGTGAGAGAGGGCATCCCTGTCTTGTGCCAGTTTTCAAAGGGAATGCTTCCAGTTTTTGCCCATTCAGTATGATATTGGCTGTGGGTTTGTCATAAATAGCTCTTATTATTTTGAGATATGTGCCATCAATACCTAGTTTATTGAGAATTTTTAGTATGAAGGGCTGTTGAATTTTGTCAAAGGCCTTTTCTGCATCTATTGAGATAATCATATGGTTTTTGTCTTTGGTTCTGTTTATGTGATGGATTACGTTTATTGATTTGCATATGTTGAACCAGCCTTGCATCCCAGGGATGAAGCCCAGTTGATCATGGTGGATAAGCTTTTTGATGTGCTGCTGGATTCAGTTTGCCAGTATTTTATTGAGGATTTTTGCATCAATGTTTGTCAGGGATATTGGTCTAAAATTCTGTTTTTTTGTTGTGTCTCTGCCAGGCTTTGGTATCAGGATGATGCTGGCCTTGTAAAATGAGTTAGGGAGGCTTCTCTCTTTTTATATTGATTGGAATAGTTTCAGAAGGAATAGTAGCAGCTCCTCTTTGTACCTCTGGTAGACTTCAGCTGTGAATCCATCTGGTCCTGGACTTTGTTTTGATTGGTAGGCTATTAATTATTGCCTCAATTTCAGAGCCTGTTATTGGTCTATTCAGGGATTTAACTTCTTTCTGGTTGGAGGGTATATGTGTCCAGGAATTTATCCATTTCTTCTAAATTTTCTAGTTTATTTGTGTAGAGGTGTTTGTAGTATTCTCCGATGGTAGTTTGTATTTCTGTGGGATTGGTGGTGATATCACCTTTATCATTTTTTTATTGTGTTTATTTGATTCTTCTCTTTTCTACTTTACTAATCTTGCTAGCGGTCTGTCAATTTTGTTGATCTTTTCAAAAAACCAGCTCCTGGATTCATTGATTTTTTTTTTTGAAGGGTTTTTTGTGTCTCTATATCCTTCAGTTCTGCTCTGGTCTTAGTTATTGCTTGCCTTCTGCTAGCTTTTGAATGTGTTTGCTCTTGCTTCTCTAGTTCTTTTAATTGTGATGTTAGGGTGTCAATTTTAGATCTGTCCTGCTTTCTCTTGTGGGCATTTAGTGTTATAAATTTACCTCTACACACTGCTTTAAATGTCTCCCAGAGATTGTGGTATGTTGTGTCTTTGTTCTTATTAGTTTCAAAGAACATCTTTATTTCTGCCTTCGTTTCGTTATGTACCCAGTAGTCATTCAGGAGCAGGTTGTTCATTTTCCATGTAGTTGTGTAGTTTTGAGTGAGCTTCTTAATCCTGAGTTCTAATCTGATTGCACTGTGGTCTGAGAGACAGTTTGTTATGATTTCTGTTCTTTTACATTTGCTGAGGAGTGCTTTACTTCAAACTATGTGGTCAATTTTGGAATAAGTGCGATGTGGTGCTGAGAAGAATGTATATTCTGCTGATTTTTGGTGGAGAGTTCTGTAGATGCCTATTAGAGCTGCTTGGTGCAGAGTTGAGTTCAAGTCCTGGATATCCGTGTCAACTTTGTCTTGTTGATCTAATATTGACAGTGGGGTGTTAAAGTCTCCCATTATTATTGTGTGGGAGTCTGTCTCTTTGTAGGTCTTTAAGGACTTGCTTTATGAATCTGGGTGCTCCTGTATTTGGTGCATATATATTTAGGATAGTTAGCTCTTCTTGTTGAATTGATCCCTTTACCATTATGTAATGGTCTTCTTTGTCTCTTTTGATCTTTGTTGGTTTAAAGTCTGTTTTATCAGAGACTAGGATTGCAACCCCTGCTTTCTTTTGTTTTCCATTTGATTGGTAGATCTTCCTCCATCCCTTTATTTTGAGCCTATGTGTGTCTGTGCACGTGAGGTGGGTCTCCTGAATACAGCACACTGATGGGTCTTGACTCTTTATGCAATTTGCCAGTCTGTGTCTTTTATTTGGGGCATTTAGCCCATTTACATTTAAGGTTAATATTGTTATGTGTGAATTTGATCCTGTCATTATTATGTTAGCTGGTTATTTTGCTCATTAGTTGATGCAGTTTCTTCCTAGCATCGATGGTCTTTACAATTTGGCATGTTTTTGCAGTGGCTGGTACCGGTTATTCCTTTTCATGTTTAGTGTTTCCTTCAGGAGCTCTTGTAAGGCAGGCCTGGTGGTGATGAAATCTCTCAGCATTTGCTTGTCTGTAAAGTATTTTATTTCTCCTTCACTTATGAAGCTTAGTTTGGCTGGATATGAAATTCTGGGTTGAAAATTCTTTTAAGAATGTTGAATATTGGCCCCCACTCTCTTCTGGCTTGTAGAGTTTCTGCCAAGAGATCTGCTGTTAATCTGATGGGCTTCCCTTTGTGGGTAACCTGACCTTTCTCTCTGGCTGCCCTTAAGATTTTTTCCTTTATTTCAACCTTGGTGAATCTGATGATTATGTGTCTTGGGGTTGTTCTTCTTGAGGAGTATCTTTGTGCTGTTCTCTGTATTTCCTGAATTTCAATGTTGGCCTGCCCTGCTAGGTTGGGGAAGTTCTCCTGATAGTATCCTGAAGAGTGTTTTCCAACTTGGTTCCATTCTCCCCATCACTTTCAGGTACAGCAGTCAAATGTGGATTTGGTCTTTTCACATAGTCCCATATTTCTTGGAGGCTTTGTTCATTTTTTTTTTTTTACTCTTTTTTCTCTAAACTTCTCTTCTCACTTCATTTCATTCATTTGATCTTCAATCACTGATATCATTTCTTCCACTTGATACTAAATCTTATGCATGCATCACGTAGTTCTCATGCCACAGTTTTCAGCTCCATCAGGTCATTTAAGGTCTTCTCTGTGCTGAAGAGTTAGCCATTTGTCTAATCTTTTTTCAAGGTTTTAGCTTCCTTGTGATGGGTTCAAACATCCTCCTTTATCTCGGAGAAGTTTGTTATTACTGATCTTCTGAAGCCTACTTCTGTCAACTCGTCAAAGTCATTATCCGTCCAGCTTTGTTCTGTTGCTGGTGAGGAGCTGCAATCCTTTGGATGAGAAGAGGTGCTCTGGTTGTTAGATTTTTCAGCTTTTCTGCTCTGGTTTCTCACCATCTTTGTAGTTTTATCTACCTTTGGTCTTTCATGATGGTGATGTACAGATGGGGTTTTGGTGTGGATGTCCTTTCTGTTAGTTTTCCTTCTAACAGTCAGGACCCTCAGCTGCAGGTCAGTTGGAATTTGCTGAAGGTCCACTCCAGACCATTTTCCTGGGTATTACCAGCAGAGGCTGCAGAACAGCAAATATTGCAGAAGAGCAAACGTTGCTGCCTGATCCTTCCTCTGGAAGCTTCATCTCAGATGGACACCCGGCTGTATGAGGTGTCAGTCAGCCACTACTGGGAGATGTCTCCCAGTTAGGCTCCTGGGGGATCAGGGACCCATTTGAGGAGGTGGTCTGTCCATTCTCAGATCTCAAACTCCATGCTGGGAGAACCACTGCTCTCTTCAAAGCTGTCAGACAGGGATGTTTAAAAGTCTGTAGAAGTTTCTGCTGCCTTTTGTTTAGCTATACCTTGCCCCCAGAGGGGTGGGGTCTACAGAGGCAGGCAGGCCTCCTTGAGCTGATGTGGTCTCCACCCAGTTCCAGCTTCCCAATGACTTTGTTTACTTAGTCAAGCCTCAGCAATGGCAGACGCCCCTCCCCCAGCCTTGCTGCCACCTCGCAGTTTGATCTTGGACTGCTGTGCTAGCAGTGAGCAAGGCTCCGTGGGCATGGGACCCGCTGAGCCAGGTGCAGGATATAATCTCCTGGTGTGCTGTTTACTAAGACCTTTGGAAAAGTGCAGTATTAGGGAGGGAATGTCCCGATTTTTCCAGGTACCATCTGTCACGGCTTCCCTTGGCTAGGAAAGGGAATTCCCTAACCCTTTGCGCTTCCCAGGTGAGGCGATGCCCGCCCTGCTTTGGCTCACACTCTGTGGGCTGCACCCACTGTCCAACCAGTCCCAGTGAGATGAACCCAGTACCTCAGTTGAAAATGCAGAAATCACCCATCTTCTGCTCATGCTGGGAGCTGTAGGCTGGAGCTGTTCCTATTCGGCCATCTTGGAACCATATCCATGTATGTCTTTCTTCTGGCAACTCTGTACTCACATAAAAGCTGCATTTTCAACATGAGATAAAATATTTTGTACAGAGAGGAAGGTTTTCATGACTCCTGGCATAGCTGCAGCTTTAGCTTCTTTTTTTAAACAGTAGTCCTAATGTAGGATTCATTTATCTTGAAGTGGTAGACAACCCCAGCTGCAGACCTCAATCTATGCGTATCAAGTAATTCAACTTTTTCTTGTAATGTCAAGATTTTTCTCAGCTTCTTGAACACTTCCAGCATCACTAGTGGCATTTTGTATGGGCCTCAGGTTGTTACTGAAGGTTTACAGTATTTCACTAAACATAAGGAAAAATACATGAGAACTGCTGGAGATCTTTTTACTGCTATATGCAATTTACTAGAGGGACAAACTGTTCACATGGAGATGCAAAGCATCACACAACATTTTAAGCAGATACTCACCATACTTGGTCTTACTGCAACAGCAACAGAAAGTGTCTATGAAATTATTACAACAGTACAGTATGTACTCCAGTTAATTTTATGCAGTTATGATTTCATACCACATCTTTATTTATGTTTCTCTTGACTGCAAATGGCACAATGTATGGCATGTAAGTGTGTAAGTTTTCATAAATTTTACCTTTTTCTAATTTCTATATATTTTATGGTAGAAGAGATAAAATAGCACCTATTTATAGTTTATACATTCATAACATTTACTTTTTTATATTTCTAGACTATGCAATGCATCCGTGATTATTTTCCAATTGTTGCAAATCTCAAAAAAGTTTTCCAATAATTTTTTTTTTTTAAATCCATATGTGGCTGGGCATGGTGGCTCATGCCTGTAATCCCAGCACTTGGGAAGCTAAGGAGGGTGGATCCCTTGAGTCCACGAGTTCATAAACCATCCTAGGCAACGTGGCAAAACCCTGTCTCTACAGAAAATACAAAAAAATTAGCCAGACATGATGGCACATGCCTGTGGTCCCAGCTACTTGGGAGGCTGAGGTAAGAGGATCACCTGGGCCTGGGAGGTTGAGGCTGCAGTGAGCTATGATTGTGCCACTGCAATCCAGTCTGGGTGACACAGTGAGACCCTGTCTCAAAAAAAAAAAAAAAAAGTAAAAATCCACATATAAGTGGACCCATGTTGTTCAAGGGTTAACTGTACTAGCTTTTGGACTAGTAATAATTTTTAGTCTCTTAAATCATGCAGGAAACAAAGAATGTGGTTACAGATAATTCTTACAAGAATATTAGCTTTAAAAATTGCCCATGTTTTACCTTTGCTGAGATCTTTATTTCTTCATATAGCTTCATGTTATTGTCTAGTGTCCTTTCATTTCAACCTGTAGGACTCCCTCTAGTTTTTTTTTTTGCAGGACAGGTCTAGTGGTCACAAACTCCCTCAACTTCTATTTATCTGGGAATCTCTTTTTTTCAGTTGTTAAATTTTAATCAAAGCTTGTGTATAAGATTACTTTATTCCTGCATCTTCTCAATTGTTTCTTCCTTGTGTTTGACCTTTTCCTTTCCCATTTGGTGAGATTTGGCTTTCCATTCAAGGATCTTTTTGTGGTCTTTGTCTGTTTTTAGCCTAGTGATAACCACCTTGCTGGGGTGAATGCATATGTGGACAGTGGCACCATTAGCCTTTTCCTGCTGCACCCATACAGTGTAGATAACATATTTCTTTTATAAACCTGGACTACTTTGCCAATTTGCTGACCTTTTATAGTGTCCTCATACAACCTGAACTTCATCATCCTTTCGGATGGGCAGGGACCACACGTTGTACTTCTGTCTCAGCTGTTTGGAAAGAGGGGAAGACATCTTTCTGGGAATGTGGGAAGGTGCTTTGAAATGCCTTTTGCAATTCTTCCTTCGGTTGGAAGTCACAAAGGGATTGAACTTTGTTTTGGTTGCTCCCACTTTGGTGATGGCTGCAAAAGCGTTATCTGGGAATCTTTTAATATCTCCCTCACTTTTTTTCCCCCAGTGAAACTTAATTTATTACCCTAAAATGTAAATTACATAACATTTTCACATATCATGAAATATTATTCCTGTTAATTTTTCAACTATTTTAAACTGTACAAATTATTCTTAGCTCATTAGCTGTAGAAAAATGAGTAGCAAGCTGAATTTGGCTCAAGGGCTGCAGTTTGTTGACTCATGAGTTTATTTTTCATTTTTAATTTTTTTAAAATTATACTTTAAGTTCTAGGGTACATGTGCACAGCGTGCAGGTTTGTTACATATGTATACATGTGCCATGTTGGTGTGCTGCACCAATTAACTCGTCATTTACATTAGGTATATCTCCTAATGCTATCCCTTCCCCCTCCCCCCACCCCACAACAGGCCCCGGTGTGTGATGTTCCCCTTCCTGTGTCCAGGTGTTCTCATTGTTTTATCAGAGACTAGGATTGCAACCCCAGCCTTTTTTTGTTTTCCATTTGCTTGGTAGATCTTCCTCCATCCCTTTATTTTGAGCCTTTGTGTGTCTCTGCACGTGAGATGGGTCTCCTGAATACAGCACACTGATGGGTCTTGACTCTTTATGCAATTTGCCAGTCTGTGTGTTTTAATTGGAGCATTTAGCCCATTTACATTTAAGGTTAATATTGTTATGTGTGAATTTGATCCTGTCATTATGTTGTTAGCTGGTTATTTTGCTCGTTAGTTGATGCAGTTTCTTCCTAGCCTCGATGGTCTTTACAACTTGTCATGTTTTTGCAGTGGCTGGTACCAGCTGTTCCTTTCCATGTTTAGTGCTACCTTCAGGAGCTCTTGTAAGGCAGGCCTGGTGGTGACAAAATCTCTCAGCATTTGCTTGTCTGTAAAGGATTTTATTTCTCCTTCACTTATGAAGCTTAGTTTGGTTGGATATGAAATTCTGGGTTGAAAATTCTTTTCTTTAAGAATGTTGAATATTGGCCCCCACTCTCTTCTGGCTTGTAGAGTTTCTGCCAAGAGATCTGCTGTTCGTCTGATGGGCTTCCATTTGTTGGTAACCTGACCTTTCTCTCTGGCTGCCCTTAACATTTTTTCCTTCATTTCAACCTTGGTGAATCTAATGATTATGTGTTTTGGAGTTGCTCTTCTCAAGGAGTATATTTGTGGTGTTCTCTGTATTTCCTGAATTTGAATGTTGGCCTGCCTTGCTAGGTTGGGGAAGTTCTCCTGGATAATATCCTGTAGAGTGTTTTCCAACTTGGTTCCATTCTCCCCATCACTTTCAGGTACACCAATCAGACATAGATTTGGTCTTTTCACGTAGTCCCATATTTCTTGGAGGCTTTGTTTCTTTTTACTCTTTTTTCTTTTTTTTTCTTTTTTGCTTTTAAATTTGTTTATTTATTTATTATTATTTTTTTTTCGGTCAGATTTTATTTAAATTTCAACTTTTAGATTCGGGGGTACACATATAGGTTTGTTACGTGGGTATATTGGGGTATGAGGTTGGGGTGCTGAGGTTGGGGTGCAATTGAATCTGTCACCCTGGTAGTAAGCAGAGTCCTGAATAGGTTGTTTTTCAACCCTCCCCCCCTCCTGCCCTTCCCACTCTTGTAGTCCTCAGGGTCTGTTGTTCCCATCTTTATGTGGGACACATTTTAAAAGCTTAATACAGACTGCACTCTGGTACTCAAAGAGTCTCATTTCTCTTGTAGGTTACAGTCCCACCATTTGTTGATCCTCTTTTTTTTTTTTTTTTTTTTAAATTGATCATTCTTGGGTGTTTCTCGCAGAGGGGGATTTGGCAGGGTCATAGGACAATAGTGGAGGGAAGGTCAGCAGATAAGCAAGTGAACAAAGGTCTCTGGTTTTCCTAGGCAGAGGACCCTGTGGCCTTCCGCAGTGTTTGTGTCCCTGGGTACTTGAGATTAGGGAGTGGTGATGACTCTTAACGAGCATGCTGCCTTCAAGCATCTGTTTAACAAAGCACATCTTGCACCGCCCTTAATCCATTTAACCCTGAGTGGACACAGCACATATTTCAGAGAGCACAGGGTTGGGGGTAAGTAAGGTCATAGATCAACAGGATCCCAAGGCAGAAGAATTTTTCTTAGTACAGAACAAAATGAAAAGTCTCCCATGTCTACTTCTTTCTACACAGACACAGCAACTATCCGATTTCTCAATCTTTTCCCCACCTTTCCCCCTTTTCTATTCCACAAAACCGCCATTGTCATCATGGCCCATTCTCAGTGAGCTGTTGGGTACACCTCCCAGACGGGGTGGTGGCCGGGCAGAGGGGCTCCTCACTTCCCAGTAGGGGCGGCCGGGCAGAGGCGCCCCCCACCTCCCAGACGGGGCGGCTGGCCGGGCGGGGGGCTGACCCCCCACCTCCCTCCCGGATGGGGCGGCTGGCCGGGTGGGGGGCTGACCCCCCACCTCCCTCCCAGACGGGGCGGCTTGCCGGGCGGGGGGCTGAACCCCACCTCCCTCCCGGACGGGGAGGCTGGCCGGGTGGGGGGCTGACCCCCCACCTCCCTCCCAGACGGGGCGGCTTGCCGGGCGGGGGGCTGAACCCCACCTCCCTCCCGGATGGGGTGGCCGCCGGGCGGAGACGCTCCTCACCTCCCAGACAGGGCGGCTGCCGGGCGGAGAGGCTCCCCACCTCTCAGACGGGGTGGCTGCCAGGCGGAGGGGCTCCTCATTTCTCAGACTGGGCGGCCGGGCAGAGACGCCCCTCACCTCCCAGATGGGGTCGCGGCCGGGCAGAGGCGCTCCTCACATCCAAGATGGGGCGGCGGGGCAGAGGTGCTCCTCACATCCCAGACGATGGGTAGCCGGGCAGAGACGCTCCTCACTTCCTAGATGGGATGGCGGCTGGGAAGAGGCGCTCCTCACTTCCTAGATGGGATGGCGGCCGGGCAGAGATGCTCCTCACTTTCCAGACTGGGCAGCCAGGCAGAGGGGCTCCTCATATCCCAGACGATGGGCGGCCTGGCAGAGACGCCCCTCACTTCCCAGACGGGGTGGCGGCCGGGCAGAGGCTGCAATCTCGGCACTCTGGGAGGCCAAGGCAGGCGGCTGGGAGGTGGAGGTTGTAGCCAGCCGAGATCAGGCCACTGCACTCCAGCCTGGGCACCATTGAGCACTGAGTGAACGAGACTCCGTCTGCAATCCTGGCACCTCGGGAGGCCGAGGCTGGCGGATCACTCGCAGTTAGGAGCTGGAGACCAGCCTGGCCAACACAGCGAAACCCCGTCTCCACCAAAAAAATACGAAAACCAGTCAGGCGTGGCGGCGCCCGCCTGCAATCCCGGGCACTCAGCAGGCTGAGGCAGGAGAATCAGGCAGGGAGGTTGCAGTGAGCCGAGATGGCAGCAGTACAGTCCAGCTTTGGCTTGGCATCAGAGGGAGACCGTGGAAAGAGAGGGAGAGGGAGACCGTGGGGAGAGGGAGAGCACTACTCTTTTTTCTTTAAACTTCTCTTCTCACTTCATTTCATTCATTTGATCTTCAATCACTGATACCCTTTCTTCCAGTTGATCGAATCGGCTACTGAAGCTTGTGCATTTGTCATGTAGTTCTCGTGCCATGGTTTTCAGCTCAATCAGGTCATTTAAGGAATTTTCTACACTGGTTATTCTAGTTAGCCATTTGTCTACTCTTTTTTCAAGGTTTTTAGCTTCTTTGTGATGGGTTCGAACTTCTTCCTTTTGCGCGGAGAAGTTTGATCGTCTGAAGCCTTCTTCTCTCAACTTGTCAAATTCATTATCTGTCCAGCTTTGTTCCATTGCTGGCAAAGAGCTGCATTCCTTTGGAGGGGGAGAGTCGCTCTGATTTTTAGAATTTTCAGCTTTTCTGCTCTGTTTTTTCCCCATCTTTGTGGTTTTATCTACCTTTGGTCTTTGATGATGGTGATGTACAGATGGGGTTTTGGTGTGGATGTCCATTCTGTATGTTAGTTTTCCTTCTAACAGTCGGGACCCTCAGCTGCAGGTCAGTTGGAGTTTGCTGGAGGTCCACTCCAGACCCTGTTTGCCTGGGTATCAGCAGCGGAGGCTGCAGAACAGTGAATATTGCTGAACAGCAAATGTTGCTGCCTGTTCTTTCCTCTGGAAGCTTCATTTCAGAGGGGTACCAGGCCGTGTGAGGTGTCAGTCTGGGTGTCTCCCATTTAGGCTACTCGGGGGTCAGGGACCCACTTGAGGAGGCAGTCTGTCTGTTCTCAGATCTCAAACTCCATGCTGGGAGAACCACTACTCTCTTCAAAGCTGTCAGACAGGGACATTTAAGTCTGCAGAGGTTTCTGCTGCTTTTTGTTTGGCTATGCCTTGCCTCCAGATGTGGAGTCTACAGAGGCAGGCAGGCCGCCTTGAGCTGAGGTGGTCTCCACCCAGTTCCATCTTCCTGGCCGCTTTGTTTACCTACTCAAGCCTCAGCAATGGCGGGCGCCCCTCCCCCAGCCTCGCTGCCACCTTGCAGTTTGATCTCAGCCTGCTGTGCTAAAAATGAGCGAGGCTCCTTGGGCATGGGACCCTCTGAGCCATGTTTGGGCTATAATCTCCTGGTGGTGCCGTTTGCTAAGACAGTTGGAAAAGTGCAGTATTAGGGTAGGAGTGACCTGATTTTCCAGGTGCCATATGTCAACCCTTCCCTTGGCTAGGAAAGGGAATTCCCTGACCCCTTGGGCTTCCCAGGTGAGGCAATGCCTCACCCTGCTTTGGCTTATGCTAGGTGGGCTGCACCCACTGTCCTGCCCCCACTGTCCAAGGATCCCCAGTGAGATGAACCCAGTACCTCAGTTGGAAATGCAGAAATCACCTGTCTTCTGCATTACTCATGCCGGGAGCTGTAGACTAGAGCTGTTCCTATTCAGCCATCTTGGAACTGCCCCTCGAGTTTATTTTTTAAAATTTTTTATTTCCATAGGTTATTGGGTAGTGTTTGGTTACATGAGTAAGTTCTTTGGTGGTGATCTATGAGATTTTAGTAAATGGCCACCAATCAATGAGTGGATACAGAAACTGTGATTTATATATATATCACATATGTATATACATGTGTGTATATGTATATATCACATGTATATATATGTATATATCACATATATGTGTATAAATAACATGTGTATATATATCATATATGTATACATATATATCATATGTATACATATATATGTATCATACATCTATATCTATATATCATATATGTGATACATATATATACATATATATGATATATATCACATATCTATATATCAACCACATATATACATATATGTATATATATCAGTTTATATATATGAATAATATATGTTTTATATATATATACACACACATATATGAGATGGAATACTACTCAGCCATAAAAAGGAATGAATTAATGGCATTCACAGCAACCTGGATGAGATTGGAGACTATTATTCTAAGTGAAGAAACTCAGGAATGGAAAACCAAATATTGTATGTTCTCACTCATAAGTAGGAGCTAAGCTGTCAGGGTGCAAAGGCATAAGAATGACACAATGGACTTTGGGGGCTTGAAGAAAGTGTGGGAAGGGTGTGAGGGATAAAATATTTCCCTCACTTCTGCAGGACAGTTTTGCTTGATATAAAATTGTTGGTTGTCATATTTCTAGAATTGATACATAATATTTGTACATATTAATGTGGTGCATGTTATTTTGTTACATGCATAGAATATGTAATAATAAAGTTTAGGTATATAGGGTATCCATCACCTTGAATATTGTTTCTTCAGGTTGGGAATGTCTCAAGGCCTCTCTTTTAGCTATTTTGACATATATAACACATTGTTAATTATAGTCACCCTACTCTGCTATCAAACATTAGAACTTATTCCTTCTATGCAACTGTATGTTTGTATCCATTAACCAACCTCTCTTCATCCCCCCTCTACCGACATACCTTTCCCAGTCTCTGGTATGTATCATTCTACTCTCAGCCTTTATGAGATCAACTTCCTTAGCCTTTATATATGAGTGAGAACATGCAATATTTGTCTTTCTGTGCCTGGATTATTTCATTTAACATAATGACCTTCAGTTCTATCCATGTTGCTGAAAATGGCATGGTTTCATTCTTTATTTTATGGCCAAATAGTGTCCCATTTTGTATATATCACATTTCATTCATTCATTTATTCATTCATTCATTCATACAGTGATGGCCACTTGGGTTGATTCCCTATCTTTGCTATTGTGAATGGTACTGCAATAAATATGAGAGGGCAGGTATCTATTTGATATACTGATTTCTTTTCCTTTGACTAAATTCCCAGCAGTGGAATTGCTGGGTCATATGGTAGCTCTATTTTTAGTTTTCAGAGAACTCCATATTGTTTTGCATAGTGGCAATGCTAATCTACATTCCCACCAACAGTGTACAAGAGTTGCCTTTTCTCTGTATCCTTGCCAGCATCTGTTTTTTTTAAAAAAAAATTTTATAATAGCTACTCTAACTATATCTCATTTTGGTTTCAATGTACATTTCCCTGATGAGTAGTGATGAACTTTTTAAAAATTTCTTTTACCTGTTGGCCACTTGTAGATCGTCTTTTGAGAAATGTCTATTTATGTAATTTCTCCACTTTTTCATGTGATTATTATTACTGAGTTGTTTGAGTTGCTTGTATATTCTAGATAATAGCCCCTTGAGGGATGAATAGTTGGCTAATATTTTCTCAAACATTCAACAGATTGTCTCTTCATTTCATTGATTGCTTTGTTTACTGTGCAGAAGCTTTTTAGTTTATGATAGTCTCCTTGTCTATTTGTGTTTTTATTGTCTGTGCTTTTGAGGTCTTAGCCATAAAATCTTTGTCTAGATAAATGTCCTGAAGTGTTTTCCCTGTTTTCTTCTAGTAGTTTTATATTTTCAGATGTTACATTTAAGCCTTTCATCTAGCTTGAGTTGACATTTATGTGCAGTGAGAAATAGGGGTCCAGTTTCATTTTTCTGCATATAGACATTCAATTTTCCCAGCATTACTTATTGAAAAACATGTCCTTTGCCCAGTGTATGTTCTTGGTGTCTTTGTCAAAAATCAGTTGGCTGTAAGTATGTGACTTTTTCTGTGTTCTCTGTTTTGCTCCATTGGTCTGTGTGTCTGTTTTTATACCAATACTTGCTGTTTTGGTTACTATAGCCTTGAAATATATTTTGAACCAGGTAATATGATGCCTCCAGCTTTGTTCTTTTTATTCAGGAGGACTTTGACTATTCTGGCTCTTTTTTGGTTTCATTTGAATTCTAGGATTTTTTTTCCATTTCTGTGAAAAATGACATTGGTATTTTGATAGAGATTGTGTTGAATCTGTAGATTGCTTTGGGTAGTATGGTCATTTTAACTATGTTAACTCTTCTGATTCGTGAGCATGGGATGTCTTTCTATTTGTGTCCTCTTTAATTTCTTTCAACAGAGTCTTGAAGTTTTCCTTGTAAAGGTCTTTTGCTTCCTTGGTTAAATTTATTCCTAGGTATTATTTTTTTTGGAGCCATTGTAAATGGGATTGCTTTTTTGATTTATTTCTCAGTTTATTATTGGTGTTTAGAAATGCTGTTGATTTTTGTAAGTTGATTTTATATCCTATTTTGCTAAATTTACTTATGAATATAAGTTTTTTCATAAAGTTTTAAGATTTTTTCTAGATAAAAGATCATGTTATCTGCAGAGGAACAATTTGACTTCCTCTTTCCACATTTTTATTTTTATTTTTTTAGACAGGGTCTTACCCTGTCACCCAGGCTGGAGTGCAGTGGTACAATCTCGGCTCACTGCAACCTCTACCTCCCAGGTTCAAGCAATTCTCCTGCCTCAGCCCCCTGGGATAGCTGGGATTACAGGCACCCGCCACTACACCTGTCAAATTTTTGTATTTTTTTAGTAGAGACGGTTTCACCATGTTGGCCAGGCTGGTCTCGAACTCCTAACCTCAGGTTATCCTCCCACTTTGGCCTCCCAAAATGCTGGGATTACAGGCATGAGCCACTGCACCTGGCCTATGTCTTTTATTTATTTTTCTTACCTGATTGCTCTGGCTAGGACTTCCAGTGCTATGTTTATTAAGAGTGGTGAAAGTGAACATTCTTGACTTGTTTCAGTTTTCAGAGAAAAGGTTTTCAGGTTTTTCCCATTCAGTGTGGTGTTAGATGTGGACTTGTTGTATATGGCCTTTATTATGTTGAGGTATGTTCCTTCTATGCCTACTATGTTGGAAGTTTTTATCATTAAGGGATGTTGAATTTTATCAAATGCTTTTTCTCCATTTACTGAGATATGATTTTTGTCTTCCTTTCTGTTGGTGTGATATATTATGTTTAACTTGTATATGTTGAACCATCCTTGCATCCTTGGGATAAATTCCACTAGATCATGGTGTATTATGTTTTTGATATTGGATTTAGTTTGCTTAGTATTTTGAGGATTTTTGTCTCTGTTAATCAGGGATATTGGCTTGTGGTTTTCTCTTTTTTTTTAATTAGGGAAAACTTTGAATGAATTAGGGAAATTTTCCTCCTTTTCAATTTTTTGCAACAGTTTGAGGAAAATTGGTATTAAATCTTCTTTGTAAGTTTGGCAGAATTCAACAGTGAAGCCATGCAGTCCTGCACTTTTTTTTTGTTGACAGACCTTTTATTACTGGTTCAATTTCATTTCTCATTGTTGGTCTGTCCGGGTTTTCTATTTCTTCCTGACTCAATCTGGGTAGGTTTAGTGTGTCCAGGAATTTATCAATTTTCTATTAGTTATTTATAATTTCTGATCTTTTATATTTCTGTGGTATGTCTCCTATTGTAATGTTTCCTTTTTTGTTTCTTTTAGATTTGGGGGTATATGTGAAGGTTTGGTACATAGATGAACATATGTCATGGGGGTTTGTCATACATGTATTACATTACCTAAGAATTAAGCCAGTACCCAATAGTTACCTTTTCTGCTCTTATCCCTCCTCCCAACCTCCCCGCTCAAGTAGACTCCAGTGTCTATTGTTTTCTTCTTTGTGTTAGTAAGTTTTTATTATTTAGCTCCCACTTATAAGTGAGAACATGCAGCATTTGGTTTTCTGTTTCTGTGTCGGTTTGCTAAGGATAATGGCCTCCAGCTCCATCCATGTTCCCACAAAAGACATGATCTCATTGTTTTTTTATGGCTGTGTAGTATTCCATAGTGCATATGTACCTCATTTTCTTTATCCAGTCTGTCATTTATGAGCATTTAAGTTGATTCCATGTATTTGCTATTGTGAATAGTGCTGCAATGAACATTTGCATACATGTGTCTTTATGGTAGAATGACTTAATATTCCGCTGGGTATATACCCAGTAATGGGATTGCTGGGTCTAATGGTAGTTCTGCTTTTAGCTCTTTGAGGAATCAACATACTGCTTTCCACAATGGTTGAACTAATTTACACTCCCATCAACAGTGTATAAGTGTGCACTTTTCTCCAAAACCTCACCAGTATCTGTTATTTTTTGAGTTTTTAATAATAGCTATTCTGACTGGTGTGAACTAGTATCTCATTATGGTTTTATTTGCATTTCTCTAATCAGTAATATTGAGCTTTTTTCTTTTTTTTAAAGTTTTTTATTCTTTAAGTCTTTTTAAATATGTTTGTTGGCTGCATGTATGTCTTCTTTTGAGAAATATCTGTTCATGTCCTTTGCCCACTTTTTAATGGGGTTGTTTTTTCTTATAAATTTAAGTCCCTCATAGATGCTGGATATTAGACCTTTGTCAGATGCATAGTTTGCAAAAATTTTCTCCCATTTTAGACTGCCTGTTTACTCTGTTGATAGTTTCTTTTGCTGTGCAGTATCTCTTAAGTTTAATCAGACCCACTTGTCAAATTTTGTTTTCGTTGCGATTGCTTTTAGTGTCTTTGTCATGAAACCTGCCTGTTCCTATGTCCAGGATGGTATTGCCTATGTTGTCTTCTGGGGTTTTTATAGTTTTGGGTTTTACATTTAAGTCTTTAATCCATCTCGAGTTAATTTTTGTGTATGGTGTGAGCAAGGGGGTCCAGCTTCAGTCTTCTGCATACGGCTAGCCAGTTATCCCAGTACTGTTTATTGACAAGGGAGTCTTTTCCCCATTGCTTGTTTTTTGTCAGCTTTGTTGAAGATCAGATGGTTGTAGATGTGTGGTCCTATTTCTGGGCTGTCTATTCTGCTCCCTTGGTCTATGTGTCTGTTTTTTGCACCAGTACCATGCTGTTTTGGTTACTGTAGCATTGTAGTATAATTTGAAGTCAGGTAACGTGATGCCTCCAGTTTTGTTCTTTTTGCTTAGGGATGCCTTAGCTGTTCAGGCTCTTTTTTTGGTTCCATATGAATTTTAAGATAGTTTTTTCCAGTTCTGTGAAATGTCATTGGTAGTGTGATAGGAATAGCATTGAATCTGTAAATTGCTTTGGGCAGTGTAGTCATTTTAATGGTATTGATTTTTCGTATTCATGAACATGGGATGTTTTCCCATTTGTTTTTGTCTTCTCTGAGTTCTTTGAGCAGTGTTTTATAATTCTCATTGTAAAGCTTTTTCATCTTCCTTGTTAGCTGTATTCCTAAGTATTTTATTTTTGTGGCATTTGTGAATGAGATTACATTTTTGATTTGCCTCTCAGTTTGGCCATTGTTGATGTATAGAAATACTAATGATTTTTGTACATGGATTTTTGTATCCTGCAACTTTGAAGTTATTTATCAGCTTAAGGAGCTTTTGGGCTGACACTAATCATGTCATCTGCAAACAGATGTTTGACTTTCTCTCTTCCTATTTCAATGTCCTTTCTTTCTCTTGCCTAATTGCTCTGGCTAGGACTTCCAATACTATGTTAAATAGAAGTGGTGAGAGAGAGCATTCTTGTGCCAGTTTTCAAGGGGAATGCTTCCAGCTTTTGCCCACTCAATGTAATTTTGGCTCTAAGTTGGTCATAGATGGCTCTTATTATTTTGAGGTATGTTCCTTCAATACCTAGTTTGAGAAGTTTTAACATGAAGGAGTGTTGAATTTTATCAAAAGTCTTTTCTGTGTCTATTGAGATAATCATGTGGTTTTTGTCTTTAGTCCTGTTTATGTGATAAATCACATTTTTTGATTTTGCCTATGTTGAACCAACCTTGCATCCCAGGGATGAAGCCTACTTAATCATGGTGGATTAGCTTTTTGATATGCTGCTGTATTCGGTTTGCAAGTATTGTATTGAGGATTTTTGCATCAATGTTCATCAAGGATATTGGCCTGAAGTTTTCTTTTTTTGTTGTTGTGTCTCTGTCAGGTATCAAGATGATGCTGGCCTCATAGAATGAGTTGGGGAGGAGTCATTCCTTGTCAAATTTTTTGGAATAGTTTCTGTAGGAATGGTACCATCTCTTTTTTTGTACATCTGGTAGAATTCGTCTGTGAATCCATCCAGTCACATGCTTCTTTGAAAGCCCAGGACTGGTTGGTAGGCTTTTTATTACTGGTTGGTTGATAGGCTATTTATTACTGATTCAATTTTAGAGCCTGTTATTAGTCTGATCAGGGAATCAATTTCTTCCTAGCTCGGAAGTGGGAGGATGTAGGCTGTATGTTTCCAGAAATTTATCCATCTCATCTAGGTTTTGTAGTTTGTGTGCATAGAGGTGTTTGTAGTAATTTCTGAGGGTGGTGTTTTGTTGTTGTTGTTGTTTTCCCTTTTTTGGAGATGGAGTCTTGCTCTTTTGCCCAGGCTGGAGTGCAGTGGTGCAGTCTCGGCTCACTGCAACCTCTGCCTCCCAGGTTCACACAATTATCCTGTCTCAGCCTCTTGAGTAGCTGGGATTACAGACATGCACCACCATCCCTGGCTAATTTTTGTGTTTTTTAGTAGAGACGGGGTTTCACCATGTTGGCCAGGCTGGCCTCAAACTCCTGACTTCAAATGATCCACCTGCCTCAGCCTCCCAAAGTGCTGGGATTACAGGCATGAACCACTGTGCCTGGCTTGTTTCTGATTGTTGTTTTTATTTCTTTGGGGTCAGTAGTAACATTCCCTTTGTAATTTCCAATTGTGTTTATTTGGATCTTTTCTTTTCTTCCTTATTCTTCTAGCTAGTGACCTATCTGTTAATTTTTTCAAAAAACCAACTCCTGGATTAATTGATCTTTTGAGTGGTTTTTCATGTCTCAATTTGTAGTTCAGTTCTGATTTTTATTATCTTCTGCTAGCTTTGGAGCTGATTTGTTCTTCCTTCTCTAATTCTTTCAGTTGTGAAGTTAGGTTAATTTGAGATCTTTCTAACTTTTTGATGAGGGCATTTAGTGCTATGAATTCCCCTCTTAACACTGCCTTAGCTGGGTCCCAGATATTCTGGTATGTTTTATCTTTGTTCTTATTTTCAAAGAACTTCTTGATTTCTGCCTTAATTTCATTATTTATCCAAAAGTCATTCAGGAGCATGCTGTTTAATTTCCATGTAATTGCATGGTTTTGAGCGATTTTCATTGTCTTCTATTTTTATTGTGCTGTGGTTTGAGAGTGTGTTTCATATGATTTTGACTCTTTTACACTTGTTGAGGATTGTTTTATATCCAATTATGTGGTTGATTTTAGAGTATGTGCCATTTGATAATGAGAATAATGTATATTCTGTTGTTTTGGGGTGGAGAGTTCTGTAAAGGTCTAACAGATTCATTTGGACCAGTGTTGAGGTTAGGTCCCGAATATCTTGTTAATTTTCTGCCTCAATGATCTGTCTAATACTGTCAATGGAGTGTTGAAGTATCCTACTATTATTGTGTAGGAGTCTGTCTCTTTGTAGATATCTAAGAACTTGCTTTATGAATCTGGATGCTCCTGTGTTGGTTGCATATATATTTAGGATTGTTAGTTCTTATTAAATTGAACCGTTTACCATTATGTAATGCCCTTCTTTGTGTTTTTTGATCTTCACTGGTTTGAAATCTGTTTTGTCTGTAGTTAAGATTGCAACCTTTACTTTTTTGTTTTCCATTTGCTTGGTAGATTTTCCTCCATTCCTTCATTTTGAGTCTGTGAGTGTCATTACATGTGAGATGTCTCTTAAAGGCAGCATACCATAGGGTCTTGCTTTTTTATCCAGCTTGCCACTCTGTGCCTTTTAAGAGGGCATTTAGCCCACTTATATCCAAGGTTAGTATTGATATGTATGGATTTGATTCTGTCATTGTGCTGTTAGTTGCTTAAGATGTTGGCTTTTGTGTGTTTGCTTCTAGTTTTTGTATTAGCTGATAGCAGTCTTTCCTTTCTATATTTAGTGCTGCTTTCAAGATCTCTCATGTGGCAGGTCTGGTGGTAATGAATTCCCCCAACATTTTGTTATCTGAAAAGGATTTTATTTCTCCTTCACTTAGGAAACTTAGTTGGGCTGGATATAAAATTCTTGGTTGAAGATGTTTTTCTTTAAGAATGTTGAATATAAGCCCCCCAATCTCTTCTGGCATGTAGGGCTTTAGCTGAGAGGTCTGCTGTTAGCCTAACAGGGTTCCTTTTGTAGGTGACCTGCCCTTTCTCTCTAGCTGTGTTTAATATTCTTTCTTTCATTGCGACCTTGGAAAATCTGATTATGTGTCTTGGGGATGATCATCATGTATAGAATCTTTCAGAAGTATTTTCTGAATTTGACTGTTGGCCTCTCTAGCAAGGTTGGGGATGTTTTCATAGATGATATCTCAAATGTGTTTTCCAAATTGTTTGCTTTCTCTCCCTCCCTTTCATGGATGCCAATGATTCATAGATTTGGTCTCTTTACATAATCCCATACTTCTCAGAGGTTTTTTTCATTTTATAATTTTTAAAAAATTTTTTGTCTGAAAATTTTAGAGACTTAGTCCTCAAGTTCTGAGATTCTTTCCTCAGCTTGGTTTATTCTACTGTTAATACTTGTGATCACATTGTGAAATTCTTTTTTTTTTTTTTTTTTTTGAGACGGAGTCTCGCTCTGTCGCCCAGGCTGGAGTGCAGTGGCGGGATCTCGGCTCACTGCAAGCTCCGCCTCCCGGGTTCACGCCATTCTCCTGCCTCAGCCTCCCAAGTAGCTGGGACTACAGGCGCCCGCCACTACGCCCGGCTAATTTTTTGTATTTTTAGTAGAGACGGGGTTTCACCGTTTTAGCCGGGATGGTCTCGATCTCCTGACCTCGTGATCCGCCCGCCTCGGCCTCCCAAAGTGCTGGGATTACAGGCGTGAGCCACCGCGCCCGGCCGTGAAATTCTTGTATTATGTTATGCAGCTCTGTCAGACCCATTAGGTTCTTTTTTATACTAGCTATTTCATCCTTCAACTTCTGTATTGCTTTATTGTGATTCTTATTTTCCTTGAATTGGGTTTTTCTGTCCACCTGAATCTTCATGATTTTTGTTCCTATCTATTTCTGAACTCTATTTCTGTCATTCCAACCAGTTTGGCCTGGTTAAAAACTCTTGTTGGAGAATGGATGCAGTCATTTGGAGGACATATGACACTCTGGCCATTTGAGTAACCGGGGTTCTTCTGTTGGTTCTTTCTCAGCTCTTTGTGTGGGTGTTCTTTTAACTGCAGTGTAGACTGACTGCAGTAAATAGGCTTCTTTTCTGGATGTTTTCACCAGGCCAAAGCTTTGTGCAGGGTCTTTATTTGAAACTGACTTCTTGTCTCTGGTTTCAGAGGGGGTATGTTAGTGAGGTATCTTTGGTGTTGAAGCTTTGAGGTGTAATCCAGCAGGCGGCACTTAGGCTTATTGCTCAGTTGGTAGACTCTTGCTCAGTTGTATTTCCTCACAGTTGCAGCTGTGTTCCCTCTCAATGTTCTGAAAGTGTGGGTTCCTTTCCCCCTTGAGCACTGACTGTAAAGGACAACTTGGCACTCCTGGGCTGCCCACTGCAGCTCTGGGGTGATCTCAGTGTTTGTTTCTCTTCCCCAACTTGGAGGCAGCAGAGGAAGGGATTTTAGTAGTGGTTGTGGTCAAGGGTCATTTGCTTGTCTCCTGAGGGCTCTACCCCAGAGAAATGAAGGTCAGCAATGGCTCAGTGCAATCAGCCCAGGATGGAGAGTTTGTGCTACAGGCCTAAGCCATGGGTTCCCTGTCTGGTGACAAGCAGTGAGGGGTAGAGGGGGTGGGATTGGATCAATGGGATATGGATGGACTCCCCTCCTTGGATTGACTGCAGCTTGTTGGAGGTGTGGATGAGGCACTTAAGGTCTTTGCTCCTTCATTAGTCTGATGGTGGCAAGGGCAGTTCCACTGCAGAGGCAGTGACAGAGAGGCTTTCAATTGCCCCTGGAAGAGTCTGACCACTTTTCCATAGGGCTGCTGCAGTATGCTTGGGTCCACTCCAGTCCCTAGTCACCTTGGATTTTCTAGTACTGAGAGGTATCACCAGTAAGGCTGAAAAACAGCAAAGATGGCAGCCTGTTTCTCCCCCTGGGAGCTTTGTTTCAGGGAGGTATGGGCCTGTTGCTGGCCCAAAGACACCTGCAGGAAGTAGCTGGATACACAGGTTGGGAAGTCCTGCCCAATGAGGGGGAATGGGGATGATCAGGAACCCACTTAAAAAAGCAGTCTGGCAACATTTTGGTAGAGCAGCTGTGCTGTGCTGGGGGTCTGCTTCAGTGCCCTCCCCAGTCACCTCAGACCCTCTGAAGTCCAAAGGCTGGAATGGCTAAGTCGCTCAAACAGCAAAGATAATGGTTCACCCCTCCCTCTGGAGCTCTATCCCAGAGAGATTAAAAATCTTTGTTCACTGGAGAAACACCAAGAGGGGTGGCTGGAGGACCCAGTTGGGAGGTCCTGCCCAATGAGGAGGAGCAGGATCAGGGATCCACTTAAAAAAGCAGTCTGGCCATGTTTTGGTAGAGCTGTGCAGTGCTGAGAGAGCCCTTCTATCCCCAGTCGGCTTGGGTTCTCTGAAGTCTGAAGGCTGGAACAGCTATGTCACTCAAACAGCAAAGATGGTGAACTGTCCCCTGCTCTGACAGCACCATCTCCAGCAAAATTCAAATCTCTGTCAGCTGGAGACCACTGGTGGCATTGGTTGGAGGGCCCAACCTAGGAGATCCTGCCCAGTGAGGAGGTCTGGCATCAGTTACCTGCTTAAAGCAGCAGTCAGGCCATGTTTTGGTAGAGCAGCTGTGCTGTGCTGGGGGATCCCTTTCATCCCTGGTCAGCTTGGACACTCCAAAGCCTGAAGGCTGGAATGGCTAAGGCAACCAAACTGCAAATTTGGCAGCCTGCCCCTCCCACCAGGAGCTACTTCTTAGGGAGGTACAATGCCACTACTGGTGGCTGGCTGGAATTCCAAGCCAGTGGGTCTTACCTTGTGAGGTGCTGTGGAAGTGGGCCTGCAGGCTATTGCTGCTCAGCCCCCTGGATTCTGCCTCTTTCCTAGGATTATGTATGGGGGTCTAACCTCCCACTTTGCTGGAGCTGCAGCTACTTTTGCCGGAAAGCCTGAGTATCTGAAGCCTCAGTTTCCACACATGCCTGAGTGGCTGCAATGCTGAGGCTCCACATAGCTCTGTCTGTCAGACTGAAGGCCTTGGTGGAGTGGGTTCACAAGGACATCTCCTGACCTGAGGGTTGCAAAGATCCTTGGGAGAAGCGTGGTTTCCCAGGGTCACTCATTCACTCACTGATTTCTTGGGTTGGGGAGGTTCCCCTAGTTCCATGTTGCTCCCTGTTGGACTGTTGTCCTGTCTTTTTTTTTTTTTTTTTTTTTTTTTTGAGACAGAGTCTTGCTCTGTCTCCCAGGCTGCAGGGCAGTGGCACAATCTCAGCTCACTGCAAGCTCCACCTCAGCTTCCCGAGTAGCTGGGACTACAGGCACCTGCCACCACGCCTGGCTAATTTTTTTGTATTTTTAGTAGAGATGGGGTTTCACTGTGTTAGCCAGCATGGTCTCCATCTCCTGACCTCATGATCTGCCCACCTTGGCCTTCTAAAGTCCTGGGATTACAGGCATGAGCCACCGCACCTGGCCCTGTCTTGCTTGTCTTTATTCTCCATGGGTCAGGTTGTTTCCTTGATTAGTCCCAATGCAAGTACTTGGTTGTTTCAGTTGAAGGTGTTGTATTTACTTGCCCCTTCCATTCCTCTCTGTGAAAGCCACACATATTAGCTGCTTCTAGTTGGCCATCTTGGCCACTCCCCACTTTTTTTTTGTTTGTGACTTTGAGTCTTCTTCTTCTTTTTTTTTTTTTTTCGGTTAGTCTAGTTAATGGTTTATCAGTTTTTATTTTCTTAAAAAAAACTATCTTTTCATTGACCCTTTGTAGCTTTAGTTTATATTTTGCTTAGTTCCACTTTGATCTTTATTATTTCTTTCCTTCTACTAATTTTGGGCTTGGTTCTTGCTTTGCTAGTTCCTCAAGGTGCATTGTTAGATTGTTTTAATTCCTTCTGCTTTTCTGATATAAGCATTTATTGCTATAAACTTCCTTCTTAGCACTGCTTTTGCTGTGTCCCATAGGTTTCGGTATGTTGTATATCAATTCATTTCTTTTAAGCAGTATTTTTATTTCCTCCTTAATTGCTTATTGGACCTAGGTGGTTATTCAGGAGCATATTGTTTACTTTCTATGTATTTGTATAGTTTTCCAAAGTTTCTCTTGTGATCAACTTCTAGTTTTATTCCACTGTGATCTGAGAAGATAATTAATAGATTTTGATTTAGAAAAATTGTTGAGACTTGTTTTGTATCCTAACAAATGGTCTATCCTGGAGAACGTTCTATGTGCTAATCAGAAGAATATGGATTCTGTAGTTCTTGGTTGCAATGTTCTTAAATGGCTCTTAGGTCCATTTGGTCTGAAGTACAGTTTAAATCCAGTATTTATTTAATTTTCTTTCTAAATAATCTGTCTAAAGCTGAGAGTGGGGTGTTGAAGTCCCCAACTATTATTGTGTTGGTGTCTATTTCTTCCTTAAGATCTAATAGTATATCTTGAGTACTCTCATGTTGGGTTGCATATATGTTTAGAATTATTTGATCCTGGTCCTTACTTGATCCCTGTATCATTACTGTATCATTAGATAATGACCTTCTTTGTCTCTTCTTCACTGTTTTTGACCTAATATGTGTTTTATCTAAGTATAGCTACTCCTGATTGTTTTGTCTTTTTTCATCTCTTTACTTTCAGTCTGTGTCTTTTACAAGTGAGATGAGTTTCTTGTAGGCAGCATACAAGTGGGTCATTTAAATAAATAATCCATTCAGACAGTCTGTCTTTTAAGTGAAAAGTTCAATCTGTTTACATTCAAGGCTATTATGTGAGGGTTTATTCCTGTCATTTTATTAATTGATTTCTGGTTGTTCTATATATTCTTCCTTTCTTTCTCTCTTTTTGTCATTGTGGTTTGATTTTTTTTTTGTAGTGGTAACATTTGAGTTTTTTCTTTTCCTTATTTGTATGTTTGCTCTACCAGTAGGCTTTATACTTCCATGTGTCTTCAGAATTGTAGAAGGCATTGTCCTTTCACTTCCAGGTGTAGGACTGACTTAAGCAATTCTTATAGGACTGATCTAGTGGTGATGAATTTTTTCAACTTCAGCTTGTCTGGGAAGACTTTTCTCCTTCATTTTTTAAAGACACATTTACTGGATATAGTATGCTTGACTGGCAGGTTTTTTTCTTTCAGCACTTTGAATGTATCATTTCATTCTCTTGGCCTGTGAGGATTCTGCTGAGAAATCCACTGTTAGTCTGATGAGGGCTCCCTAATAAATAACTAGATCATTTTCTTTTGCTGTTTTTATAATTCTCTTCTTTGACTTTTGACAGTTTGACTATAATGTGCTGTGGAGAAGACTATTTTAAATTGTATCTGACTGGAGATTTCTGAGATTCCTAATATCTGGATGTCGAAATTTCTTGCTAGACTTGAAGTTTTTCAGCTATTACTTTGTAAAATAGGTTTTTCATCGCTTTGGTTTTCTCTTTGGCTTCTGGTACACTGAATATTAGAATATTTGATTGCTTTATGTTGTCCCATATATCACATAGGCTTTGCTAATTTTTTCTTTATTTTTATCTGACTGGGTTATTTCAAAAGACCTGTCTTCAAGTTCTGAAATTCTTTCATCTGCTTTATCTAGTCTGTTGAAGCTTTAGAATATATTTTGTATTTCATTCAATGAATTCTTGTGTTACAGAATTTTTGTTTTGGATTTTTTTAAATATCCATCTCTTTGGTAAACTCAAATCCTAATTTGATTTTTTTTCTGATTTCTTGGTATTGTATTTAAGTTATCTTGTATCTCACTGAGCTACTTTAATATCATCGTTTTGAATTCTTTAGTATTTCTTATGTTTCTTTTTCATTGGAATCTGTTGCTGGAAAGTTATTGTATTCCTTTGGAGGTATCTTATTTCCTTTCTTTCTCATATTTCTTGTGTCCTTATATTATCAGCACAACTGGTGTAATAGTTGCTTCTTCCACTTTTTTGGATTTACTTTCATAGGGGAGGACTTTTTCCTGAAAATGTATCTACAGTGTTGGTTGAGTAGAAAACTTTGGCTTTGATTCTGGGTGCATGCTACCATGTAATCTCCATATGATTTCTTTGGGTGTAAACAGTGTCAGTTGCATCTTTGATTTTCTCTGTGGCTTAGGGTATGGTTATTAGTAGTAGCTATGGTGAAGTTTTGCTGGGGACAGGATGTCACATGGACCAGTCCTCAGGCCCCAGTAGTGGCATCTGTAGGCCAAATGTACTTGTCCTTGGGCCCCAAGGTGGTGTACACTGGCACTAGTGTTAGTGGGTCAAGTGGGCCAACTCTTAGGTCTCCTTTTGGCCTGGCTCAGGTGTCAGCCGTGGCAGCAGAGGGCAGGGCACGTGAGTAGATTCTCAAGTCCCTTAGGCAGTGGGCATAGCATGAGCAATTGGCAGTAGCAGTGGTTGGACAATTTTCTGGCTATCAAGTGGTCCATGCTAGTGTTGGTGGTGGCTATGATACACTTGTAGGTGGTGCATGTGGGTGGGTGCTAGTTGTGGTGGTAGTGGCAGGTTGGGTGAGCCTGTTTTCAGCCCCCTGGAAGGAATACTCACATGCCAGTGGTGGTGAATGGGGCAGGGTGATTTCCAGGCCCCTGGATGGTGTGCTTGGGCACTGAGGGGGGAATGTAGCCAGGCTGGGTAGGCATGTCTTTAGGCCCCCCAGTGGTATGTGCAGGTGCTGGCTATGATAGGCAGGAGCAGGGTGATCCCTAGGCCCCCAGAAGAATGCTTGGGTGGAGGTGGCAGCTGCACTGTGGCCTTGCTCCTGGGGAGTGTGGGGTTGGTTTAAGTGGCAGCAGCCATAAATCGGTGCCTGAGGAGCTCATGCTTTGGCCTTAGGTGGTGGCTATTTACAGGGTAGCCTTTCCTCAGGATGTTCTTATTTTATTTTAGTTTTTCAGAGACAGGGCCTAGCTTTGTTGCTCAGACTATAGTGCAGTGGTGTGATCATAGCTCATTATAACTTTGAGCTCCTGGCTCAAGTGATTCTCCTGCCTCAGCCTCCTGAGTAGTTAGGACAGCAGGTACACACCACCATGAGTAGCTAACTTTATTTTTTTAAAGACAGAATCTTGCTATGTTGCCCAGGGTAGTCTTGAACTTGTGGCCTCAAGTAATCCTCCCACCTCGGTCCCCCTGCTCAAGCACTGGGATTGCAGGTATAAGTTAGCACACCCTGATTCAGTCTGCTTTTAAATGGCTGGTGGCCCTGCTACTGGGGGTGGCAGGGTTGCTAGCCATGGCTGGCATTTTGACCCTGGCAGCAGCAGCCAATAGTAGTACCTGGCTGCCTGTAGAAGGATGTCAATGGGGCTCCAGGGATATGGAGGTATAGGAGCTATTGGGCTCCAGGCAAGAATGCAGTCCAATGAGGGCTAGGCTCTCAAAATAATGCTTTGTTATCGTGGCTTATGTCTCAAGGTGTGTGTGGGGGCCTAGTGTGAGCTCTGTCTCTGGAGCAATGGCGTTTCATGGTCTCCAGGCAGCTCCCTATGTTAGTCTCAGGGTGTGCGTGGGTTGTGAGGCTCTCCCTTGGCTAGGATTACAGGAGTCTGTAGTGGGAATGTGGACCACCCAGGGTCTCTTACTTACCCTTACTTCCCCTTTTACGACATTGGGGAACCTCTAGGCTCCTAATTGATTCCAGCCCAGCAGGCTGCTTTGCTTCCTTCTTCTGCCTTGTTTCTTATCACTTCTGTGTTGAATTTTAGCCTTCTCTCTTAGACAGTCTATTCAATTGTGATTAACTACCTGCTGGTTTGGTTCTTCTTTGTGGAAGAGGAGAGTACTAGATGCCTCTAGTCAGCAATCTTGAAGCCCTTCTTGTTTTTTTCTTTTAAAAAAAAGAATGAAAAAATCTTGCTGTTTTTTTTTTCTTTTTACCACTTTGAAATACAAGCCTCCTCCCTTCTGGCCTCCGTAGTTTGAGAATCTCATAATCTTACTGAGAATCCTTTGTATTTGATGAGTCACTTCTCCCTTGCTGCTTTCAAGATTCTCTTCATCTTTGTCTTTCAATGATTTGATTAGAATGTCTTTCTTTATAGGTCTCCTCAAATTCATCCTACTTGTAGTGAGCTTCTTGGGTATTTATAACCATATCTTTCATCAAAGTTGGGAATTTTTTGGCTATTACATCTTCAAAAAATATCTCTGCCCTTTGTCTCTCTTCTGAGACTCCCACAATGGGTATATTGGTTCACTTAATGATGTCCCATGGGTCCCTTAGGCTCTGTTAATGTCCCTGCAATCTTTTTTCTGTTCATCAAACTTGTTAATTTCAATTGTCCTATCTTCAAGTTCAAGAATTCTTTCTTCTGCCTGCTCAAATCTGACTTTGAAGTCTTCTAGAATATTTTTTCATTTCTGTTGTACGTTTCAACTCTAGAATTTTTGTTTTCTCTTTTTATTGATATTTTCATCTTATTCATATGTTATTTCTTGACTTTCTCCATGTCTTTCTCTAGTTCTTTCAGCATCTAAGACAGATGTTTTAAAGTCTTTGGTAGTTCTACCATCTAATGTTTCTCATGGATAGTTTCTATTTTTTTCTTCCTTTAAATCAGCTATACTTCCCTGCTTCTTTGTATGCCTTGTGATTTTGTTAAAAACTGGACATGGGAAGCTAAAAGTATGGTATTTCTGGAAATTGGGTTCTTTCTTTTCCTCCAAGCCTTGCTGTTTGTTTTTGTCTTTATTTATTTTTTTAAATCATTGTAGGCTGCCTCCATGCTAAAGATCAGCCTGAGGTGTAAGCTTAAGGTCTTCTCAGATCTTTTTTGAGCTTGTGCCTTTTCCTGTGCATACAGGGTAACTTTCTAATTTCCTCCTTTTATGTAGTTGTTTTTGAATGTCCTCATCTTTAATGTCTGGCTCCCAAAAAGGGAAAAAGAGAAAAATGAAGTGGGCGTATACAGGGAAGAAAAAGGACACTGGCCTTTTACATCCCTTGGAAGTTGCTTCAGTTGGGGTGGAGAGTGGCTTGTGACAATGGCTGCCTGCTTGATGCTTACACCTCCATGATCAGAAGCAGCAATCAGCCATCAGCCATCAGAACATAGATCCCTGATATTTGGAGGACAGGGTCCTTATTGCCCACCCTGGCTTGTGCAGGAACACATGTACAGCTTCCTGCCATGGGGCAGGGGTGGGGTATGGGAGGTAGGTTGGCAAATGGGTAGCGGCTGGTGAACCAAGAGCTGAAGTTGAGCAAAATGAACTGTTGTTTACTGTCCAAGCCTTCCCCTGGAAGTTGCAAGCCTTGAATAAAATCCAGAGTTCCAAAATAGTTACATCACATTCTGCCAGTGTGATTGTCTTATAGGTGTGGAGATGGATTCCTTGGCCTTTCTACTCCACCATATTCCTGTACTTCTCTTTTTTTCCCTAATCTTGTAAATAGTGAGTGTGCAAGGGGTGTTCCACAAAGAATAGCATCCCAGCCTTCAAACTGTCCAAGGATCCCAGAGACACACTTTCTCCAGATTCATCCCCAGTGTTCTGGGCTAAATTGTGCCATGTCCCCAACCCATGCCCAAGTTCTAGCCCTCAGTAGCTCAGAATGTGGCTGTATTTGCAAATAGTGTCTCTAAAGAAGTCATTAAGTTAAAATGAGGTCACTAGCGTGGGCTGTAATCCAACATGACTGGTCTCCTTATAAAAAAATAAGTGGCCAGGCACAGTGGCTTATGCATGTAATCCCAGCACTTTGGGAGGCCAAGGTGGGTGGATCACGAGGTCAGGAGTTCAAGACTAGCCCAGCCAAGATGGTGAAACCCTGTCTCTACTAAAAACACAAAAATTAGCTGGGTGTGGTGGTGGGCACCTGTAATCCCAGCTACTTGGGAGGCTGAGGCAGAGAATTGCTTCTCTGCCTGGTGGAGGCAGAAGGTGGAGGTTGTAGTGAGCCAAGATCCCACCGCTGCACTCCAGCCTGGGCGACAGAGTGAGACTCTGTCTCAAAAAACACACACACAACACAAAAAAAGGTTAAGACACATGAGTTGAAGACCATGTGAAAACACAGGGAGAAAGATAAGTCACCCACAAACCAAGAAGAGAGACCCTGGGGAAAGAAACCAACTCTGCTGACACCTTGATCATCGATGTCCAGCTCCTAGAACTGTGAGAGAAAGAATTTCTGTTGCTTAAACCACTTGGTTTGTAGTATTTGTTATGACAGCCCTGGCACACTTGTACCCCCAGTTATGGTATTCTATCCCACTGTCAAAATGCTTCCTCTTCCCATTTGAAATCTTTCAATAATTTGTCAGGCCCTTGCTTCTCTAATTGTGCCCTCATATCATAATTTCCTGCATGTCAGTGGTCCTCCTCCTGTGGGAATTAAAAAAAAATCTTACCATGAATTTGCATACCCTTAGGCAAATGTTTTTCAAAGTGTGTTCCAAGAGAGGATGATTAACCTTGCAGAGAAAGGGGTTTCCAAGGTAATGGCCATTGATATGGTTTGGCTGTGTCCCCACCCAAATCTCAACTTGAATTGTATCTCCTAGAATTCCCCCATGTTGTGGGAGGGACCCAGTGGGAAGTAATTGAATTATGGGGGCCAGTCTTTCCCCTGCTGTTCTCTTGATAGTGAATAAGTCTCAGAAGATCTGATGCATTTATCAGGGGTTTCTGCTTTTGCTTCTTCCTCATTTTTCCCTTGCTGCCACCATGTAAGAAGTGCCTTTTGCCTCCTGCCATGATTCTGAGGGCTCCCCAGCCAAGTGGAACTGTAAGTCCAATTAAACCTCTTTTTCTTTTCAGTCTCGGATATGTCTTTATCAGCAAGCAGTGTGAAAACTGACTAATACAGTAAATTAGTAGTGGGAGTGGGGCATTGCTGAAAAGATACCCAAAAATGTGGAAATGACTTTGGAACTGGGTAACAGGCAGACGTTGGAACAGTTTGGAGGACTCAGAAGACAGGATAATGTGGGAAAGTTTGGAACCTCCTAGATACTTGAATAGCTTGGACAAAAATGTTGATAGTGATATGAGCAATAAGGTCCAGGCTGAGGTGGTCTGAGAAGGAGATGACAAACTTCTTGGGAGCAAAGGTGACTCTTGTTATGTTTCAGCAAAGAGACTGGTGGCATTTTGCCCCTGCCCTAGAGATTTGTGGAACTTTCAACTTGAGAGAGACGATTTAGGGTATCTGGTGGAAGAAATTTCTAAGCAGCAAAGCATTCAAAAGGTACCTTGGGTGGGGTTAAAAGCATTCCATTTTAAAAGGGTAAAAGCATAAAAGTTCAGAAAATTTGCAGCCTCACAAAGCAGTAGAAAAGAAAAACCCATTTTTTGAGGAGAAATTGAAGCCAGCTGCAGCAATTTGCATAAGTAGCAAGGAGCCTAATGTTAATCCCCAAGACCATGAGGAAAATGTCTCCAGGCCATGTCAGAGACCTTCACGGCAGCCCCTCCCATCACAGGCTCAGAGGCCCAGAAGGAAAAAGTGGTTTCATGGGCTGGAACACAGGGTCCCTGTGCTGTGTGCAGCCTAGGGACTTGATGCCCTGTGTCCCAGCCACTCCAGCCATGGCTGAAAGGGGCCAATGTAGAGCTCGGCTGTGGCTTCAGAGGGTGGAAGCCCTAAGCCTTGGCAGCTTCCACATAGTGTTGAGCCTGAGGGAGCACAGAAGTCAAGAACTGAGGTTTGGTGACTTCCACCTAGATTTCAGAAGACATATGGGAAACTCTTGGATGCCTAGGCAAAAGTTTGCTGCAGGAGTGGGACCCTCAAGGAGCTTCTGCTAGGGCAATGCGGAAGGGAAATGGGTTGGAGCTGCCACACCGAGTCCCTACTGGGGCACTGCCTAGTGGAGTTGTGAGAAGAGAGCTACCATCCTCCAGACCCCAGAATGGTAGATCCACCAACAGCTTGTACTGTGCACATGGAAAAGCTGTAGACACTCAATATCAGCCCATGAAAGCAGCCAGGAGGGAGGCTGTACCCTGCAAAGCTACAGGGGTGGAGTTGCCCAAGACCAGGGATCCCACCTCTTGCATCAGTGTGACCTGGATGTGAGACCTGGAGTCAAAGGAGCTCAATTTGGATTTTTAAAATTTGACCACTCTGCTGGATTTTGACTTGCATGGGGCCTGTAACCCCTGTGTTTTGGCCAATTTCTCCCATTTGGAATGGCTGTATCTACCCAATACCTGTACCCCCATTGTATTTAGGAAGTAACTAGCTTGCTTTTCATTTTACAGACTCGTAGGCAGAAGGGACTTGTCTTGTTTCAGATGTGACTTTGGACAATGGACTTTTGGGTTAATGCTGAAATTAGTTAAGACTTTGGGGGACTGTTGGGAAGGCATGATTTGTTTTGAAAGGTGAGGACATGAGATTTGGAGGGGCCAGGGGCAGAAGGATATGGCTTGTCTGTGTCCCCACCCGAATCTCAACTTGTATCTCCCAGAATTCCCACGTGTTGTGGGAGGGACCCAGGGGGAGGTAATTGAATCATGGGGACCCGTCTTTCCCATGTTGTTCTCATGATAGTGAATAAGTCTCATGAGATCTGATGGGTTTATTAGGGGTTTCCGCTTTAGCCTTTTCCTCGTTTTTCTCTTGCTACTGCCATGTAAGAAGTGCCTTTCCCCTCCTGCCATGATTCTGAGGCCTCCCTGGCCATGTCCAACTGTAAGTCCAATTAAACCTCTTTCTTCCCAGTCTTGGGTATGTCTTTATCCCCGTGTGAAAACAGACTAATAAAACCATCTAGGAGATAGGGTGTTGATCTAGACTGATAAGGTTCTGCAGCACTCCTCAGAGTCTTATGGATCTTCGAAGGGAAAGATCATGAAGTGTTCCCCAAATTTATCTTCTTTGGAACCCTTTTTTCACTGAGCATCTAATAGCTAATAGCCCTCCCACTACACTAGCTCAAATATGACTCCTTGTGATGGCAATTTTATGAGGTGATGACATACGTTGAGAAAGACTTTGAGTGTGTGAAGTAGACCCCTCAAAGTGCACCAGTGGGAAATTACCTAGAATCAGGATATCAGAGCTAGAAGAGATCAACTTGTCCAACTTGACAGAAGAGGAAACAGCCCTAGGACTCATCTTAGTGGATGACCTTTAGGAAAGCTTGTGCTATGTGAAATGTGAGGCTCAATTTGTTAAAGATGTAATCCCCCACGTGGGAAAGCAAGCAAAGCCATTAGTTTATTGTGCATTAACCTATATTTTTCTTTGATTCTGTTTTAGGTTGTTTGCTTAGTAATTAGTTTTAATATGGCCTTCTACAGGTCAATGAGGATTAGAATAGAACCAGGAATCAAGACCAAGTTGCTGGTTTTACTAGTTTGGAAGCAGTTTTAATGAAGATGGAAATGTTTATCAACTCAACACAGGTACCCCCAAAATACAAATCAAAATATCATCTTCAGCTGCATAGCAAATATGATTTAAGAATTTAACATCATTATTTGATCACAAGCGTAAATATGTCACCATAAATAAATGTAAATTCATTGTACAAAAATTCCCAACAACTCTTAATACAAATATGGTACATTTGACAGTTTCTGAAACAGATTATTTTTAAAACTTTTTAAAACCTAAGCTTTATTTTTTTCCTGGTTATTAGACACACACAAAAAAAATAAAAAGAGGCTGGGGCAGTAATGCCAAGGAGGAAAGAATATTAAACTCATTGGGTGTTCGGAAATCAGTGCCACTGGCAAGCCAGGGAAATGAAATCTTTCTGCTGAAAGGGAAGACCTCAGTCTACTGGGATCAAGTCTCCTGAAGGTAATGTGACTCGGCCCAGAGGGTCAAATTTAGGGATATGAATGTGGGGTGAGAGAGGTGGGTTATTGAAATAGAAATCTCATCAAATAGATTATTCAAATCTCCATGAAGTCGTGGTCAAGGATTTGGATGGAACTCTAGCCATCTATCAGCTACAGAGAGCCAGCTACCATCCTCAGACAGGACTAAAGATGTAGAAGGATCTGGAACTTTGACATTTTATATGTTTTGAAAGCATGTTCTGCCATCTGGGATAATGTGTCTCTTTTGCCTCTGGAACACATCTATGGTCATCAAGAAGGAAAAGTCAGAAACCAGAATAGAAGGTGGTACCTCCAGACAGGAGGATCTGCCAGTTACTACTTGGAACCTCCTCCCTTCTCTCTTCCCTGTATGATGTATTTTCTTTCATGGCTTAGTGGTAGCTCAAAGCTCAAGGTGACCAGAATGATTCCCTTACAGCAGTGGTTCCCAAACATTGATGTGCAACAGAACAACTTGGGTAGTTTGTAGAAAGGGCAGATTTCCTGGCCCTATTCCCAGAGATTCAGAATTAGTAGGTTTGAGGTGGGGCCCAGGAATCTGCACTCAAATGTGCTACTCTCAGGATCTGACCTAAGGGGCCTTTCATATGTGGCCCCCTTTCCTCACCGGAGGACATAAGTGCATCACACAAACCTCTTGCTGTGGGCACTTCCTTTGGGGTTAAAAATGGGACCATTTGATTAAGGCAACCATTGCTAACCATCTTACTTCCCTGGGCTGGAGAAATATCAAATGTCACATTTTATGTTCTTAAAATCTCAGGGCCACAGATTTCCTTTGACAATGACATGCTCTGTAACATGAAATTTATATCCTAAAGCCTTTTGTCCTTCCTTCTTACCACACTCGGTGGGAGATTCTGCAGAAGACTTTTGGTTCAGTCTAGAAAATGGAAGTAAATGTTACCCCTGGGAGAGAAGCCACACCCGAAAGTCTAACTTAAGGAATGTAAAGAGAACAGCAAGTTGAGAGTAAAAGCTAAAATGTTCCAAGAATCTTTCAGCTTCTAGGACAATGAAGGTTCTGATTCCCTAAAAGAGGACTCTTCTTTGGGGGCAGGGGGTGTATCTTGGTATTAAAAGCTCATTGACAATTACTATTCCTCCTCCTCACCTCTGTGTTTCCAAGACGTTTTGGGCTTCTGTGGAAATAACCCCTTAATATTTTCTTTCTTGTGGAAATGTTCCTTGATAAGCAATTCTGTGCCAAGACGTTGTCCCTAATTTGGTCACTGGCTAATGCTATAGGCAGTGCTATGACTGATTTGTTCAAAGCTGCTTCCCCTATGTGGCCCAATGCTAAGCCTTTCCTGAAGGAATAAGGGAACCATCTCACCATCAAGCAGCTGAGATGGCCTGAAAGCATCCTGTTTGGACTATGACATTTCTGGCTGTGTTCATACATACTGCTTCCCCACAGCAGGCCTGATCAGTCTCCTACCCCACCTGCATAGAGTGTGATACAGCTGTGAATGCTTTTTGGACCTCTCTCTAGGGCTTCCCTGAGAGAGGGGAGTTAGAATGGGGCTTTGGGAAGCCTATGTGGTAGAATCCCTGGTACCCAGAGTGGGAGAAGATGACACCCGGGGCACTGCAGGGAGGGAACCAGGAGAGATGAAGTAGTAAGCTGAGGCATGCCCTTCTGGCCAGGCTGGCGTCTCTGGGCATGGCCACATCTGTTCACAGTCTGAGACTTGAGTCCTGGGGTCACACAAGGGCACTGGGTAGGAGATGTCTATCTTGGGAGGAGGTCTTGGGAAGCAACCACAGATAGGTGGGATGATGGGATGGAGAAAGGGTGAAACTAGGAGTTCTTAATATAGTTGAGGGGGGAGAAAAGAAAAAGCACACACTGCCCTGTTTACTTTTTTTTTTTTTTTTTCATTTATGCTATGGAGAAACCAGCATGGAGATGTCATGGGAGAGCATGCACAGGCCCCGCCCTAGGGAGTGGTGATGTGTTTGGGGAGGTGCTTGTTTCCAGGTCCATCCCACACGTTGTCCAGTTGGATCCTATGGCAGGCTGGCTGTGGCTTTCTCTCTCCTGCTTCTCTTCCTCCTCCAGATAAGGGTCTGCAGGATCTTCTGCTTAGCAAGTGGTGGCCAAGGACTGGTGGATGGGTGGCTGGAAGCAGCGCACATGCTCCACAGTGGAACTGTCTGTCTCCACGGACTTCATGTATTTGTTCAGGATGGCAAAAACCTCATTGTTCAAGATCTGATACTTCCTGATCCGGTCGGCCATCTTCTTCAGGGGCTACAGAAGGAAGGGGATGTTCAAGTTAGGGCAGGACAAAGTGGGGGTGGAAAGAGGGAGTAACAGGAGAAGTCACTGAGGTCCAGGGTCCCCTGCATCAGTGATCATGTCACTTTCTTAAAGTCCTTTTATGGAATCCCCTGGATCTGGCAATCAAGTGTTAACTGGACCGTAAAAACCCTCTCCAAGTTTTAAAACGATCTACAGAGCTACAATAATCAACAACACTGTGGCACTGGTAAAAAGGTAGATGTACAGATGAATAAAACAGAATAGAGAGCCCAGAAATACACTATTACACATATGATCAAATGATTTTCAACAAGGGTGCCAAGACTGTTCAATGGGGGAAACAGCCTTTTCAACAAAAGGTGCTGGGAAATATGGATACCCACACAAAAAATAACAATGGACGCTTACCTTATACCATATACAAAAAATTAACTCAGAATGGATTAGAGACGTAACCATGAGATTAAACTGAAATTCTTAAAAGAGAATATAGGGGAAAAATTTTCATGATGTTGGATTTGGCAATAATATCTTGGGGTATGACATCAAAAGCAAAGGCAAAAAGTTGCACTACATCAAAATTGAAAACTTTCATGCATCAAAGGGACACCATGAGAATGAAAAGGCAACCGAAAAATAGAAAATAATCACAAATTATATCTGATAAGTAATATCTAGAATATGTAAAGAACTTCAACTCAACAAAAATGACTCAATTAAAAAAATGGACAAAGGACTTGAATAGACATTTTTCTAAAGAAGATATACAAATGGCCAATAACACATGAATATAGCACTCAGCAGTGACAGTCATTAGGGAAATTCAAATCAAAATCACAACAAGATAACTTTTTCACCCCTCAGGATGACTATTATTAAAGAATAAGTGCTGATGAGGATGTGGAGAAATTGGAACTCTTGTGTACTGCTGGTGGGAATGTAAAATTGTGCAGCCACTATGGAAAACAGAATGGCAGTTTCTAAAAAGTTAAACATAGAATTACCATACGATCCAGCAATTCCACGTCCAGGTATATACTCAAAAGAATGGAAAGCAGAAATTTGTAGAGTTATTTGTACACCCATGTTTCATGGTAGCCAAAATTAACCATTTTCAAAAATACCCAAAAGGTGACAGCAACCTGAGTGGACAAACACAACGTGGTCTATATACACAATGCAATATTATACAGCCATAAAAAGGATGGAAGTTTGGACACTACAACATGGATGAACCTTGAAGACATCCTAACTAAAATAAGCCAGTCACGAAAAGACAAATACTGTGTGATTCTATTTATATGAGGTACCTAGAGTAGTCAAATGCATAGAGAAAGTAGAATGATGGTTACCAGGGGCTGGGGAGAAAATGGAATTATTTTTTAATGGGCCCGGAGTTTCAGTTGGGGAAGATGAAAAATCTCTGGAGGTGGATGTTGGGAATGATTGTACAATACTTGTGTACTTCATGCCACTGAATCATATACTGAAAATTACCATTGAAACTATTTTATGTGTATTTTTTAAAAAAGCCCTTTGTGAGGTGGCTCTTACCTCTCTCTCCTCTCACTGGGTCCCTGAGACCCACCCTTCGATCCGCCTTCCTGCCTCAGTGCCTCTGCTGTCACTGTTGCTGTCTGGAGCATCCTACCCGCCCCATACCACCTTTGCTGCTTGGTTCTTTGCTGCGGGCCATTCTGGAGTCAGCCCAGACACAGCCTCCCTCTCCTGGGAAGCTTTCTCTGCCCTCAGCCTGGTTTAAGGGTCCTTCTCTCCCTTCCCATAGCAGCCTGGCTCACCCCACGCCAGTACCTATCCCATCCAGGTGCCCCGTACAACTCTGGTATTTGGTGAATATTTGTACAGGTGAGAAACTGGCATCAGCAGAGTCTGATTGGGACAGGGAAGATGTGCTCCCGGTCTGGAGCCCAGCCCTGCCCTTCGGGGTGAACTGATTCATGGCAGTAGGTGATGAGTGGGTGACTCACGACCTCACGACTTCCTCTAAGCAGGTCCCCAGCCTATAGTATCTTTGTACTTGCCGTGTGGGGAGCTGGCCTTCACAAGCAGCTCCTCCTTGTTTGCTTTTCTGGTAAAAGCCTGGTTGTCAGCCCAGCCCCACCTCCCAGGCCTTAGCCACCAGCCTGCTCACCACATTCTTAATGATTTCATCCTTCCCGTCCTGCCTCTGCACTTTTAGCAGGTGGTAACAGAAGTCGAACAGGTCAAAGCGACGCTGCTGGCCCAGCAGGACAATGATGGAGCAACCAGCCCAGTTCAAGCCATCGCCGAAACACTGCCTGGGAGCAGGGGGAGGAAGCAGCTGGAGTGAGAGGTCGGGGGAGGAGGGCAGGGAGGGAGGGAGCCTCATCTTGGGCCAGGAGTACAGCTACTAAGCAGGCCTGTCTTTGGGCCAAGTCTCTTAACCTATAAAATGGGTACAAAGGAAGCTGTGAGGGTGGGTTCATTAGTTGCAGGGATGGTAGTTATGTCATAAGTCCTTCCGGCCACAAATTACATTTGCATCACTAATGTAAAAAAAAAAAAAATCAGCTCTAAAGACGCTCTGAATTTGCAAGGAAAAACCCACCCAGCTGTTGAGATGTATGTGGCTGATTACTCCGTGCAGGTCAAAGGAGAATCTGTCTTGACTCTCTAAAGGAGCTAAAAGAACACCTAGCAGGTGAGGGGCCATTTCAAACCAGGAGGCCAACTGGCCAGAAGCAGGCTGAAAGGGAAGGGACAGGCCATGGTGGGCAGATGCTGCTGGGGTTGAGGCTGAGTCCTTTTGGTTCTGACAAAGCTCCAACTCTCAAGAGGCCTGGCCCCCAACTCTCAAGAGACCTAGGCAATTTGGATGGCAGTAGAGTCATCCTTTGGCTGTCTCTTTTGTCCTCAAGCAGCAGCCCCAACCCGGGCAGGTGTCCCCAGTTCCCCATCACTGTACTGGAAGCCTACAGGCTAGCGCTGCTCTGAAACAGCTTCATCAACACCACTTTCTCCAGGAAGCCTCCTCTCCCCACCACGCCTTTTTCCTAGAGCTCTTGGCTGCTGGAGGGGAGGCCTTGTCTGCCTTTCCACTCTGTCCTAGACATGTAGCTGGGTGAGGGCAGGAAGAACTAGCTCTGCTGTCTGCTCTAAGGACTCCTAAAGGCTCCTCATTTTCCAGTAGTACAGTGTAGTGGGGGTGAGGCAGGCAGTGAGGGTCTTACTATCAAACCCTTACTGGGCTCTTTCTTGCCAATGCAGTCAGCTCAACACACTCAACAAAGTAGTTGTTGGCCAACCACCCCCACCCCCTGCCCACGTTTCTGGCTGAACTCTGGCAGCCCCATGACTTGCAGGAGCACAGGCAGGTTGGGGGTAACCCTGCCTTCTCTGGGGGGTACTCACTCAGCTGTGAACTCGTTGGTTCCCACAGGGATGCAGTACACGAACTGCATGGCGCTCCACAGCCGGTGGAACTCCACACACTCATCGACGTGCATGACGCCATTGGTGGGCGGTGGGCCCCGCCAGATGGGGTCCTGCAGGTAGCTCCGAATGCGGGTCAGGATGACCTCGAACATGGACAGGCCACAGCACAGCCGCTCCTTGGTCAGGAGGTCACCCTCGCGAGCAATGGCGATTTGCTGGAAACAGAAGGGCACATACACCTTCTATCCACATCTTAGAGCCCATCTGCCACCTCCCACCACAGATTCCCGAACTCTGGAGCTGGCTGCACCTGAAATTGGTTCACCAGAACTGGTCTTGTTCAGAGCAGGGCACAAAATTGATGATCCTGAATGCAACAGCAGGGAAGTTTCATGGTAAGTCTTACTGGTGTTAAGTAAAATCCAGGCACCATCAGTAGCGGATTAATTTTTAAAATTATGATTTACCCACATAATGAATTCTGGATAGCCATTGAAAAGACTGACATGATACTACTAGTAGTACTACTGCTTCTACTATAATTACTACTAGCTTATGCTTTCTGAGTGTGGGTAATAAAGCAGGCCCTGTTCTAAGCACTTGATAGGTATTGAGTCCATTCCATCCCATGAGGTAGATGCCATTACTCTCCCCATTTTACAGACGAAGAAACTAAGGTTCAGAGAGGCAGCCAGTGAGTGTTAAAGCTCACACTTGACCCAGTAGTCTAGATCTATTGGTTAAGTTGTAAAGTAAATAGAACAAATTGCAGAAATGAATGTATACTACAATTCTACTTAAAAACATTGACAATGTACAATCACACAGATGAAAGTATGTGTGATGTGTGTGTGTAAAGCATATTTTAGAAGGACTAACATCAGTTGTGGGAACAGATGGGCTTGGAGTAGTGAGTGGGATTGTCACTCTTGACTTTAAATACTTCTGTACAGTTGAATGTGCTACAATGAGCATATGTTACTTTTAAAACTTGCCCATGATTTCAGATAATTATTTCCTCTAGAAGTGCTTCTTTGACAGTTACAAATGACCTCTATTAATAATGTAAACTGGCTTTTCATCTGGGTTCTGGCTACTGCATATCTAATAAGCAGCTGGCTAGACAGACTAGATGTCAAAACACATTACTACACATGTTATGAGTCAAAACATGTAGGGGTAGAGGTCCTGAAAGCTATCTGCAAAGTAAGGTAAATGTTAAAATCTGAGGTTAAAGTAAGGTCTCCAAATCTGTGAACAAAGCTAAAAAAGGCAGGCTTCTCACACTGAGAGATCCACAGAAGGGGACTTATGGGATCAGCTCCCCAGTGGGAGGTTTCACCAAGGAGCCATTTTACAGGGTGGCTGGGAGGCACCTGCCTGACCTACCCCGGAAGCTCACTCCCTGGAGGCCCCCAGGAAGAGAGGGTGACTTTTAAGTGAATCCATGAAGGGAAGGAAATCAGGAGACACCAATGCAGGAGTCTCTTATAAATGTGGACCATGAGTGTAGTTGTCATGACAACTACCAACTGAAAGAAATCTAGGAAAAAGATGAATTGGAGAAGTAGCTTGCCAATGTGTGTTTTAAACACGAAGGAGAGGGAACCCTGATTCCCGGTGACTCATCCTGATTTCATTGGCAGGAACAGCTTGGGAGCAGAGAGGGAACTGCTCAGATTGCCATAGTTAGCTAAAAATATCTCTTGTGTTAAAAAAAAAAAAAAAATCCTGAGCCTGTGTTTGAGTCTGTTTGTATTCTCTTTATTTGTTCTTACTCTGTTCTATTTGGCCCCAGAAAGGGCTCCCCATTTCAGAAAGAGAATGTCTGGTACAGGGGAGACGCTCAGTAAATAAAAGACCCCAATTTGTTCTCAAGCCATGAATATTTTGCAAATTAATGCAAAGTTCTGGTTTACTAATTAATCTACTGTGCATTTGGTTAATTTGAATCAGTCCTCAGGGTCAGACAGTCCTGGAAGGGGGAATAGAAAAACTGGCAACTGAGGTTATCAATCTGCAGACAGACTTTGAACTCTGGTGCCCCCCACCCACTACAGCCAATGAAAAGGGCCTTGAATGACACAGGAGCTTTCTCCCTTTCCTTTGAAAAGTGTTTGTCCTTTCCTGGTGGCCTAGTGGTTAGGAAAAAAGAAAAAAAAAGTTCTAAGAAAATAAAAATATTTCATAAACCTCATTACCCAGAGATGAGCATTCTTAAAATATGTATGATTTGTTTAGGTATGTGAATGTATACATGTATATTTAACAATTTGAGTCATATTACTATGTTGCTTTTTTCTTAATATATCAGTAACTTCAACTTATTTCTTTCAATATTGTGAAGGAATGACTACATTTAATGGTCATTGATATAATTCATTTAGTCGTATATACTTGGTTATCTTAAATTGTTTACAAACTCACAATTATGAACAATTCTAAAGACACCATCCTTTTTTTTTTTTTTTTTTTTAAATCTTCGAGACAGAGTCTCACTCTGCTGTCCAGGCCAGAGTGCAGTGGCGCAATCTCGGCTTACTGCAACCTCCACCTCCCGGGTTCGAGCCATTCTCCTGCCTCAGCCTCCTGAGTATCTGGGATCACAGGCGTGGGCCACCACGCCCGACTAATTTTTGCATTTTTAGTAGAGATGGGGTTTCACCACGTTGGCCAGGCTGGTCTTGAACTCCTGACCTCACATGATCCACCCACCTTGGCCTCCCAAAGTGCTGGGATTCCAGGTGTGAGCCACCATGCCCAGCCCACCATCCTTATACATAACATCGTGTGAGCTACCGCTGAGCATTTTGTTAGGATGAATACTTAGTAACTGAAGGGTCAATGAGTATAAATATTGTAAAAGGCATCTGCTATACAGTGGCAAACTATTCTCAAGGAAAGTTGATCCGTGTGCATCTACCTGTGTGAAGCCTGTTCCTTGTACCCTCATGAATACTCCTGTATCCCAGACTGGGCAACATAGTGACACCTCATCTCTATAAAAATAAAAAAAAAATTATCCAGGTATGGTGTTGTGCGCCTGTCATCCCAGCTTCTCGGGAGGCTGAGGCAGGAAGATTGCTTGAGCCTGGGAGGCTGAGGCTGCAGTGAGCTGTGATCACACCACTGCACTCCAGCTTGGGTGACAGGCAAAGACCCTGTCTCAATAATAATAATAAAATTATTCCATTCAGAAATAGTCTTCATCAACTTGAGATGAAAAATTTTAAAAATTTTACCTCATTCTTTGAATGTGCATTTCACTGATTACTGGTAAGGCCAGATACTTTTCCGTGTGTGTTAACATTGTATTTTTTTATGTTGTGAGTTTTCTTTCACATCTTGTCTTTTGGTATGTCTATCATTTTCTCTTTGCTTTGAAAATGTGCTTTATAGCTCGCTTCCTGCAAATACCCTCAATTTGCAGTTTGGTGTTATGTAGGGAGGGGAGTGTTTAACATAGCTTTTATCCATTTCTTTTCTATTCCCCTCGGTGGGGAGTATTTCTCTTTCTGCCCTTCTTATGTGAGTTTAACAAGGGGATAGAGAAAACATTTGTGAAGCTGTGCCGGAATCATCAATATTCCTTCTCTATAACTTTGAGAAGGAATATGTAACAATATTCCTTCTCAAAAACCTCAATGTTTTTTGAATTCTTATGCTTCTATTATTTGCTCGTGATAACAAGAAAGGCAGGTAAAGCAGCTATGATCCCATTACATAGATGGTAAAATAAAGATTGAGAAAAATGGCTTGCACTAGATAATTCAGGGGTGGAGAAGGGACAAGGATCCCTGTCTTTTAACCTCCCCCAGCCCCAAGTTTTTCTTCTTGGTGATAGTGTGGGGCAACAAACCAGGTCACTTCAATTTGTCTCAAACAAATGCAAAGAATGCAATACTGCTCAAGCTTCCCGGCTTTAAATATGTTGCAGACTTCCTCTGTCACCTCCTAGATATCTTACGAGTACCCTGTGCCCAAACCTTCTCAGAAGTTAATATTTTGTTAACTTTTCTTTGGTTCATGGAATGACTAAGTTTTGGACTATTTCTTGAGGAATGGGAGACTTATAAAACTAGCATTTCCTGTCTCACAGAATGTCTAGGCTTTTATTTGTTAAACACTAGGCATTTGACAGACTGAGATTTCTATCAGTCCCAAGGAAATGGTGTTCACCAGAACAGGGAAGGAATTCACAGTCCTCTAAGTGGAAACACATGCCAGACTTCGGAGTGAGAGGCGGGATGCCTGCAGGATGACAGCAGCAGTGGAGCAGACACATTCACATGTCACTCACTGGGTTTTCTCCCTAAAAGGAAATCACTGGAGAGGATCTCCTCTGTTTAGCCTCTGCAGGCCAAAAAAGAAAATGTGTGTGCTCTACAGTATCTGAGTTCTCTCTCTGGTGAGTCAAAGAACCCAACCACCATTAGCTGCTTTTTTTTTTTTTTTTTTTTTTTTGAGATGGAGTCTTGCTCTGTTGCCCAGGCTGGAGTGCAGTGGCATGATCTCAGCTCACTGCAGCCTCCACCTCTTGGGTTCAAGCAATTCTCCTGCCTCAGCCTCCCAAGTAGCTGGGATTACAAGTGCCCGCCACCACGCCTGGCTAATTTTTGTGTTTTTGGTAGAGTTGGGGTTTCACCATGTTGGCCAGGCTGGTCTCGACCTCCTGACCTGAGGTGATCCGCCTGCCTCGGCCTTCCAAAGTGCTGGGATTACAGGTGTGAGCCACCGCGCCCGGCCCCATGATTAGCTTTTAATCACCATTTTCAGAAGGAGGTTGGTGGCATGCGGGGGCCGGGCTGGGGTGGCTTCCTCAGCATGACGTCTGTGCAGATGAGGCTTTGCATCGTGCTCCAAAAATACTTACCATGTTTTGCCAGAAGAGAGGCCACCTTCTGTCCTCCGCTGAGGATTTGAGTCCTTTTGCCCTTGGTGAGAACACCAAAGAGGACCGCCGGAATGCGAGTTCAAAAGCAGATTTCAATCCTAAATCTCTTAAACAGTCAGCATTGGCTTGTCTCACTAGAATACCCTGTTTCTCTTCTAGAATTCTTCCCCTGCCTGCCCCCAAAATGTGAAGCTTGCTGAAATCAACTTGAAAGGAGATAGCACATGCCTTTTGTTTCTCCGCTCTCCCCCTATTTCTCTTCCTTCCTGCTCCCTGCATAATCTGAATTCTCTGAAGGCAGGGGTCCTGTCTTACTCATCTTGATGTTCATCGTGACTCGTACTGGTTTTTAACAATTACAGAATAACATATAAGCTCATTCACCCTTGTTAGAACACTACAGAAAAGGCTGAAGTCTTCTTTCTCTCCCACTCTATTCTATCTCATCTCTCTTCAGAGGTTGCCACCATGATAAACTAGGTAGACATCATTCCAGACATTTTCAGAAGAGTTTTATATGGTTTTGTTGTGTGCATTTAAAAAAAGCCATCATCCTGCATGAACTGTAGTGCAGCTTGCTTCATCCAATTGACTGTGCCTATGATCTATCCACACTGATGCAACAAGATCTAATTTTGCCTTTTCATTATGTATTAAGTACATACGTGATATGCAATAACCTGGCATTTTATTTAATCAATGCTTTACTATTAGATGTTTGGGTTGTTTCTAGTTTTTGCTTTAACAAACAATGTTACATAAGCATCTAGTGTTCCGTTAAGTGTTTCTTTAGCAAAAGTATCCAGAAGTGAACTGCTGGCTCACAGAGTATGTGGAGTTTTAATTTTCAGAGGCAAAGTAACAGATTCTTGATATCTACCAGGGACACAGTAGATACTTGTTTAAATAAGCAGACGACTTGTTGGCAGGATACATGATACAGGCTACAGAAGAAACACTCAGGCCTGAGAGTCAGCAAATCTCATTCCAGACCTGCTGTTGCTATTAATATTAACCAGTTTTTGGGTATTGGACATTGTCTTCCCTTCTCTGAGCCTCAGTTTCCTGACCTGTACAATGAGGGGGTTTGGTCAAATGCTCTCAAGTTCCTGTCAGTGATCAGAGCCCATTTATTATATAAGATTGGTACCTGAGGGGTCCCCAGCCGCTCGATCAGAGGGACCAGGTGGAGCGGGGCATACTTGGCTTCCAGACGTTTCATCCGGACCTCCAGGCGCTCCCCCTCTGCAAAAGGAGTCGCAGAGCAGAAAATGAGACTCAGGGAACACAGGGCAACTGGGGAAGGAAAAACTCCCAAAGGACCTGATGATGTATCTGCATTCCAAAAATGGGATGGAGTGTGTGGAACTGCTCTCCTTCGTTCTGGAAAGTGTGAGTAGTTTTTACAAGGAAAAATGTTCTATGATTTGTCCAAGAATGGAATCGTCTGCCTTCTAGAATATCTCTAGTATAGTGGTTTAATATATTAATATATATATTTAAATTCCAAGTCTAGATATCACTATACTAGAGATATGTTAGAAGGAACAAGGGACAGGGCCTGGAGTGTCATTTCTATAATCTTATAAGGAATTTGTTGAAGAATTTGAATGAATGACAGAATCAAAGATAATAGGCCTCAGAGTCTGTCTGGTTGGTCATGAGGTCAGCAGGCTCAATGCAGGTGGCTAGGTCCATCTTCCAATTTGTGATTCTGTGGCTATTCAATAGGTGTCCAAAGCTTTAACCTTCCCCCTTGCTGACTAGATCTGAGTTGACTGCAATTAGGAAGTGAGAATAAGGTTCAAACGCCAGTTGGCTATTCAGCTGCTGTAGTGGTTTCTTACCTTTGATGTAGACTCTAGGCAAGATGTTTTGGAAGGGTGCGGCATGGAGCAAATCGCAGACCTCCTCCTGAGACTGCAGAGATGGGGGTAAAGAAAGAGAAAACAATTTTCATTTTAAACCAGGAAGATTTTTCATTCCTAAAAACCTGAGCACTGGAGTTAGCTAGACCTGGGTTCAAATCCTGGCTCTTCTACTCACTGTGACCTTGGGCAAGTTACTTAGCTTCTCTGAGTCTTTTTATCTATCTGCAAAATAAGGATGAGAACAGTACCTATTTTAATGGGTTGTGAGGATCAAACGAGAAAATGCATAACCTTGTGGAATAGTCACAGGTACATAATGAGAGCTCAATACATTTTTACTATAATCTTATCAGGAATTTGTTGAATTAGGATGGATTACACAGAATCAAACATATGATGGGCCTCAGTCTGTGTCTTTTTGGTTGTGAGGTCTGTAGGCTCAAGGCAGGTGGCTAGGTCAGTCTTCCAGTCTACAAATCTAGGACTCTGTGTAAAGGCCTATGTCTGATTGGTTTTCTCCACACCAGACATCAACTAGCAAGAAAAGAGGGACGAGAACCCAGGCCAGATTGGTTTCAATGGTTATTTGTTATGTGCAAAGATAAACTTAAAAGCAAACATACAGTGGTTGGAGGGGAAGCTTGGTTAGGGCAAGACGGGAGATAGGGTCTCATGGGCTTACTGTCCTGGGACATGCTCACAATCCCTGGATTTCAGAACAAAGGGGAGGGAAGGAGTCTGGAGAAGCCATCCTCTGCCGGGGTTTGCTTTCTCTTCAACTATGGGCATTTGGATTAGGTAGGATCCAGGCTCCATTTCAAACTCTGACACTTTGGGATTCTAAGCATCTGAGAAAATCAAGATTGCAGGTGTCCTTGCCTTCTTCTACCCCGGGCATGGATGGAACACTGCCAATCCAGGACTCTGAAAGGCCAGCTGTTCAAGAGGGGAGCCCCAACTCCTGTTTAACTGCAGATCAGTCCTAGAAATGAGGCTACCAGAGGAAGAACACTCTGCAGTCCCCTCACAGGAGCCTGATCTGACTGTCATTCTCAGTTTCTTATCCAGAGGGGAAACTTCCCCCTCACCCCTTTTTTTTTTTTTTTTTTGTGAAACGGAGTCCCATTCTGTTGCCCAGGCTGGAGTGCAGTGGTATGATCTCGGCTCACTGCAGCCTCTGCCTCTTGTATTCAAGCAATTACTCCTGCCTCAGCCTCCTGAGTAGCTGAGACTACAGGCGCTCGCCATCATGCCTGGCTAATTTTTTTTTTTTTTTATCATACCTACAATGTGATAGCATTTATTTACATCTAAAAACATGTACAATAATGATATGTATTGTTCAGTGATACATATGTACAAAGTAAAGTAATAAAGAAATTCGTGGGAGTAAGAACTACCAAATCCAGAGTAGTGGTTATGTCTCAGTGGAAAGGGAAGGCAAGGTAGTATGTGGTGGAAAAACACAATTTTTATTCTATTTACAATGTTTTCTTTCTTAAGCTGGTGGTCGGATATATAGGTCCGTATTATTTCACTCTGTTTATCATTTTCTATGTTTGAACCTGGCTAATTTTTGTATTTTTAGTAGAGATGGGGTTTTGCCATGTTGGCCAGGCTGGTCTCAAACTCCTGACCTCAGGTGATCTGCCTGCCTTGGCCTACCCAAGTGCTGGGATTACAGGTGTGAGCCACTGCGCACGGCCCTTTCCTCCTTTCTTAAGTGAGGTGTTTGTTTCTTTCCTTTCTAGTAAATCCCATAACCTGGCCTTCATTGCTATGTCTAAGCTTAGATCCTTTGATTCATCATATAACCTGAAAACTTTGCTTACTGATCATTCAGGCTAATCTTTCATATTCACATGGTGAATTACATTGGATGATTTTTGAATGATGAGTCAGCCTTGCATACCTGAAATAAACCCACTTGATTATATTATACTTTTGATGTATTGCTCGATTTTATTTGCTAACATTTTGTTGAGGATTTTTGCTCTGTATTCATGAAGGATACTGATTTGTAGTTTTATTTTCAAATGCCTTAGGTTTTGGTATTAGGGTAATGTTGACCTCAAAAGATGGGGAGAGTTCCCCTTGTTTGTATTTTTTGGAGACAAAACCACCTTTCCAAAATTATAACAGGGGACATTATGACAGTGAAAGAAATCAGACCTAATGAACCTCATTTTGCTTCTAACCTGGAAGCTGTTCTTGTTCACTCCTGGGCAGAGGCCGGACTAACTTGGGGAATGAATTCAGTTCATGGTTTGTCTCTGAAACAAAATTGATCATAGCCCTTTCCTGAAAAGACCCCTTTCTTGCCTGAGGACCAGTCTGCCTTTGCAGGACTAACAAATTAGCTACAAGATTAGAAATTACAGTTTAGGGGTCACGGAGCCTCTGGCTCCAAGAGTCTGAACCTCCCCAATTGCCCCTGGTGATAACATCATTATTGTAAAACCCAAGATCAGTGCTTGAGATATTTTGCAGACCCTGCACTCCAGTGGATCAGCTGACACCATCCAGACTGGTATCTGGCTCAAGGAGTTCTGCCATCTCACCCAGGAACAGAAAACAGCAAGAGAAACTCACTTCGACCCTCCATGATTCCATCTCCAACCTGATCAATCAGCACTCCACGCTTCCTAAGCTCCTACCTGTCAAATTATCTTTAAATAATTAAATTATTTAAATTATCTGATTCCCGAATGCTCAAGGAGACTGATTTGAGTAATAATGAAACTCCAGTCTCCTGCATGGCCAGCTTTGCATGCATTACTCTTTGTCCCTTGCAATTCCCCTGTCTGGATAAATAGGCTCTGTCTGGGCAGTGGGCAAGGCGAACCTGCTGGGCGGTTACAGAGGAGACCATGTAGAATTGGTACTATTTCCTCCTTAAATATTTGATGGAATTCACAAGTGAAACCATCTGCGTCTGGTGTGGGTTTTTTTTTTTTTTTTTTTTTTTTTGAGACAGGGTCTTGCTCCCTTGCCTGGGCTGGAATGCAGTAGTGTAATCATGGCTCACTAGTCTTGACCTTCTGGGTTTAGGTGATCCTCCCATCTCAGCCTCCTGAATAGCTGGGACTACAGGTAAGTGCCACCAAGCTGGCTAATTTTTTTGTAGAGACAGAGTTGGGAGTTTTTTTTTGTTGGAAGTTTTTTTTTATAAGTAGGAATGATATTTCTTTAATAGATACAGCACTATTCAGCTTATCAATTTTTAAGTGAGTTTTGGCGGTTTGTGTCTCTTAAGGAATTGGCTCCTTTCATTTAAGTTTAATTTATGGGGTAATTTCCTCAGTCTTTTGTCCTTTCATGGAAAGGAGTCAAGATACTAAATCCTGTTACCAAAAGCAGCAGTAGAGATGTAAGTATATTATCTATAATCATATAGATATGACAAGAGAAAACAACAGAAGCAGTAATATAATCAAATTTTGAAAGGAAGAGAGGGAGAGAGATAAATGAGATAAAATCTCATCTTTCCAAGTAGGGAGTCAGTAAGTATTGTCTAAAGTTGCTAATTAAGAAATAGGTTACCCTCATGAGTGTTATGGAGGTAACTGGAAGAACTGGAAACAGGATAGGCTGCCCTGGGAATTGGGAATGCAGGTGGGCAGAGGTGCAGTGGAGCCAAGTAGGATGTTTTTCATCAAAAGCTCATCTGTAGTATTTGATTTGTTATAATGTGCAATTAAGAACTTAATGGAATTAAGTTATAATGTGCAATTAGCAACTTAAACAAAATGAAGAGGCTGGATTAAATGGTCTCCAAGTCTCTAGAACCAAGAGTCTGTAAAATACAACCACTTTTCTCTTCAGAGAAGGAGAGGCAATGAACATTACTGAGCACTAACGAATGAGCTATTTGCTTTCTGTCAGTCGCCTGCTTTATGCTTCTGGACAGCCCTGTGAGATAGGGCTCACTGTCCCCATCCTGTGGACAAGGACATCAAGGCTGGTAGTAAGGTGAACTTTCCTAACTAGGTCCGCACACAGATGCTTAAATAAGCAGTAAGGCTGACATTTCGATCCAGGAGCCACTCCACTTCGACACCCGTTGTTTTTCCATGGCAGCCAATGCAGCCAAAGCCTTGGGAAGCCTGACTTTCCCCCTTCATTATATATACATGTCATTAAATTGCAAAGTTACCAAGAATAGAAACAGAAAATCACTTAAAATCTTAACACCTAAGAAACTTCAGCCTCACTCACATCTGACAGGATCATATCATTTGTTGACTTATTGGGTTTTTGGTTATAGCAACTAACATTCTTGAAACTGTGGTATATATGCAGTTTGAAGAAGAACAAGAGTCTGAGCTACCTTCTTCTGTACAAAGAAATAGGAAATTACTGATACCTTTATTCCCAACTTCCAGAGGTAGCCTCAATCCTGAATTGGTTTAAATAATTTCTTTGCAGATGGACTAATTTTTATAAATCTGTTGATGTTATTCCAAGTCTATAATTAGACCACTCACGTCAGTTTGTACCCAAAAATTCCTTCTTCCCTGACCCTCTTACCCCCACCCAAAGTTTTCTACCCAGTCTTATCCATCCCATAAAGCCCCATTTAAGTTTTACCTTCTAGGAGTCTTCCAAGCCCCTCCAGCCCACAGTGCCTTTGCTTTTTAAAAACTTACCAGAGCTTTTATTCATTCAGGGCTTCCACTAAGCCATCTGCACATTGGGCTGTCTTATCTAGCCCAGGGTCCTGAAATCTGAGCTGCTGATGGAGGACCAGGGCAGTGACCCACATCTCATGTAAACATTGATTGAGAATCTTCTTGAGGGACAACCCATGTGCAGGACCTGCACGTTCTCTATATTTTTCTCATTGGCATGATATGAGAGGCCAGCAAGAATACAGAGAACATGTGTATAATAGGATCTAGATACCCAACAAGGTTGTACCAAATTCTGAAGACTTTCATTCTGACTTGAATAGAGCCTGAGCCAGAGATTGTCATTCTTTCATTTATATAGCAAATAATAGGCACAAGGCTTTCTGCAAGGTGCTGGAGTAGGTGAGGGAGACCAGATGCACAACCCTTACCAAGATGATGACAAAATAAGTCAAAACTAGAATGGGCAATTCTAGTAAGTGCTACAATTGGGGTATGCCTGGGGTCTATGGGGATGCAAAGAGGAGCAACCAATTCAGACTTTTGGGGAGGATGATAGGGAAGACTTTCTGAAGAAGGACGCTAAGTTGAACCAGGGGTGAGTGTTGGACAGCTAAGGGGGAACAGTACCTGCAAAGGCCCCAAAGCAAGAGGCCACAGTAGGGCAGGGCTGAGAGCCAAGGTAGACTGAAGCTTTCAGTGCTAGAGGAAAGTGATGTGAGACAGGAAGGAGGGGTGGGCAGGAGTGGTTTGGGAAGAATCTTCTAAGCCTCTCTTAGATTTCTAGACATTATCCTGATGGTTTTCATCAGGGAAATGGCCAAGCTGCAGTTTCACCTTCTGGTTGCAAGGGAGAAAGGATTGGGGAGAGCAAAGGGGGTGTTGGAAGAGTCCAAGCAGGAGAAAGCAGGGCCAGGAGTAGCGGCAAAGGAGATAGAAGGAAGTGAGCAGAGGCCAGAGACCTGATGACTGGACCTGAGGGCGGGAGTAAAAGGACCCCTGCCCAGGGCACCTGTATGACGTTGGTACCGTTTATGGAGTCAGAGAACAGCAAGGCTGCAGGCAGGAGGAAGCCAAGGTCAGATTCAGGCAAGGTAAATTTCTGATGTGTGTGGACACGGAAGAGAAGATGTCTAAAAGGCAACTAGATGTGAGGCCTAGGCCCTGCAGAGTCTGCAGAGTAGATCTGAGCTTGGAAGTCAGCATGGGATGGAGGCTGACCCCAGGGGAAAGGAACTGTGCAAGTGCAAGGTTTGCATAAGTGGGTGCTTCTCAGGGTGACCAAGACCCTTCCGGAGACTTCAGTTCCTCTGACTATATGAGACCCAAGAGAAAAACAGCACAAAGTGCTCCTTGAGTTCAAGGGAATACATAAATTCTGAACATTTCCATGTCTACTAGCATACAACCTAAACAGGGATAAAAAGACACCTTTCAAGTCAGAAATAGGGAAGATGCCACTTCTCTGCATTTGCTGCTACCTCTTTATTCCTTTCTTTAGGTCACCAAATATCTATTGAGTGCTTGCTCTGTGATCTGGCAGACAACTCAAAGGCACAGAGATGAAGATGAAACACACCATGGAGCCAGGGAAGGGCCTGGATGCTGTGGGAAACACTACAACAGGTAGAGCTCTGTAAAAATGAGATTTCAATGAAGTTTACCATCTAGTGGAGAAGAGATCCAAGGACACCCGTGACTGAGAAATAAAACAGAATCAATTGGGTGCAATAGGAGAAGTTGCTGACAAAGGGCTTTGGAGACTGAGAAGAGAGAGAAACACCACCAAGTTCCTTGCAGAGAAAGGCATTTGATAAAATGTGTGTTGAATAAAAGGACCAGCGGTTTGTGGAGGATGAGGAAATGATGGCTGTGAGATGGGCCTGAGAGGAGGGGCAGGGTTTTGAACTGGGAGGAAAGGTGCCATCCCATTCAGGAGGAGGATGAAATCAGGGATAAAATGAGGTGGCTGATATGAAAGGAGTGGGGCATCCTTGGCTTGGGCTTGTGAGGAGTGTGGGCCACAGTGCTATGGGCAGTCAGGAGCCAGGCTTTCAGTTCTAACGGGGCTTAGAGAAAAGGCCGATTCAAGTCTCTTTGCTGATGGCAAGAGGAGGAAAGGGGGCTCTTGGTAACCGAGGACCTGCTTCTTAAGCGCTGGAGACTTCGCATTCATTACCTCACTTAACACTAAGAACTCTGTGAGGTAGCTCCTCAGTCCCAGCACTTTTCAGGCGTGGAAACTAAGGCTTAGAGAAGGAGTGTACCATCTTTTGGCTTCCCTGGGCCATACTGGAAGAAAAATTGTCGTGGGCCACAGATAAAAATAAAATACACTAACAACAGCTGATGAGCTAAAAAAAAAAAAAATCGCAAAAAAAAATCAACGTTTTAAGAAAATTTATGAATTTGGGTCGGGCTGCATTCAAAGCCGTCCTGGGCCATGGGTTGGATAAGCTAGGCTTAGAGAATATAACAGAGTCTCATAGCTATCCAGTATAGAGGCAAGACTTGAACCCAAGATTTCTGAATCCAAAGATACATGGTTTCCAGTGGAGACCATGGAAATCAACCTGAAATCAGGCTGAGAGAGCCTCATGCAACTCACCCTGCCCTTCCCCTTGGCCTCATTCTGTGTAAGAGTCTCCAGACTTAATGACACCAGTTCTTTGATAGGCATGGTGTCTTCCTTTGGACACAGGCAGAGTATAATAGAGCAATACTTCTTATTAAATGAAGAAATGGGTGATAAACCAGAGCTATGGCCTCTCAGGATTGCCTTGCTGCCAAAGGCCTGGTCTCATCTCTGAGTGGCCATTGGGCCTACCAGGCAATCATCTTCTTTAATATCAACCTCACTGTGTTCTACTTCATAAGTCTTATAGCACTAGATAGGACAAAGGCATGAGGATTCCTGGGTGCCTTTAACAAGTCTCAAGTTGGGAATGCTGATTTTAAAACTCCAAGTGGCCACTTAGAATCTTCTGGGTAGTAAATGTCCCCAGCATGAGTTTCCCTTACTCGTCATTAGGCAGCAGACTCTGCCCCCTAGAATGAGTCTCCTTCAGAACCATAATGGTGCTGGGATGGAGAGGCTGGTCTTGCAACGCAGTTGATGCATCAGCAAAGACCCCAGGAACTAACTATGTTTATTACAAGTGACTGGAATGTGCAATCAGCAAATTTACAGACAGGAAATAAAGATGAATTAAGTTCGCAATTTAATTGGAATAGAGACCCACAGTCCTCCTTTCCCCATGCTGCCTTGAAAAAGGAACAGCTGACTGGTGAGCCCTATCCAGTTAGTGTCCTGGGCTTTGCTACATTGCCTTGCCGTACAGGACTGTGCATCTGACCAGGTGGAAGTGGGCATTTCAGGAGGAAAGCTGCTGCCCAGATACCAAAGCAAGACAAATGCCAGCACCTGCAATGCTGGAACAACGGGCAGTTTCCAGGGGTCTCAGATCATTGCTGCTTTTGCTGGGAGACAATGATACCATCTTGTCAGGGTTTGTGCTTATTTTGGGGGTATGGGGGGAGTTTATTACCCAAGGCTGCTGGGTATAGTTTATGTAGCAAGTGTAGTACCCAAGGGCATCACATCCTAGGGAATGCCAAGCACACTGCAGAATCAGAGATTGTTTATAATCACTTTCTAGCAGACGTTATTCTTTAAAAATTAATATATTTAAAAAGAGGTGAAATGTCCTGAGGAAGGATACCATTTTATGATTTCCTGAAGGCAACATGTGTGCTAGTGATGGCCCTGGGGTCACCTCATACATCAACCACTATTGAGAGGCAGCAGTGGCTTTTGGAGAGGATTCTGACACCAATTCAGGTGCAGCAGGATCGATCGACAGCCATGGTGAACTAGAAAAGGGCAGTGGCATTCAAACTACAAATCTGCTGTTCTTGATTTCCAATGACCATCATCATTAATAATCTAGTTACTGTACATGTGGTATTTGACTTGAAATTTGTCATTTTCTTCTGGGAATGCACCAAATACTTAATTCAACCCCTAGGCAAAGACTGTCCTCTGGAAAATTACTAGCTTAGATATGTTTTAATGATTGCCACTCTAGCCTCTTTTCTTTTTATTGGCTAGCTTTATGTTCGCTTTCAAAAAATTAGAAAATGCAGATAAATTTTTTAAAGGAGGAAAAAATGTATAACTCCACCACCCAGGAGTCATCACTGCTATAGCCTTTTCCAGAGTTTGAACTGCCCAGTTCTTCTCTGCACATACCATTTCAGCATATATTTTAAAATAAGAACAGATTATACCTACTCTTCTGTAATCTATTTTTATCATTTAGTATATACTATCAGCATCTTCCCATGTGCAGTACAAAGCTTCTATCTGGATTTTTTTGGGCCTATATTTAGTTATCCTACATCCTTTTTAAAATGATCATCCTACTCCTCAAAATTATTTGATAAATGAATATTCACTCAAGTACCAGCTCTCAGAGCATGCTCTTTCTCCCAACACATCTCGGCAACCCCATTTTAGTGGGGCCTTCTAAAGATCAGATAACATTCCAAACCCATGGAGCGAGTCTCTAATAGAATTTCAGACACTGTGATAGAAAGTGGCAGTGCTCTTTCTGGGGGGCTGAAGGGGTGTTCTTGGTGCCCTTGAATTACAAGGCCAAGGTCGTAAATGTCAACAAGCCTTAAGGTAGAAGCCAAGGACAGTGGGATTCAGTCTTGCCCTGATGCAGACCTGCAGTGAACCTCAGTTTCTTTCTCTGTAACTTGACCCCCAAAGTATGCCATGTGGTTGGGTTGTGCAGCCAGGCAGAGAGTGGTAATAATAGATAAGTTGGTGGAATAGGCATGGCTGAAATCTTCTGAGCCTTGTGGGTCAAAGTTGGGAGTTTGAATTTTAAGTATAACAAGAATCCACCTGTTAGTTTTAAGCTGGAGAGTATAAAATTTATAATGTATGAAGACCCCTTTGCTGTTAATGTTAAGGCATGACCCTCTCTCGGCTCAAGCGTGGAAAGGCAGTGACCCTCAGTGGAGCTGGGTTTGAGACATTTCTCTTAAACAGAGCATAGGGAGAAGGCATTCTTTGTGTGTGTATTTGTGTGTGTGTGTGTTTCTCTGTTAGTATTCCTGAAGCAGAAGGTAAGCCTTCCCACCACGGCCAATGGGAGGAGGGTGGCTGCCAGAGGTGTTCTCTAAGGGTCTCTCACTGGCCTCTAATTTGGACCGGCCAGCTTCCCTGGCTTCATTTGTCTTTCTTGGATCTTAAACTGGTATTTCCTCATGGTAAATCAAATAGGTGGTCAGCCTGTAAGTCACAGCCAAGTTCGATGCTAGCAAATGCGTCTATAAATTTTTTTAATGAGGCCAGATGTAGCTCCGGGATATATGTTACCAAGAATAGATCTTACCAACTAGCAGGGTAGCTGGAAAAGACAAAAACCCTCATGACTTTCCTCCTCCTCATATGTCACAACCTTGTCTGGTTTAACCCCTTTCCTTCTTAACTTTTTGATCCCCTGTTGAAGTTTTATGTCCCCCGCTTCAACTTCATATTAGGAAAAATTCTAAACACATAAAATATTTGAAGGAATAATGAATATCCTTATAACCTTGATGTACAGTCAAAATGAACATTTTGTCATATTTGCTTTAACTTTACTGAGTCATTTGAGAGTAAATGGAAGACATTGAGTCACTTCAGCCTTAAATACCTAAGCATGCAACTCCTAAAAACAAGGACATCCTCCTGTGCAACCTCAGAATTGTGATTCCCCTATATTTAAAATTTTCTTAATATGATACACGATGTAGTCTAGACTAAAATTTCCTCAATTGTTCTTAAAATGTTTCTTTTATAGCTTTTTTGTGGAACCAGGATCTAACCATGATGAGTTTTCCAAAGTGTGAATAATATGCAATTGTTATACAAAAACAACGAACTTCAACGATCCCTCCTTGGAGAACTCCCAGGAGCTTGTGCTTCTGCAGAAGTTTCTCTCTGGGAGGAGTTAATGAGTAAAAGTTATGATTCAGTAGTTTTGCATGTACCAAGTGTCACGCTAATGTTTATTATTCCCACTATATGATAACTACAAGAGAAATAATCATTAGGTGATTAAGAACCACAGTCTGTCTACTGTAAAATTGCTGTGTTGACAGTAAAAGCAAAAAAGGTTTTTAGGGTCAGGATGCAAAAATATTTTACTGTAAGGAACTCACATCAGAATTTAAGGGATTCATGTTTTATTTTTGCATTACTTTCTGTCTTAATTTAATTTTCTTTTCATATTATAGTTAATTTAAAACTGATGGACCACTAGTTTTAAAACTGAGGGATTCCATCAAATATCAAAAACCTTAAGTGTTCCCAACTCACTTAGTCTATGAGGCTAACTGGAGACTTGATTTCTCTTGGCTACAGGCTACCATAAAGATTCCGCGTACATATTTTAAAAAGATTCAATATGATCCTAAGAATGCCAGATTTATGCAGAATGGCATTAGACTCTACCTTTAGGGTTCTGTTCACAGCTGAGTGAAAAACTACCATTTTTAGCTGATTTCCTAAAGAGCATCATCAAACCAGTATTTTCTTAACCTTTAACTCTGATTTTTGAGGCAACAAAAAGACAAATAACACTAATGCATTATGTTTTTGTATGGAGAAAGGAGCTGGAAATGGGAGGTCCAGGCACCCCACAGGGATCGCTGCTTGGATTTTCTGGCAGGAGGGGGACGGGGAGCTGGGCCCTAACCAGAGAGCTTAGTGTTCTAAACATTCCCTTATATGGAGGCACATAATGTGTTTCCCGCATACTGATGTTAAGCCCCGAGGATACAGAGCCTGTGAAGCAGGCAAGAAATTAGGCTTCCCACTTGCACCATGACCCTCTCCCCTTGCACAGAATGTACAAGCCACAGCTTCCAGCCCTCATTTGGGACTCCAGGTGCAGTGGAAAGCCCAACCGAGAGACGCTGTCTCTGCTCCTGTTCCACTGGTCCCTCACTTCCAGCAGCTCTTCATAGCCCTTGCTAAATCTATCAGTAATTTAATCTTACCTGATTCTGTGTGTGATCTTTTCCTGTCAATCTATGCCTTGCTTGAATAGTGCTGTATATTACTATGTTTCACTTCCAACCCCTTCCTCCGTCCCCTGAATTGTCAAGGGGATAATAGAATTATTATTCTGGATCAGAATCATGTCTGGTCAACTGGAAAAGATCTATAGCCAGGAAACTGTGGCCTAGAAAGTGGGCTTTCTCTTCCCTCAAGTATATGCCAATGTCTTCCAAGGTTAGCATTTCCTAAAGTGGAAATTGGGCATACAAGGAAATGTGATTTAATCATAGTGAGCCACACAGTGAGCAAGTTCTTTCCTTTTTCAGTTTCCTATCAATCTTTCTGACAACCTTAATGAGAAAGTCTCCATTTGAAACCAGCACATGTTAGCACCTAATATTTACTAATCTTGTTTTTATCAAAGAGGGAGTAGGGCTTGTGTTCAGAGATCTGGGCAGGCAGCAGCTGGAATTATATGACTTTGCTGTATTTTGATTGATTGAATGTATTATTCTGGTTGCTTTCTAATGATGGCAAGGGATGATTTTTTTAAATGGAAGTGATAGTTTCCTTTTAAAATTAAGTTTCAGTAAAAAGATTATGTAAATAACAGAATCAGTGATCTGCAGATGTGGCAAGAACTGTGACAACTAAGCATCAATGTCAAGACTCTGGCAGCTCTAGTCCAAGAAAATGCTTCTAGATCAGAGATCCTCCACTCTGACTGCACATCAGAGTCAAGTGTGGAGCTTTTAAAACATCTGGGTCTGGCCAGGTGTGGTAGCTCATGCCTGTAATCCCAGCACTTTGGGAGGCTGAGGCGCATGGATCACGAGGTCAGGAGTTCAAGACCAGCCTGGCCAACAGGGTGAAACCTGGTCTCTACTAAAAATACAAAAATTATCCAGGCATGGTGGCAGGTGCCTGTTATCCCAGCTACTCGGGAGGCTGAGGCAGAGAACTGCTTGAACCCAGGAAGTGGAGGTTGCAGTGAGCCGAGATCACGCCACTGCACTCCAGCCTGGGTTACAGAGCAAGACTCTGTCTTTAAAAAAAAAAAAAAAAAAACTAGGTCCATTCTCAAGGATTTTGTTTTCCTTGTGACAGGCCTCAGAGATCAGAATTTTTAAGCAGATTTCCAAGTGATTTAAATGAGCAGCCATAGTTGAGACCATTGCACTAACCTGCACTGCCTCCCTGGTGCTTGGCGATGTCCATTGTAGAATAATACTCAGTAGCGCAGACTGTAATATGACCCTGCCCACTGGGGGTGTCCTCACAGAAAAGTCATTGATACAGAACTACATAACCAAGGCTCTGGTTTCTTGGCAGTTACTGGTAAGGCTCACAAAATAAGCAAAAATTGAGCTGGCTTTGGATGAAGGTGATGGATTGCCTCTGTCTCAAATGGTGGTATCTTGAGGATTTTAGAGGATAAACATTACACCAGGAGGAAGCTGAAATGTCCCTCCCCTGATTTATGGTTAATGAGCCTTGTGTTAGGTGTTGAGGATACGCTAATGACCTTTACCTGGGAAATCTTTCCTATTACTTCTGTCTCCTGTTTCTATGGATCAGTTCTTGTTTTATGCCATTTTTCACTCTATTTTGTATCTAAGCTGAGGGTCTCTGACTACAAATTTTCATCAGTAAAATTCTGAACAAAACTTTAACTGATAAATGTTTATCAGTCAAATCTATATTGTTGCTATTGTTAAATGGTGTGTTAATAGTTAAAAGCTTTGGGAATGGCCGGGCGCGGTGGCTCATGCCTATAATCCTAGCACTTTGGGAGGCCAAGGCAGGTGGATCACTTGAGGTCAGAAGTTAGAACCAGCCTGGCCGATATGGTGAAACCCTATCTCTACTAAAAATACAAAAACTAGCCAAGCATAGCGGCACATGCTTGTGATCCCAGCTACTTGGGAGGCTGAGGGATGAGAATCGCTTGAACCCAGGAGGTGGAGGCTGCAGTGAGCCAAGATTGTGCCACTGCACTCCAGTTTGGGCAAGAGAGTGAGACTCTGTCTCAAAAAAAAAAAAAACAAAAAAACAAAAAACCTCTGGGATCATCTTGCCCACCACTGGAGGGCTTGGAGGGTAACCCTCTGTGCTGACAACCGGCAGGTGGGTGGTGAACAGTGCCATCATGGATGGGATATGCCCTGGAGTCTCTCACTCTGGCTCATGGGGCTCTTGGTCTTGTCTGTGGAACCAGTGACTCTTAACTGTCAGACCATTTTTTCCCAAGTCCTGATATGTTCACACTAGCAGGTTGTTTTTCAGATAAGGCCATTTCTGAAAAGATGTAAATAAAGTCACACAAAGGAAGGGTATTATTGGGAGTCAAAGTGCCTCCATTCCACAAAGCATGGATCGTTTTCAACCAAAAACATAATCTGTGTCTGGGCTAAGAGAAACACTCATACAGAAAGGCCAGAGGCATTACTTGTGGGTGCCTGGGCAAAGGGACAGGACACGCTTCTTGGGCAGCTGGAGGAGTTTTTTTTCCCTCAGAGTGATGGGCAAAATCATCCTGGATCAAGCACAGGTGGGTGTATGGAGTGACGGTCTGAGAGGGGTGGCTGAGATGGGGCTTTTACTTTTTGACTTTCCATGCATTTGAATTGTGTACATTTGCTATGTATGAGTCTTTCCTTTTAAGGAAAAAAGTAATAAATATTTAGTGCAATAAATCTAAACAATAATTTAAAGTCTAAAAAGTGAGAGACACTTCTCCCGTGCCCCTGTCACCCATCACATCCCATAGAGGCAGTCACTCTTCTCACTTTGGTGAGTACTGCTTTTATAACTACTAATTTTATATGAGAAAATCTGCTAGAACATAAAAACATCTGGAAGAATATCCTTTAGAATGTGAACAGAGGTCGGCTGGGCATGGTGGCTCATGCCTGTAATCCCAGCACTTCGGGAGGCCGAGGTGGGCAGATCACTTGAGGTCAGGAGTTCAAGACCAGCCTGACCAACATGGTGAAACCTCATCTCTTCTACTAAAAATACAAAAATTAGCTGGGTGTGGTGGTGCATGCCTGTAATCCCAGCTACTTAGGAGGCTGAGGCAGGAGAATTGCTTGAACCTGGGAGGCGGAGGTTACAGTGAGCCGAGATCATGCCACTGCACTCCAGCCTGGGCAACAGAGTGAGACTCTGTCTTAAAAAAAAAAAAAAAAAAAAAGTGAACAGAGGTCATCTTAGTGTGACAAAGTGGTTTTTGTTTTCTTTCTGCTTCTCTGAGTTTTCAATCAATGAATTTATTTCAATTATGTAATAAAACAATTAGAGGAAAGACATTAAAAGGTAGAAGTAGGAGACAGAAGGTCAGATGTGGAGATGGAACTGTTGAAAAGAACAAAAACAATCGGCAAAGCTCAGCTGGGCATCTGTCTGTACTGTAATACGCTAACCTTAAGGATCTTTGGACTCCAAGGCACATCTGGTTTTCATCCAGACTCCTGCACTAGCTGTAATGCTGGGAAAATCAGCTCCCTCTTGGGCCTCAGTTTTCCTATCTACAAAATTTGAGGTTGCACTAGATGAGCAGTTTCCAACAGGGGGAGGTTTTACCCTCCTAAGGAATATCAGACAATATCTAGAGACATTATTGGTTGCCACAATGAAGGGTACTACTGGAATATAGTCCAGAAATGCTGTTCAACATCCTATAAAGTCCAGGGCAACCCCCTAAAAGATTATCTGGCTCCAAATGTCAGTGGTGCTGAGGTTGAGAAACCAACCCTGGATGGTCTCTGGGGGCCTTTCCAGATCTGACTGGCATTCGGATCTGTGAGTTTGGGTCTAGACTCTCCTCACCTCTGGTGAGGGCAGTAATGCTCTCAAATGACTGACCGGAGTGTTTCTGTGGTCCACTCTAATAAGGAGAGAAGAAGTAACAGAGATGAAGGCAAAGAACACTCCAGGCAAGAGGCCTTGCAGTAAAAGGCAGACTAAAGGGCTCTGTCCTTCCCGGGGGACTCAGGCCTGCCTTCCCTCACACGTACAAATAGGTCCCTCTCCTGGTGTATGCTGGCATAACAAACAATGGCCGAAAGTCTAGAAAACCAAGCAAAATTTAAACAAAAACTTAGTGACTGCTATTTTCCCTAATGACCACTTTCTGATTTCCCAGGGAAGGAAATACTAGAGGAAACACTAGACATTAATAGAATTTCCTTTAAAAACCTGATACATATAAAAATACTTAACAAATGCTGATTTGTTTCAGATAAGATCCAACAAATATATTAAGAGGCTGCGATGACCAGACCATTTATGGATACAAGATAAATGACAGACATAGCACTACCACTACAGATTGCAGGAAGAAGGTCTTTTCAAGAAGTGGTGCCAGAACAATCTGGAAATAAAAGATTTATACTTCCCATTAAACACAAACATCAATTCTAGGTGAATAATATGGACTTAAAGGTCTGTTTAGCGTTGAAAGACTAACCTCTAAAACTTTCAGAGGATAGCCCATCTTCACGCGTTAGAGTAGGAAAGGTTTTCTAAACAAATCACAAAACCGTAAGGGAAAAAAATAACTACACTAAGCCTCAAGAACTTCTATTCACCAAAAGACAAGCCAGAGTAATAGATCTGCAATACATGTATCCATAGTATATAATGGCCACAAATCCATAAGAAAGATGACTTAAAAAGGCAAGAATGTTGACCAGCACTTCACAAAAGATGGTGTCCAAATGGCTAGTAGCATGTGGAAGGAGAATCAGCATCATTAGGGAAATCAAAATCATAATGAAACATGACAGCCCCCCCAGAATGGCTATGATTAAAGAGGGACAAATTGTTTATGAGGCTGCAAAGAAATGATAACTCTCATACACTGCTGAATGGGAGTATAAATTGGTACAATTTGAAAACTGCTTTGAAGCTAACCTAATAGGTATTTCCCTAATAAAAACAGGAGCATCTATACACCAAAACACATGTACAAGAATATTCATGACATCATTATTCATAATAGTACCAAACTATAAACAACCCAAATGTCCACCCACAGTAAAACGGATGATTCAGTTAGTCTGTTCATGCAATGAGAATACTAGAGTAACTGATTCGGTAATAAAAAATGGATCATCTACAACATGGATGAATCTCAAATGTAATGTTGAATGACAGAGGTCAGAAAGGAAAGGGAAAACATACTAGATAACTCTACATGAAGTTCAAGGACAAGCAACACTATCTCTGGAAATAGAACTCGGAACTACGATTCCTTGCGGAACACTGAAGAGGGCATGAAAGAACCATCTATGGTACTATAAATGTTCTGCGTCTAGACCTGGGCTACATGGACATGTGCCTTCATCAAGCTGTACACTTAAGATTTATGCATTTGACTGTAATACATTAATTGAAACCACCAGAACACCCTATAAAAACCAAAAACCAGAAAAATGATGCACAGGTACCTGGGTTTCTGTACTAATATTGCACCCTGAATTTTGAGAAATATTTATAAGCACCTACTAACTTCATGAGGAAAATACCTTTGTCCAAGTGATCAACTGTTAAATTTATATCCCTCTACCTATCAATGATATATTAATCTGTTTTTTAAAAAAAGGCAGAAAAAGACAAAAAATGGAAAAGTAAAATGGGCAAGAGATTTCTTACTTTTTCCTTCGCACTTTCTGGTATTTCCCAGTTTTTCTAAAACTAGCATATACTATTTTAAAATTATAGGTCAATAATAATACATGAATGTGCTTTCCTTGTAAGAAATTAAGACATTCCAGATAAGGCTAAAAAGTCCCTGTTGACCTCTAATCCTGGATTCCTCCCTCATACCTAGAGAAAATGTCTGTTAAATATTGGTATGCTTTTTTTTTTCTAGATCTTTTTCAATGCAGAGTTATTTGTGGTTTATATCTATGGCATCATGTGTGTCTTGTCCTAAAACTTTTTAAAGCTCAATATTGTATCTTTCACTATTTTTTATCTTGGTATGTGCAAAACTACTTTATCAGCTTATTCTTTTTACCTGCTTCAGAGTTTTCCATGAGAATGGACATTCCACAGTTTATACAGCCTTTCCTCTATGATGGCCATTAGGCATCTTTCCTTTTTTTTTTTGGCAATTAGTAGTCTTCTTTCATTGAGAAGAATTGGTATGTCATTTAAAAATTTAATTCTAGCTTCCTAAACTAAAAAAACTCCAGAAAGCTCATGCCTCATTCTAATCTCAGAAAGCACTGTCTAGGCTTGGAGATCTCCCCAGCTGTCTAAGTAGAAAGCAGAATGAGGACTTCAGTGAGCCTAATCCCTGCTCTGTGTTCCCCATCCTTCCCCGACCCCTAGCCCCCAAGGACTGGGATCAATATTGGAAACCTGTGCTTTAGTTCTTCCACCTCTGCTGCTGCTATGCTGTGTGACCTCAGGTGAGTTCCTCCTCTCTCTGGTTCTCAGTTTTCTCACTTATGAATAGAAGGGGTTGAAAGATTCATGCTGTAGCGGGTCTGTCTCAGGTCTCAGCTCTGAAGGTCATTGAGTGTCCTGTTGTCCTCAGTGATACATGTGAGTGACCACCCAGACGGTGCCTGAGGAAGTGGTCCTTTCCTTGCGGCCCCCATCAATAGTCTGCCTCTGGATTCTGAACAGGGGAAGCTGAATTGATGGTCTCTGAGTCACAGTTCCTCATGAAAAGAGGTGCTTAACAGGAGACACTCGGGGACTGAGGCTTCAGGGACCCACCCCCCCCCGCCACCCCGCCCCACCTCCACTGTTCTGGTGCCCCTGAGGCCTTCAGAAGTTGTTCCTATTTATCCCTACGACTTCTGAGGGCTACGTTGCTATAGCAACCTGGGTCTGCTGATCTGTGTAAAAAACTTATCAATTAGCTGTCTGGAGAGTCCATTTAAGGGGTAACAGAGAAGCAATTACTCCTTATAGAGGAAGCGCAAACAGTCCCCATTTCAGAGCCTCTCAGGGAGAGTCTGAGAATGGCAGGTCCAAGTCACTCATTTTAGGGACGGGGGCACTGAGGGATGAAATGAACTGGTTCATCCCAAGTCACAAAGACAATTAGAGGCAAGGCATCCTTTCTGGCTCTGATTCAGAAGCTCCATTATCTCTCTACCTTTGTTCCAGGCTTCTCCTTTCCCCTCCCGTCTATTCTCCAAGCACCTATTGCCTCCAAGATGGGCTCTAGACTGTAAGAGCCTTGTCCTTCACTCTCCCAGTAGCCCCCAGGCCTTTGAAAACAGCCAGGCAGACCCCCTCACCTGCTGCTCACATGGCATCCTGTGGTGGCCCACGAAGCCCCAGTGACCTGCTGCCTGGCTGCCTCCCTCCACGGCTCTAACCTCTGTCCCCTTGGCACCAGCTCACTATGAGGTCCTCCCTATTCCTTAAGACCAAGCTCCAGCCTCTTCAAAAACAGCACATCTCTCTCTGACACAGCCACTCTCCCTTTATCCTGTGTATTCCTTCACAGCTCCCCTCCCCATCTGCAACCACACTCTGATTGTTACGACTTTGCTCGTTCCCCTCTCTGGAATAAAAATGGTAAAACTCTGTCTCTTATTCATGACCATTTATCCACAACCTAGAACTGCTCCTGGCAATGAAGAGGCTCGCCACGCCTCTTGCTGAATGAGTGGATGGATGGCTGGATGCTAAAAGAGATTCCCACTAGGTTCTGAGAATGAGGCATCCCAGAGTAACATCCTGTTTCCTTCTCCGTTACCTCGACACCTGTAGGACTGGGCCGACTGGGAGCACCATGTGGAGAACAGAGACAAACTGGAGTGCCTTGGGGAGGAAGGAGGAGAGCACAGTCTCTGAGTCAGCCATGAGGCAGAGCAAATACAAGTGGTCATGCAGGAAGAAGAGTGCTGGTTCTGCGGGGTCCTAAGAGGGAGATGTACGGGGGGTGTGCTTTGTTCAATATGACAACACTACCAATGGTTTAGTTCTTACTGCATGAGCTTTACATGTGGTGTATCTTTCTGGCCTTGAAACTATCCTGCAGGGTAAAACAACTGTCCCCCATCATAAGAAATGAAGGTAACAGTGCATGTTCTCCCCTCAGCCTGGGACAGCTTCACCAGGCAAATTCCTGCTCATTCTCCAGGCCATCTCCCCAGAGAAGTCCTTCCTCAACCTCAAGAACACATCGAGTTCTCTGTCTTCTGTTCCCACAGGACCCTGCAGTCACCCCTCCTAGCTCTTGCTGTAACAGTAGACACATGATTTCGGTGTAAATATGGACAGGACAGGAGGCAGGGCTGGACACTGCTACATGCCCCAGAACAGTGCCTGTCCTATGATATCCAAGGAATAATTATCTAATGAGTGAGATGGAGCAGGGAACCCTCTTAGGGGCCCTGCAGCACCGCCCCCGCCAAGCATGGAAATAAAATCTTGAGTTTCTTCAAGGGAAATTCCAGGCACCTAGCTAGCCCTGAGAAGTAAATAAGCAAGCTGATAAGCAAGAAGGTAATAGTAACTAACTTAAAACAACAGCCAAGGAAGCTAGAATCATGGGATGTTTGATTCCCTACAGAAATTAAAGATAACATCTTCACATATGAACCAGAGTTCTTTTTCAGAAACCTGGACCCACACCAAACAGATGTGCTGGCATGCATGCAGACCTCAGATAAGAGGGAACTGCAGGCCGAACTCTGACCGCAGTTCCAGTTCTTTGTTCTAAACTTATTCTTAGGAGGCCTGGAAGAAGCCATACCCACAAGCTGGAGCTAACATTCTTTTCTGCTGACCCTAAATTTTAAAACAAAGCTTCTCTTCCTTACCCAATTGCAAAGCAGAAACTCTCTGAAATCTACCTATGACTATAAGCCCCCACCCACTTCAAGACGATAGCCTGCCCCTTTGGGCTAAACCAATGTGTAACCTCCATACAATGACTTATAACTTTGCCTGAAACTTCTGCTTTCCTGAAATTTACCCCTGCCTTTAAAAACCCTTGTTTGCAAGCCATTGGAGAGGTGGGGTGTTAAGAGAGAACTGCTCAGTTCTCCTTGCTTGGTACTCTGAAAATAAACACCCTCCTTTCTCCTGCAGTAAACCTCAGCGTGGATGTTTGTTTTTACTGTGCCAGGCAGGTGGACCCCAGTTTGGTTCCATAACATGAGGGAATGGCAAACTGAGACCTAGACAACTGCACTAATCGTGAATGGGGGAGCCAGGACTAGAATCCATGTCTGTCTGGAAATGAACTGAAAAGAGCATGTGAGCTTGTACTCAAAGCACAAATCAATGCTGCAGGAGCCTCAATATCTGCTTGGGGTTGGCATCCCCTCCAACCTGGAGACACCCCACTTCCTTTGGGCTCTGGACTTACCAGAGCTTGCTCTATGAGGAGGCAGAAGAGGATGGCATTGCCCACTTCCCTCAGGCTCTGGAACACGTCTGTTTTGAGCTCTGCGTACTCAATGATGTCCTTCAGCTGGTGGTGGAAGAACTCCAGGATCCCTGGGAGGTGAATCGGGGTGGTCAGTGGGAAGTTGACACTGCTCAGTAGGGTCTATGGGAAACAATGACTGAGTGGCAGCCCCAGACCTGACTCTGGGATAGCAAAAAGCCAAACCACGCATCCCTCTTACCTGCAGGCCCAGAGTGAGATTTCTTTCAGGGCTCAGTACTGGACAAAGTTCGAGTAGCTGGCTCATGTCTTTTTCAGAACACACACACGCACACACATGCACACACACACAAACACAGGCACACAAATGAGGCACCATTGGACCCTTCCCAGTCCCTCCAAAGTTGCCTGACTTCCTAATCATGACAGGAATTAATATTTATTAGTAGGTGTCAGATATTGTGCTGAGCACTTTATCTGTAATATCTCATTTAATACAATATCACTAACTAGGCACTATTACCCTGGTTTCAGATGAGGCTCAGAGAGGGTAAGGGGCATGCCCATAGTCACACAGGTAGTAAGTAGGGCAGCTGGGACTGAACACCAGAAATTTTAGCCTTATCTTTTTCCTATTGTGAATCACACAGATCCAGCACTAGACATCTTGGTTTTGGAAAGAAACATCAGATGCCAATTCACAGTCCCCATTTTTCCCTCTTCTCCAGGCCCTGTTTTCAGTTCACTATTAAGGAAGGAAATGATTATTTCTCTGCCCAGCGGTCAAACAGCAAAGATGTCCATTTCCTGACTTATCTTAGATGTGTCAACTTGGCACCACTGCCTGGAGCCTCAGTCTCCCCAAATATGCAGATGGAGGAAGAGCTCCTGGAGGTGCTGAGCTCATAAATACCTTTTCTAATAACCTGGCTCTGCATTATTTAAACATGCTTACATTTGCTGTCCTCTTCCAACTTCCCAGCAGTCCCATGAGGCAGGTCCCGCAAGCATCATCTCCCTACACTGACAAGATGATAACATTGCTCAGAGGGATTAAAAGGCTATCTAGCTAGTGGCGGGGTAGGATGGATAGCCAGTACTCTGCCAGCTCACTGGCATGTTAGAGAAGCAAACGCTCTAAGGTGGATGGTCAGAGCCTCCCTCCCCACCATGGGAGGGGTCTGGATTGTTTTGCTATCACCAACCTGGGGAGCCATACTCATGTCGGGGCAAGCGGCATATCTTGGGCATCACCTCTATCAGTGTTTTCACATACTGGAGAATGGTTCCTTGGAGCTGACAAAAGAAGAGTACAGATGAGTGGGCTGAATTCTGGGCTATGCGGGGTATGGAGGTTATGCTGAGACCTCTGAGAGGATGGGGCAGGCTCTTGCCTAAAGGCGGGGAACAGTCCCTTTGACCTTTATAAGGGAAAATAAGCCTTTATAAGACTGAAAAAGGAGCTCTCTCGTTGTCTTGGGCTTACAGACTTCAAGGAGGGCACATTTCTAGGTGTAGGGTCTTTCCTGGGGCTGAGGATGCTTATAGCAGATTCAGACAAAGAGCTAAAATGAAATGGAGCCAGGAAATTGTGCAGATTGAAACATGCTATTTAATTTCAGCCTGGAAAATTCATGGCACATTCATCCCTCCTGTGCCCAAGGCAGACATCTTTAATCAATTACCACATTTTCTTGTTTTACTCTGGATTTAGCTCCACAATCTGTAACAACCCATGGTTCCACAAAGCTACTGCCAAAGAATTGGAGTTAGCAGATTAATCCTATTTGCTATTCCTGACCTGGTTATATATTACTTTCTCTTTCATCATTTGAAATTTTCATAAACATCTTAAATGTTTTGGCCTTCAGCAGTGTTGCAGGAAATTAAATGAAATTCAGATGACCATATTTGGGGCAGATTCAGAATAGTGGTAAAGGGATACAGAACTCTCTTGAAGCCAGTGCAGTATGGGGAGCAGTGTTCAGCAAGAAATCCCAAGGGAAAGAAGCATGATGCCTGATTAGAGATGTCTGCCATGGGTAAGGGCGTGGAAAATGGCAGCACATGTGTCATGAATTTGCCCTGCTCAAATTAGATAATGGAGCACAGCTGGGGAGGATGAGCAGTCAGTGGCAAGCGCTGAAGGACAATATCAGGATTTCTGAGTTCAGTCATCAAATACAAGGAGTCTGGGGGTCAGAAAATGAGGAGCACAGCTATAGGTCAAAATGTGCACAGAAATGTAACAGAATGATAGGTAAGACCAATCCAGGGATATGGGCAAGGGAACTCCTTGAGTGGTTTCTACAGGTAGAGCTGCAGTGCCTGGGATTTGTTTTTACAGGCCAGGTAAAAAGTAAAAGCAAACTTTGTTTATGTCAAACCCACATGGGCATATCTCAAGCCACACTGAGGCCTTTCCTTACCAAGCTCTTCACAATCTTTAGCAGTTCCTCCATGACCACAGCGATGCCCTGATAACCCAGGAGTCTGCAGATAGTCTTGAAATGAGGTGGCCCCACGAAATTCCTGTAGGAGCTGTAGATGTGGCTGTAGGCAATGTTGAGAGGCTGGAAAACAGAGGTAGTGGCAAATAAGTGCCTGAGTACTGAATGGACACTGGTGGAGTCCTGGCAGATGTTCTGCTGACAGAAGCATTAGGAACCCAGTGTTACGAGCGTGCTCACTGGAGCCCCATGAATATGTTTGCAAAATGGTGGTCATAGAGAGAGGTGTGGTCAGTGACTACAGGATGGCGCACAGTCACCAGATGGAGCAGCCACTCCCTAGCAGAAGAGGATAAAGGGCTTCCAAGCAAATACCCCTTTTACAGGGATTCCTGCCACCCATGACGTTCCACACCCAAACCAGGAGTTTTACAAATTGAGCCATGGGGGAAAAGATAAACAGCCGATATCCTTTCTTAAGAGACATTACTAGTACTAGACATTGGCTGGAAGAACCATGTGAAAACTCAACAGCTGGTTCAACATTGTCATCTTTCCTCTACTGTTAGTTGTTTCCATCTATGACAGGCAGGGTCCTGGGAACACACAGGCCTGGGAGTCAGGAGATCTCTGCTGAGTGCATGGGACAACCACCTACAGTTTTCGAGCCTTAGTTTCCACATCTATGAAATGAGGGGTTGGATTAAGTCAGTGGTTTCCCAACTTTAAGAGCAGCAATCCAAAAGAAAGATGCCACAGAACTTCATATGTGAAGCAGGCAAAATGGAGCTGCTCTGGCTTGATGCTGGCTGGGGACCCACAGACCTGGCCACCACCATTGTCCGCTGAACCCCATGAGACACCATAACTGAATTTGAAGGATCTCTTTAAGATCTTTGTCTGAGTATATACAACCATGCTATAGGGCCCTAAACTGGTCTCACTTGGTTGGTGAGAATGAAAAGTTATCATCGACTCTAACGCTCTGTTCTGGAAATGCTGCCGCTTACGGAGCACCTAATGCCAGGCTTTGTGAAACCCTCCAGGTGCACTATTGTTTAATCCACCCGACAAATCTATGTGATCTATATCATTATTAGCCCCATTTCACAGATGAGGGAACTGAGGCTCAGGTGGGAAAAAGCCTGCACTCACCCTGAAGTGGGTACGGCTGATTCCAAAGCCCATGCTCCACCTATCATGGTGTATTTTGGAAGTTGAATTCTTATATAAATGATACTCAGTTTTTTACATAAGGTTTCAGTTCAAAACTTAGGTTTTTTTCTTTGTTTTTTTTTTGAGACAGATTCTTGCTCTGTCGCCCAGGCTAGAGTGCAGGGGTGCGATCTCGGTTCACTGCAATCTCTGCCTCGGGTTCAAGCAATTCTCCTGCTTCAGCCTCCCAAGTAGTTGGGATTACAGGTGCCCTCCACTATGCACAGCTAATTTTTTTGTATTTTTAGTAGAGGTGGGGTTTCACCATGTTGGCCAGGCTGGTTTCAAACTCCTGACCTCAAGTGATCTTCCCACCTCAGCCTCCCGAAGTGCTAGGATTATAGGCATGAGCCACTGCACCCAGCCCAAAACTTAGTTCTGAGTGTAGTTCTCCCAACTGGAATTGCAAAAATCTTGTACATGGAACATGCAATTTATGGGATGACCACATAAGATATTCCATTCACTGAAATTCTCTATTAGCTAGCTAGTTAGAAATTATACATCAGTTAAATGGAAATTCTAATGATGCTTTTGGAGTACTGCAAGATTTTCAACTCCCTTTGGAGCCATCAAGAAAATATTTAATTGAGTTCAGTCTAAGTTTTGAATTAGGTACGTATGTATGAATTATTCTAAACTTTACAAAACAAGCATCACAAGTATGCACTAATAACAAGGATCCGTGACGAACACAATTAGAGTGCCCACTAATAGCAAGGACTTGTGAAGAATCAGAACACCCACTCATTCACCAGGTTCAGTAATAGTTCTCTTGGTGAGCTCATGCCTAGATATTGGGAGGCCTGGAACGTGAGAAGGAGCAAAATTTTGTACATGACACTGAGAAGCTGTCACAGCAAGCTCTGCCTGAACCTAGGGGAGGTACTTATTGTATTTAGCTTCGAAATGTATGGGCCAGTAATAGCTTACATAGGGATAAAATGGAACTGACTTAAGAGTATGATGTTCACTGAAGCTGATGTTCAGCAAATCCTGGGAGTGTATGACTTGCTGAGTTGATTTAGCTAACCGTGGGGCCAGGCCATGTCATTTTCTAGGTGTGGAACAAATCTATTTGAGTGCCTCTGTCACAGGCCACCCTGTCAAATGGGGCCAGGACTACTAGGTTGAGGTGACTGAGGCATGTAGGATATGCAAAATGCTAGGAGGCGTGTACTCTTCTAAGCGAGTGCAGCTTAGTTTTTGCCCTGTTAGCAAAGCCCCACTCTGTATTCTCCTGTTTCCCTCTCTGGAGGTGATGAATACATAGCAATCACCAAACAAGCCATGGCTTACCTCTGGTGGGAGGAGGAGACTAACTGGAAAGGGGCATGAGAGGACTTCCTAGGGTGATGGAAAAGCTCTACATCCTGACTGGGCTGTTGACTACATAGAAGTGTTTGTCAAAACTCACAGAACTGTACATACAATTATGATCTGTGCCATGTGCACTGAATGCGTCCCTTCCAAATTAGGATTTGGAATCTTAATCACGAACAAATTAGGATTTTTGTGTTGAAATCCTAACCGCCAATATGATAGTATTAGGAGGTGGGCCTTTGAGAGGTGATCAGGCCATGAGGGTGGAGCCCTCATGAGTGGGATCAGTGCCCTCATCAGAAAAGACAAGAGTGCTTGCTGTCTCTCTCTCCTCTATGCCATGGGAGCCTACAGTGAGGAGAGGGGCCATCTGCACACCAGGAAGTGGGCCCTCACCAAACACTGGATCTGTTGGCACCTTAATCTTAGACTTCTCAACCTCTAGAACTGTGAGAAATAAATGTTTGTTATTCAAGTCACTCAGCTTATGGTATTCTTGTTATAGCAGGCTGAACTGACAAAGACAGTGCATCTTACTGAATATGACTATACTTCAATAAAAAAGTAAATTTAAAAATCCCACTGAGCTATGTCATAGCTTAATTCACCTTCCCAACATGATTTTCAAAGGTTAAAAAGCAGAAACATGCTTTAAATTTTCTCCTGAAGAGGGCTGCAGCTTCAGCCAGCACAGGCACCAGGTGACAAAGACCTGGCTGTGCTCACAGCCATGGGAACATAGTGCTCATGGACTGCCCTGACAGCCTTCTCATTCTCCACCCACACCAGGGACTCTAGGCTTCTCCTGTAAACCCAGCAAAGCTCTCAGCACATTCTCGTTTGTCCCCTTTTCAAATATTTCAGAAAGGAATTTCTGAGTAGCAAGCAGCTTTCTAATGGATATCACTGGAGGGGACAAAAAGCAATCATCTACTTATATTTTCTGTCTGATTCTCTGACTTCTTTTCTAGCTTGTCTGAGTCCATAGGATGGGCTTTGGGGTGGGCACACCTCAGTTCAAATTCTAGGTCTGTAAATGCACTAGTTAGATGCTCTTGGGCAAATTACCTAAACCCTCTAAGCCTTAATTTCCCCTAAGTAGAGATGATAATACCAAATCCAATAGGGTTGTTTGAGGTTTAAATGTGATCACATATATAAAGCAGTCAGCATGGTGCCTGGCACACTGGAAACGCTCACTGAAAAAATAGCCATTAATATTATTTTGTTTGATGACTTGGTAAATAAAGACAAAAACACAGCTTTCTGGTCGAATTTCCCCCAGCAGCTTTGGCGACAGCTACGATTCTCTGATTGTAAACAGGGGAGTGCATATGTGGGGGGTAATTTTATGCAACACAGCATGTACCCCACAAAGTGATAGGACAGAGGTGAGAGCCAGGACTAGTTGATAGAATGCACCAAAAAATGCATTTTATTCAACATTAAGAACATCATAAAAATGGGAGATGTTCAGTAACAGATTGTACTGGGTGGAGTTCCTCCTCACTGCAGGTATCTTATAACAACAGGGTTGTTATAAGGGGTCCCATCAAGGGCTGGAAGTGGGGATAGACGTGCTCCCTCTAGAGGATCAAGCTGAAACGCATTCTTCCTGGACGCTCATCCTTCTGAGTGGTGTCCTAAACCCTCACCGCCACCCAAGGAGCTTCTAGTACCAAGCTTCCCTGAACACTTCCTGGCAAGCACAAATAAATACACATTTACATATATGGAAACTGTTCAGCAGGAATTCCCAGATCTAGGCAGAGGCGGAGAATAGTATTGGAACTGTTTTACCACGTAAGGATTTTTAAAATGCCCCCTACACACCCACTCGGTTCACTTTGGAGGCCCCTGATTGACATTCCTATGTCAGTCTTGGATTCTGGTCTAGACTGGGAGTTTAGGCTTCAGTTGATGGTCCAAGATGCATTTCATGTGAGAAGGACCAGCATGAAATGAGGAGAATTCAAATCCTCCTCCTAAGATTAAAAAAAATCCCCCCCGACCCCTCATTCCCCCAAATATACCCCACGCATGCAAGAAGAAATGCACACGCATGCTGAAAAGTACACACACACTCATCCCCGAAGGGCACCCATCTGACCTGCTGGCTCAATAGGAGGCTGGGCCCTATTGAGAAAATGTGGGAATAGGGGAGCCTGGGCATTTTCTGAGGGTTGGCAAAGAAAAACAAGAATGCAACATGACATGAGCCATTGGAAACTTGCCATTGAACCAATTCTGCTAACTGATAGGTTCCAATCAATGGGCCTCATAGGAAACTAATTATGTATCCTGCCTGGTTAGGATGGCTCACTTAAAATTAAGCTTATTTAAATCCACACTACACAAAATAGATAGCTTTATGAGATCTCAAGAAATAAACAACCCTGATTCAGGAATTAGAGCCATGTTATTACTGTGTGACGCAGACCTGCATTTTCTTAAAAAAAGCAAAAAAGCATTTTTAAGGAGAGAAAAAAATATGGTGAGTTTAATCTGGCAGATCCTGGGCACTGTAATATTATCTGTAGATGAACTTTAAAATGTTGTGGCAAAATATACAAATAAAATTCACCATTTTAGCCATGTTTAAATGTTGTATACAGACTTTTCATCTATCCGTTGAGATAGGCCTCTATCTCATCAGATGGTAAACACGGCCAGCCACTTCAAACAGTAAGGCCTATTTACTTGGTAAACTGAATTTGTAAGCAATTTGCATCTCTGCTCTCTGGAATCACAATTGCTGTTTTCAGAGATCCCAAGAGGAATTAAACTGTTCCTAATTTCCTATTTTTGTTACAATTTCTCTAATGGATATCATCAGCCCGCAAACACAAACACAGCTCTCTAATTTAGGTGGAATGGCTGCAGCTCAATTCCCTAAAATCACTGCAGGTAAATAAAGGCGACGGCAAAAATAAAACAGCAGCATCGTCCTTGTCGGGAAGATCACAGAGCAAGACAGTGCCAAGGACTGATCAATTCTCAGTTCCAGGATCAAATCCATTGTAAACGCTTGGGTAAAACTACTAATGTGTCTATGTGTCTGTCTGTCTGTTCTTGACATTTGGGGGGCCATAGGGCTGGGTCTCCAACATCTGGGTTCCTTCTTGGCCTTCTCAGCTCAGAGGCTGAAAGATCCAAAGAGCTGCTATGCAGATCTCAAGAAATGACGCTCCTTTCTCTCCTGGGCTATGAATAAGGTGCGTTGGAAAAGGCAAGCAGGGGAACAGGAGCCGAGCCTTCCAGCTGAGAGATCACATCAACACTGTCACACTCAGAGATGCTAAAACTTTTGAAGGGAACCAATGTCATCACTTTTCTTGATAATCAGTACTCATGTGATGACACACAAGTATATCAAGCTTCTCTGTGAATTTTTCACATACGAATTCCGTCACAGCCGCCCACATTGTTTTCTGTGGCTGCTCTAACAATTACCACAAATTTGGTGGCTTCGAACAACAGCAATGTATTCTCTCAGGCTTCTGGAAGCCAGAAATCCAAACTGGTATCACTAGGCCAAAATCAAGGTGTCGGCAGGGCCACATTCCCTCCAGAAACTGCAGGGGACGATCTGTTTCCCGTCTCTTCAGCTACTGGAGGCTGGCGGCAATCCCGGGCTTGCAGCTGCACCACTCCAATCTTCCCATCTCTCTGCTGGGTCTTCGTATGGCCTTCTCCTCTTACATGTGTAAGCTCCCTCTGCTTCTCCCTTATGACACTTACGATAGCATGTAGGACCCAGCATAACCCAAGATAATCCAGGATTATCTTCCCATCTCAAGGTCCTCCAGTTAATCACATCTCCAAAGACCTCTTTCCAAAGAAAGTTACATTGACAGGTTCCAGGATTAGGACCTGATGTCTTTGGGAAACATTCTCAGCCTTCTAAACCAGGTAAGGCAGTGCAAGTATCCCCATTTAGCAGAAGTGGAATCTGAATCCCAAGTGTAATGAAGTGACTTGTCTGGGGTGAGATACAAGATGAAATTCTGCATAGGAAATTCCATATGTATTGGTTGCCAAAATCACAAAAGCCTTCTGGACTGGTGGGTAAACTACCTTGTAGAAGTGGTACCATGCAGACAGAAGGGTGGGGTGGTGGCAGGGAAGTGGGAGGTGCTGTTGGTGGTGGTGTCACAGGGACCAAGATTCCCCTGGTCAGCCCAGGCGGGCAGTGTTGGCATCCAGGTGTGTACCCAGCTGAGCTGTGCCCAGCTTGCTGCAGCAAAGCACTGGGTTCTGGGTCCTAAGGATATGATTTAACAAGGGAGGCACTGTGGTAGTATGACGGTATGATGCATTTGCCTGAGGTCAAACTGTGCCTCAGATGGGGGCTTGTGACAACCAGGCCAAACAGATCACACCAACAATTTCTAAGGGCCAAAAAATTACCAGGAAGTTATTGGAATAATTGAATGAATGCTTTATGCCGCAATCTATGTCACTTGGAAGGCAGTTTTAGGATAGACTCTATATAATTTACTTTATTTAGAGAATATATTCTTAAAGTTTTGATTCATATATTAATTTTGATTACTTGACCAGTTGTTAAAGTTTTGTTTTATTGAGCATCATCTCTAAGTGACAGAGCTCTTGCACAGAAGAACTTAGACTCCAGAGTAGGGCCTGTTCAGAAGAGGAAACACTTGCTGGTCATATTTCTCCAAATGAGTTGATGTCTTCCCTGACGCTACCACATCAGGTGGTTAGATGTTCTCTGTAAGAGCTTTTAGTTCTTCACCTGCTCCAGCATTCTGGAGTCCACCATACTATGAAGTCCTGGCCCTACCTCTCAAGGGAAGCTAATCACAAAGCAAAGGGCTACTATGGACTGAAGAATCACAGGTTACAGGATGGTACAAGCAGAGCAGCAGAGCATCAAAGAGGCCAGCCAGGATCTCCAGCTCTAGTGGCCAACAGGCCCAGGCTTACACCATTGTTTGCCAGGACCTTGCTTTGTGAGAGCAGCCAAGCCGGCCCCGCTGAGCTTCAGTCTCTCCCGTTGTACAATGGTGATAAGAAGGCCGATCTCAAGGAGTTGTCATGTGGTTTGTAAAACGAGAACACACATGTTAAATGCAGAAAAAGTTCCCAAGTTTCTGAGTTGTATGAGTTTTACTGTCATCTTTGAACTTTTCAATATTATTTATGTACAATGAGCATATACATTAAAAAATAAAACCAATAAAAGTGATTTAAGAGAGGAAAAGCAAGGAAGTGCTATGCAATTCAGGGTGTAAACTTTGCTCATTATAGCCTCTGGATGAAGCTATGACCAACTCAGGAAATGGCTCTGAACCACTGACCTTTTCTTCTTAATAATAACAGCTACTATTCGTAAGCCCAGGACTTTACAGACATGGGTTCATCTGTTACAAATAACACTACAAGACAGGCATTATAATATTCTCATTTTTAAAGTGGGGGAATTTCCCCCGAGAACTGGAACAAGACAAGGGTGCCCACTTTAACCACTTCTATTCAACATAGTACTGGAAGTCCTAGCCAGAGCAGTAAGACAAGAGAAAGAAATAAAGGGCATCCAAGTGAGTAAAGTGGAAATCAAACTGTCACTGTTTGCTGATGATATGACTGTATACCTAGAAAACCCTAAAGGCTCATGCTATACACCAACACCGACCAAGCTGAGAATCAAATCAAGAACTCAACCCCTTTCACAATAGCTGCAAAAAAATTAAAATAGTTAGGAATATATCTAACCAAGGAGGTGAAAGACCTCTACAAGGAAAACTACAAAATACTGTTGAAAGAAATCATAGATGACACAAACAAATGGAAACACATCCCATGCTCATGGATGGGTAGAATCAATATTGTGGAAATGACAACACTGCCAAAAGCAATCCACAAATTCAATGCAATTCCCACCATCAAAGTACCATCATCATTCTTCACAGAACTAGAATAGACAATGCTAAAATGAATATGAAACTGAAAAAGAGCCCACACAGCCAAAGCAAGGCTAAGCAAAAGGAGCAAATCTGGAGGCATCACATTACCCGACTTCAAACTATACTATCAGGCTATAGTCACGAAACAGCATGGTAATGTCATTAAAATGGCATATAGACCAATGGAACAGAATAGAGAACCCAGAAATAAAGCCAAATACTTACATCCAACTGATCTTTGACAAAGCAAACAAAAATATAAAGCGGGGAAAGGACAGACACCCTTTTCAACAAATGGTGCTGGGATAATTGGCAAGCCACATGTAGAAGAATGAAACTGGATCCTCATCTCTCACCTTATACAAAATTCAACTCAAGATGGATCAAAGACTTAAATCTAAGACCTGAAACCATAAAAATTTTATAAGATAACATCTGAAAAACCCTTCTAGACATTGGCTTAGGCAAAGACTTCATGACCAAGAGCCCAAAAGCAAATGCAACAAAAACAAAGATAAATAAATGGGACTTAAACTAAAAAACTTCTGCATAGCAAAAGAAATAATCAGCAGAGTAAACAGACAACCCACAGAGTGGGAGAAAATCTTTGCAAACTATACATCTGACAAAGGACTAATACCCAAAATCTACAAGGAATTCAAACAAATCAGTAAGAAAAACAAACAAACAAACAAACAATCCCATCAAAAAGTGGGCTAAGGACATGAACAGACAATTCTCAAAAGAAGATATACAAATGGCCAACAAACATAAAAGAAAAAGCTCAGCATCGCTAATGATCAGGGAAATGCAAATCAAAACCACAATGTGATATCACCTTACTCCTGCAAGAATGACCATAATCGAAAATCAAAAAATAATAGATGTTGGCGTGGATGTGGTGAAAAGGGAACACTTTTACGCTGCTGGTGGGAATGTAAACCAGTACAAATATAATGGAAAAGAGTGTGGAAATTCCTTTAAGAACTAAAAGTGAGAACTACCATTTGATCCAGCAATCCCACTACTGGGTATCTACCCAGAGGAAAGGAAATCATTCGAAAAGGATATTGCACACGCATGTTTATAGCAGCACAATTCGCAATTGCAAAAATATGGAACCAGCCCAATGCCCACTAATCAATGAGTGGATAAAGAAAATGTGGCATGTATACATCATGGAATACTACTCAGCCATAAAAAGCAATGAAATAACGGCATTTGCAGCAACCTGGATGGAGTTGGAGACCATTATTCTAAGTCAAGTAACTCGGGAATGGAAAACCAAACATGATTATGTTCTCACTTGAGTGGGAGCTAAGCTATGAGGACAGAAAGGCATTAAGAATGATACAATGAATTTTGGAGACTCAGAAGGGTGGGAGGAGGGAGAGGGATAAAAGACTACACATTGGGCATAGCGTATACTGCTCGTATGATGGGTGCACCAAAATCTCAGAAATCACCACTAAAGAATTAATCTACGTAACCAAAAACCACCTGTTCCCCCAAAATTTATTGAAATAAAAAAAACTGAAATAAGTAAATAAATAAATAAATACATAAAGTGAGGGAATTTGGCCAGGTGCGGTGGCTAATGCCTGTAGTCCCAGTACTTTGGGAGGCCAAGGTGGGTGGATTGCTTGAGCCCAGGAGTTCGAGACCAGTCTGGGCAACACGGTGTGGGGAGGATGCTTTTTTTTTTTTTTTGAGATGAAGTCTTCCACTGTCGCCCAGGCTGGAGTGCAGTGGTGCGATCTTGGTTCACTGCAATGGCAGGGTGCTTTTATGCTCTGTGGGGACTCACCACTAGCTCTTGGGAAGAGGCATGCTGTATGCATTGCTGCAGATTTAAGACAGGCCCCTGGGAAGACTGAATGCCATGGGAAAGCCGCAGAGCAACTATCTGATCTCATATCTACTAAAAATACAAAAATTAGCCAGGTGAGGCGGGGGGCAGTGGCTCACGCCTGTAATCCCAGTACTTTGGGAGGCTGAGGTGGGTGGATCACCTGAGGTCAGAAGTTCAAGACCAGCCTGGCCAACATGGTGAAACTCCGTCTCTACTAAAAATACAAAAATTAGCTGGGCATGGTGGTGCACACCTGTAGTCCCAGGTACTCGGGAGGCTGAGGCAGGAGAATCACTGGAACCCGGGAGGCAGAGGTTGCAGTGAGCCGCAATTTTGCCACTGCATTCCAGCCTGGGCAACAGAGTGAGACTCCAGCTCAAAAATAATAATAATTAGCCAGGGGTGGTAGTGCACACCTGTAGTCCTAGCTACTTGAGGGGGCTGAGGCAGGAGGATCTCCTGAGCCTTGGGAGGTCAAGGCTGCAGTGAGCCATGACTGTGCCACTGCACTCCAGCCTGGGAATTCCAGGGCGTGCTCTGTGAGCCACTCACTTTCCCCATGTGCCAATCCAGCTTTGGGACTGGGGCTTGCCCCATATTATCCCTTCACTGCCACCTTCAGGAAGGGTGGAAGAACCTTGCTCCTAGCTGATTTCCTCTAGCAGTAATTTACTACTGATGTCAACTAGCTGGGGCTCACCTGGCCTGAGAGCGAAGAGGCTACAACTTGCACAGACTCTGGAGGAATTGTCCCTGATGATGGAGAAAGTGTGAGCCTGGCTGGGGTGTAATGTCCTGGGGCAGGTGTCCCAGATACTTTATCTCCTTCACAAACGGCTGCACTGGCTCCTCTGGGTGCTGCTGGTGAGCGGCGACAGCTCAGAGGAGCGGGATGAACCCTGGCCTCCGCCTCCGAGTCTGGGGCCCCACCCCATTTCACTGGCAGCTCTGCCACTCATCAGTCAAGCGGTCTGAGGAATGCCATGTCTTCTCCCAGGACTGTGAAACAAGAGGGCTTGGAGGCCTCACATTCTCTGAGTATCTTAATTCCACAGTGGAAAATTTCTCTTGGTTAAAAATGTCATCCAAGAATATTAAAAATAAATTCCAATTTTCTGTGGAAAAAGGCTTGAGTTCTACCTTGTTCCTCCTCAGACCCCTTAACTCTGGTATTTTTACTCCCCGCAAAATAACCTTTTCAAAGGGCATCTGCAAACAGCTGCGTGGCCTTTCTGTGGGGAGGATGCTTTTATGCTCCGTGGGGACTCACCATTAGCACTTGACCTGGCTGTGCTCGCATGGGAAGAGACATGCTGCATGCATTGCTGCAGATTTAAGACAGGCGCCTGGGAAGACTGAATGCCATGGGCAAGCTGCAGAGCAACTTTCTGATCAAGGAACACTGGCTTGTTCCCGAGTTCCCAAGACTCCAAGCCTCCCGGAGACCTTTGGCCAAGGGTAGGGTCACAACTCACCAAGGCGGCTCTTTTTTTTTTTTTTTTCCAAGGGAAAAAGTCTTTCTATAATACCCAGGCTGGTCTGGAACTCTTAAGCTCAAGTGATCCTCCCACCTCAGCCTCCCAAGTGGCTGGGACTACAGGTGCACACCACTGCAGCTGTGCCTGGCTTTCTTCCTAACCTTTTATCATTAATGTGAATCAGAAAGAGACCTTCATGGGTTAACTTGGATACTTTGGCCAAGAACCAAGAAGAGAAAAGCTGACTTTTAAAAACATATAATGTGTATAAATTTATTCAGGTCTACATCTATCTGAGCTACTTTCCACCCTCTATTCCAGACACACCCTGTGATCTCAATAGAATGGTGGCAATGGGTTCTTACAAGGTTGAAAGGAACAGGAAGGGATGGAACCTCAAAGCCAGACGGCCCTTTATGAGAAAAGGGGAGGCAAGCAGTCTGGATTCTTGAAAGGAAAGGAACGCTGGGGATGATTCAATCCAGGAGTAGCAAACAGTTTCCATTTCTGGCGTCAACTCCAACTGATTGATTGGGAAGCAGTTTCTTGGGACGCTTGTGTTCAGAGGAACTCTGGGGCTGTTTCTGCACCCAGCTGGAAGCAGTGCTGCATTAGATTCCTAGGGTTGCTATCACAAATTACCATAAATGTGGCAGCTTAACATGACAGAAATTTATTCTCTCACAGTTCTGGAGACCAGAAGCCTGAAATCAAGGCTCTCGCAGAACCATGCCCTCTCCAAGGCTCTAGGGGAGAATGTTTCCTTGCCTTCCCAGCTGCTGATGGCTCCCGGTGTTCCTTGGCTGATGGCAGCATCCTTCCACTCTCTGCCTCTGTTTTCCCTTGGCTTCTTCCCCTTGAGTCTCTCTGTCTTTTCTCTTACAAAGACATTAGTCATTGGATTTAGGGCTCACCCTTAAATCCAGGAAGATTTCATCTTGAGATCCTTAACTAGTTATATCTACGAAGGCTCTATTTCTAAATCAGGTCACATCCTAAGGTTCTGGATGGATATGTATTTTGGGGGGGCATTATTCAACCCAGTGAGAGTGCCATGATGGTTTAGCAAGCTTGACAGGGGTTCAGGGCTGTGCAGGGATAGGGCTCAGGTCTTCTGCCTTCTGATCTGCCATCCTGATGTAGCCCAAGCCCACAGCTTTACAGATGATGGTGGAACTGAGACTCAGACAATAAAAATAAAAGGGTCTTGACCAGTACCATATAACTATGTAATGGCACATGAGTCAAGAATAAAGAAAGATGAAGATAAAGAGGTGGGGTAGGCAGTTGGGATGGGGAAGTGTAGGGGTGGGAGGGGATGAAGATGAATATTACTGCTTTGGTTGTGGAATAACTGAGAAAAGCATCTTTGCATTTAAAACCATTGGCCAAAGAGGATCTAGATGGGACAAGAAAATAATAATCAGCCAACTGGGGAGAAAATGTAGGAGTGTTAGAAGAATTAGTACTGCACTGGGGACCAGTTTTCAGGGGATCATCTGCCCTTTTTCAGCCAAAGGAATGAGAGCTCCTCTCACTGGGCAAAAGCCTTTCCAGGCTGGTCCCTGAAAGCATCGTGCGTACAGATGCCTGCTGGTTGCCATGGTGAATGATGCTGATCTGAAGAAATGAATAATGTGAGCATTAGGGGCGGCAGTGGGATTACTCAGTGTTGAGAGAAACAACACGGAAAGCCCAGAGCAGAGGAGGGAGAAGGCCCCATTCTCTCAGCTTTAATCTACTGCACCTCGGAGGGCAGAGCTCTAACCAGACACGCTGCAAGCATCAGGTAAGACATATAGATGGCTCTTCTTGGAAATGGAAATGGCTTCTTTTCACACTCTGCTTGGAGAAGGGCCGGGCAAATGAATAGTTAAAAATAGGGGAGAATTTAGAAACGGAAACAGAGGAAGAAAAATCAATAAGGGAGACGGACCTGGTCCTAAAAGGTGAGGATGCTATTTGCGTCTTGACAGAAAGCTCTTAAAAATGTCTGCTGAGGTAATTCCATCTGTACAGACAGCTAGTGGCAGATAGGAAGCCAAGAGAACATTTGTGCGTGACAAGAAACAGGATTCCTGATTACTCCTGATGGAAAGGTTTTACACAGGTGGCTGCCTATAATGAATTAAGCTCTTTTCATCGTGGTCGAAAGTGTATTTATAGTGATGTGTGGTGTGGGGAGGATGAGTGTGTAGAGGACACCAAGCTAGGAAACATAAACATTCGGTCTCCTTCATGATGACCTTCCCTGGAAGGGTCTGAGCACATCCGTCTCATCCCTTTCGTTCCCTATTTACTGGGAAGAAATATTCAGCCACATAGAAAGACACTATTCACCTTCCTGAGTATCTTAGTTCACTGTTACCCTTACAGAAGAAAAACAAGGATTAAGAAACTACTCAATGCTGTGCACCTTTCTGCAGCTCCACTCCTGGAGGAAAATGGGCACAAACACAAGAGGATGGGGGAAAGCAGAGGTGAGAGAAAGGCAGGTCATAATAGCCATTGGTTTGGCTTAATATCCAATGCAGGCGAAAATCCAGTTGACAGCTGTTTACTATGTCACTGCAACCCAAAATGAAACCTACGGGGTTTCATGTGAGGGAGGAGAGGCGGAAGACAAAGCAGGGTGAGACTGTTATGTGAATATGCGTAGGCTGACTATGACTGTCTCTGTATTTCTGATCAGGGGCAATCAGTAGAGGGAACTGCATGAGAGAAACTAAAATACTTGAAGATGGCTCTCTCTTATCAAAGCGGGGCCTGGCAATCTAAAGAGGGCTCATTTGATTTGTCTGGAAAAACAGCAACTGGGTCTCAGTCCTGGCACCTCATTTTGCGATAACGTCTGTAACTAAACCCGGCAGCCTTGCATTAGGAAATGTAGTGGTTAGGCGGCACTAAGTCCTTTTTCTACGTATTAGCGGTGTGACATCAGGTTGCTCATCCGTAAAATGGGAATCTAGCTCAGAGGATGTGATGAAGAATAAAGGAAATTAATTACTGCCTGTGAATCATCTAGCATGACAAGTGACATAGCAACCACTTACTGTGAGTGGTTATTACCATGATTAACATTCATAATAACAGCAGAATTAAATAGTGGTAGTTATGCTGATATTAGGGGCTGATTATCTTCACCCATAAAATAAATTTCCTGGTACCGCTGGCTTTGAAAAAACAAACAAACAAAACAAGAGCAGAAGCTTTGGGGTGAGATCAGCTGCCAAAGAGTGACGAAGCGAATTTCCACTCACCATGGGCAACAGAACCAGGAGGCTAAAAAAAGCAGTGGGCAGAATGTTCTAGATCACTGAGCTCACAGTACTTGGAGCAGAAACAGGAGGTCAAGAAGGAAAATTGAGGTGAATCAATTGCCTGAGGGGAGGTCACAGACCTGAGAATAAAGGTGGAGCCTCTGAGGTTCTACTGATTTCTCCTTACCTTTTCTTCTTTTTTCTTAAGGGGATGAGAACAATCCCCTTAAGAAAATCCCCTTTGTTATCTGAAGGATCTCAGCTAGGGTGGGATGTGGCTGGGATTGCATGGGTGCATCTGTTCTTAGGCCTGAACTTTGGCATGGGACAGCCCCAGTTTTAACTTTTGTCCTGCCACTTTTTCGCTATGCCTAAATAACAGAACCTCTCGGCCTCCATTTCTTTGTCTGTAAGATGAGGGCAACATGAGTGCCCGTCTCAAATGTGCAATAAATGGTGGCTATGATTATGATAAATACATACTTAAATCAGGGGATGTCACTCTTCACTTTGATTCTGGTTCCAGAATCGGGATGAACATCGAGGTGGGGAACATTTCTTATACAGGAGCCATCATCTCCTGGTCGTCCTCGGAGCCCTGCCTGGAGGACTATTACCATATTATGTACAGGCCCAACTGGAACAGCATCTTCTCTGGCTATCTTCGCTACAGCTTCCACCACGAGGAGAAGGTGCCTCGAACGATCAGCTCCGTGGTGCTGGAACATCTTGCCCCTTCCACTCTCTACTTCCTGTGCATCAGCTGTAAGAAGGCTGCCTTCCCTTACAGGCACTACTGCACCATGTTCCACACCCTGGATAAGAGTCCGCTGGCTCCTGGAAGCTCCCTGGTAGACCCCCAGATCTCCCTTTGGGTGCTGATGGCCATTCTGCTGGCCTGCTTCACAGCCGTCTTGGCCTTCATCTGCCTCCAGTTCTGGTGTGTCCGTTGCCATGAGCCGCGATGGTCTTACAGGGCTGGCCACATGGAGGAGGCCAATGGGTTGGTGAGATGGCCAGAGGAGGCCCCGGATCTTGGTCAGAGGGAGGAAGACCTGCAGGGGCTCCCCCTGGTGGAAATGCCACGCAAGAACTCCAGAGATGGAGCTGAACTGGATCCCGAAGCCAACCAGGATGCCCCTGATGCGGGTGCCTTACAGAGGGGGGGTGGTGACCCACCCGCTATACTGCCTCATTGTGGGGAATGAGAGTGGGGAGGAGAGCGCCCGCATCATGTAGCCTAAAGCTTTCCACACAGTAGGTCGTTTGTACAAATGTGTCTATAGACTACCCATTTCTCTCCCATCAAACGTCACTGCTATTGTAGGTCACCTGGGTTGGATGAATGCCCCATGACAAAGCTTCTCAAGCTGGAAAATGTATCCCCCAGGGTATGCCAAGGCACAAACGAGGCATCTCAGCAGCAGCGTCCACTCGGAGGACACAGTTAAGAATTGAAAGCATTGTTTTAACATTAAAACAAACATGGATATGTTATAAAGTAGAAAGCAAAAATTTGCATGACAAATAAAACACAGCACTTGAAGGAAACACTTGAGTTACAAGTAGGCTCTCAGAGGTACACTTTTGGGCAAAGGTAGATGTCCAGTTTCCTCTGCCCTTGAGGGGATTATTTGGAAATAATTTGGGATTATTTGGAAATAATTTGTGAGAACCCTTGCTCTGGAGTGTTTTCCAACTTTTAGGCAATCACATACCACCGCTCTCTATTTTTTAAAACCATGGATTATCTTCACTATTATTAATAATACTTTCCTTTAAATTGACTCATTTTTTAAGCGTAAACTTATTTTCAAAGACAGCCTTATATTACTCCATAAGTGAAAAACCAGCACCCTCCTGCTGCAAACAGAAGGGAAGAGACATAAGAATAAACATCATGAAAACAAGATAATATTAAATAATCTGACTTAGCTTCTATTGCCTGCCAGTGATTCTGAGCTTAATGCCTGCTTGCTTGTCTTTGATAAAAAGGGAGATCCAGTGTTGGAGAGGTAATAAAGACATATTAGCACCAATATTTGTCTTTCTCCTTGATATAGCATAAGGTTTGAAAGAGAATCGAAAAGGGAAGTGCTGTTTTTACTTTGCGAGTCAGTGTTAGTTAAATGCCATGTCTGTGAACCACCTCAAATGCTGTCAGTCAGCTTCCCTTGATTTGAGAAAATTGTCTTGACCAGACTAGGCAGGCTGTTCTGGAGAAGACGCCTGTACTCTCCAAGCATCATCCAAGACCTTCCCAGTACCCTCTTATATCTATAGAGCACAAAATCCCAGAATCACAGGACGACACTGCAGTGAATCAACTAAGAAACAGCAGGAGCTGAGAAGCCAAGACGAGAAGCCCCACATCCCTATTCCCTTGCCTACCTCATGCATTCCCTGCTCGGCACCCAGACTTTTGCCCCCATTCCTGCTACTTGTGAACAAATAAAGATTCATATACTCACAGCTGTTTCTGCCTGGATCTTATTGCTGCCTTTTTCCTTTCTCTTTAGAGATAAGAGTCTCGCCCTGTCAGCCAGGCTGGAGCGAAGTGGTACAATCATGCTCACTGCAGCATAACACTCCTGGGCTCAAAGGATCCCCCTGCCTTAGCCTTCCAAGTAGCTACTGGTGCATGCCGCCATGTCTAGCTAATTTTTTATTTTTTATTTTTTTGGTAGAGACAGGGTCTCGCTATGTTGTCCAGGCTGTTCTCAAATTCCTGGCCTGAAGTATCCACTGGTCTCGGTCTCCTGAAGTGCTGGGATTAAAGGTATGAGCCACTGTGCCTGACCTCATTGCTGCCTTTATCTCTGCACCTTCTTACTCTTCTAATTAAGAGACACTTTTCTATTTGCTTTTTCTCACCAACCCTCTTCTAGGCAGGGTAGGGCAGGACTACTTACCTTGGATCCATAGAGGTAATAAGGCTGGACGTTGGCAGGTTTGTCTCGTTGTGGTTCTTGGGTGAAAGGAATGGCAGTCCGCACAAAACTAGTAGAAGCATAGGGATGGGAAAGAGTTAATATGGTCCTAATATTATTCTCCATGGGACACAGATAACAGGAGTGCTTCCTGGCCAGGTGAAGGTTTGCACTGGTACAAGTGCACTGTTTGTTAGGTGGTTGACTATAAAGGTACTAAACTCTTCTGACATCTTCCCATTCAACTGCCGTCTCCTTTCTATAGATGGGAAAAATTCAGTCTAGATTCCTGGGCTCAACCAGGGGCTTGTGGCTGCTCCGAATGACACTAGGCAAGAAACTAAGAGTGGACTTTCTCTAGGGCTCCACTCCTCTACCTCCAGTTTGGTTTCTCAAGAGCAGAGTTCAGCAAACTCTTTCTCAAAAGAGCCAGGCAGCAAATATTTTTAGCTTTGGAAGCCAGACGGTCTCTGTTGCAAGTACTCAACTCTGCTGTTGCAGCATGGAAGCACCCACAGACAATAATAAACAAATGAGCATGATCGAGTTCCAATAAAACTTTATCAAATACAAATCATTTTCACTTGTCACCAAATATTATTCTTCTTTGGATTTTTTCCCCTCAACCACCCAAAAGTGTGAATACTATTCTCAGCTCATGGGCTTTACAAAAACAGTCAGCAACTAGATGTGGCCTGTGAGCCACAGTTTGCTGCTCCCTGCTCAAGAGTGTTAAAGCTCCTAAATCTTTATAGAACTGGAAATCTATCTCACTTAGTGTGTGGATCCAGGTGCATTTGTGGATATCTCCCATACCCTTTCATTCATTCAACACACACTCATTCAATACTGGCCTTGAGCCAAGGCTTGGAGATACCTAGAAGATCTGCAGATGAATACATTTTTTTTGCATCCTTACATACTTATTTTGTATGTGAATATATATGCCTTACTCTTCCACTGGGTTATGAAACTTTGTGGGGATAAAGAAATTAGGTCTTGTCTCTACCTCAGTGCCTGGCCCCGGGCCGTGTGCACCTTGCAGGAGGCAAGTTCCACTTTGTCATGCGTATGTGTGCTCTGCAAATGTATGCTGTTTTGCAGGCATGCTTTCAGATACGTGGATATCCTTACAAACATACAATCTGATCATGTCATCTCCTTTCCTCAAACTCTTTCAGGGTTAATAAAAATGCACGATCCTGCCCTGGCCTGTAGAGTACTGCACAATCTGTTCCTGTGTTATCTTTCACAGCACCATTTCCCACCCGACTAGTTTTACCCTCATCAACTTCTTGGAGAAACCCTTAGAAACTTGTCTGGAATATTCTTCTCCTGCCTTTTTGCCTTATTTATTCCTAGTCATCCTTTGCATCTTAACTCCAGCATTACTTCCTCAAAGAGGAAGCCTCCGTTGAGGTTTGCATGACTTTTTGGACTGGAATAGGTGGTACTGTTACCACTGTCATGGCCCTGTGGGCTTTCCTTCATCTCCTTATTCACTGTTTGTAATGGTACATTTGTCATGTGATTGATCACCCACATCCTCCTCTAGTCTGAAGACTCAAGAGGCAGGAAGGTATCTGCTCACCATGGCATGCCCCATGTTTTACTGGAGCAGGAAAACACCCCAATGGGCAACTTCAGAGTAGCAGTAGAAAGAGCTCTTCAATGAAAGAAGACCTAATTGTTAACCACATTCAACTGTCAACCAGCTCTATGACCTTAGGCAAGTGAGACAGCACAAAGCCTGTGCCCAGGAGGGGCTCTGAGAGACACCTGTTGCAGGAACCACTCACACATGTACTGGGCCTAGTTTGGAGGAGGCAGCTGGCCACTCCCCCAACCCCCACCCGGCCCCCTCTGCACAGGGACTCCCTTACCGGTTAGTGGACCCATTGTAGCAGTAGTTGGGGAGAAAGTCAAAGTTCAGTTCCCAGAAGACATGCAGGGTGATACGGCCATAGGGGGCGGACACATTGTGATTGGCCTCTCGGAACATGGCATCGAAGCTGTCCAGCGTCATATGCTTACAGAGCAGCCGATGCGTGAGCCGGTTAATCTCCAGCAGCCACTCCAGCTCCTGTACAGAGAGAGAGCCCACAACTGCTGAGGACTTGCTTGTAAGCATTACATGTGTGTGTTTTATCTTACTGCTTCTGTTCACGCAAGTGACAGCTGCTCAGACAACCTCCTGGCCATCTACATGGGAACTAGGACCCTTACAGTAGCAGGTGACAAGGTTCCCTTCTGAGAAGTGGAAGGATTGTCAGACTACGCTGACAGAAATGGAGGCCCAGAAGGTTAAGGGCAAGGTAGGGGAAGGGGAGGTTGCACGCCTACCCCCTGGAAGGAGACCATAGACCATGTGCAAATCCCTTTTGGGTAGAGAACAAGCTTACTTGCTTTCCAGTTTCTATGTTGGTGAGAAAAAAGCAATACTAAGAGCTACCACTAATTAAGGGTTTACTATTAGGTTGAACCCTATGACGTTACTTGTTTTTTAGGGCCAAATATTGGCAATTTTGCCTGGTTCAACCAAATTAGTATGTGCCAGTTTTATATGTGTCAACTTGTTTAATGCTTATCAAACCCTATGAGGTCAGTATTGCTGCCATTCTTATTTTATACATATGGAAACCGAGGCTTTGAGAAGTTAAGTAACTTGACTTCAAATCCAGGAAACTGGGCTCCCAAGTGCACATTCTTAACCACTATATGCTCTAACTGCTATAGAAGTTTTAAAAAGAGGTGGGAGCAGAATGCCTCATCCTTTGGAGTGTAGGCCCCTTGAGGTATCACATGGGGTTGGCAAAGGCGTGGCTACAAGCCATGGGCAAGCAGTCTGCAGTCTGCAGTCAGCTCATGATGACCGGGATCTATGTGCACTGTGGGCCCTGAACGAAGGAAACCCATCTTCAGGCAAAGTGGGACAGAGTATCTGCACACAGCAGGACATGGCATTTGTTGGGAAATGAAAGAAGAGTGTAACTCTTTCAACACGCTTTGGACTCTCATTGTCCTGCAACTTCCCCGCCACTGCTATCAAAAGGAATCAAAGTACAGTCTTATGTAGAGACAGAAAGCACCTTAGGCCACTCCTGTGCTGTTTTGGTTAAGCCATCTTTTAGGATCGGTACAATGGTCCCTCATTCAGAGAGGGGAAATTGAGGCCCTGAAGGTTAAGTAACTTGCCCAAGGTCACCATAAGAGGCCTTAGGATGTGAATCCAAGTCTCCTTATTCCAAATCATGTGTTCTTGGTCCCTGTGACACAGTTCCCTGGAACAAGGATGCAAGAGCTGTGAAAGTCCTTTGAAAGGCAAAGATGGCTTTACAGCATAAAGGCTAAAAGAACATCGGCAAGGCCAATTCATCAGAGCATGGCCGGGTGGGATGACCATAGGGTCGGCTGTAATGGCTGGAATATGTCCACAGGAGGCAGCCTCATGCCAAGGATTCAATTTCATTCTCATTAGCCACAAAGACCCCTAGATGGAGACCAGAGCATGGTCAGGTGGAGATCCCAGGCTATGCTTCCAATTTTTGGAGCTCTGCCTCTCTGAAACTCAGATTCTGTGGCTCTAAGTTGAAGTGTGCAGAAATGGTTGAAGGCTTGCAAACACACATGGCTAAAGAGACCAGACAGGTCAGGTAAGTGAGATCAACTGGGGTGAAGAGAAAGTTTGGGGAGTGGGTCCATCTATGGCAAATTGGATGTCCCTGCCCAGGTAAAGGTGGAGCTGCTACTTCTGATACCCCGTCTGACCGCTGCCATGTTGGAGTGGGGGATTAGTGATGGCAAATCCTGCAATTTTTCAAAAGAAGGTCAGAATTTCAATTCTGGAACAGCATCGGAGGAATAAGTTTCCAGTCATTGTGTACCATGAAGTAAATGAAGGGCGGAAATACAGAATCAGCTTTCTGATTCTGTCTCTTGGGGGCCTGGCTAGCTGGAATATGTCTTTATTCTGATTCACTTAGGATGGGTACTAAATAAATAAAAAATACATGGAGTAAGTGGCGCTGAGTTTATTTCTAAGATCACTGAGTCCCCTGGCACACTGTGGTGCCTTGTTACTGGGAAGACAACTGAGAAGCTGGGGAACAATTTCTGTGTTATCGTTCTGTGACTTCAGCAGTCTCACAACATACATCCGTGTTCACAAGGGAAACTGAAGGAGAGGCAGAGGCTGCTGCAACCACAGGTCCACTTCTCCCTGCACAGTATGTAACCCAGACGATATTTCTGCAACACATTTCGGATTTGTTCTTCTGGCCTTGAAACCAGAAGAGGGCATGTGCCAGCTGGATGCAGGGCTCAACGCACCAAAGCATGGAAAAGGCTTAAAAAGCCATGTGGGCAGTTTAGGGGTCTCCTAAGAGGATGACACTTTTCCACAGCAAGGCTGGTTTACTAAAGGGCAACACAGAGAAACAGAACTGGGGCAGTAAAACACCCCAGTGGGCAACTTCAGAGTAGTGGGAGAAAGAGCTCATCAACGAAAGAAGACCTGATTGTTAACCACATTCAACTGTCAACCAGCTCTGTGGCCTCAGGCAAGTGAGAGAGCAAAGGTCTCAAACTCAGTACAGTGAGGCCTCGTAGGTCACACACATAAATGAAGCCTGCCACTGAGGCTGTGGCAAGCTGAAGAAAGTGTAGCCCATCTCACAGGAACTTCTAGTCATTTATGGGCAATCGTTACCATCTGGGAATGCTGGTCTGGCATTGCCAGAGCTTCTGCAGTTTTATTTGATTTCTTCCAAATGTTAAACATTGGCTCAAAATTACAAATGTACTATGCTGCCTAAACAAAACACAGCCTGCGGGCTGCCCGTTCTCAACTTCAGCATCGGGTCTTGCTGAGACTCTGTTTGCTCAGCTGTGTAAAATGAGGGTGACTAACTCCCCAAATCTTTGCAACCTCTCCCAACTCAGAATCAAGTTGCCTCCCCATCTCAGAATGGAGTTTTTCAGGTGGAGGGAAAGGCTGAGGGGAGCTCATTCCTCATTTTGTTTCTTGGAGGAGGTAGAAGCTTCTCAGCCAGGGCGAGCAGGGGCCATCCAGACCCATCGGAGAGCGCTTCCCTGAGGTCTCTTCATGGGCTTCCCAGGAACTGGTGTTCTCTGGGGAGCCACTGCCCTCGCCTGATAAGCAAGGGCTTTCACTGCTTGTTTTGATTTTGTTCCCAGCTAAAAGAACATTTAGTGCTTTTGGACAGGTGGGAAGAGGCCATGGAGACACACATATCCCAAATCTTTTTTTTCCCATAAGATATGCTCATTATTGGAAAACTAGAAGATACAGATAAACAAAAAAGAAAAAAAAATCCCGCCACTTGGAGCTAATCACTGCTAACCATTTGGCATAAAGAATAACTCTGTTTCTCAAAATAGAGGTGACCAAATGATTTCTCAGAAAAATGTGTGCTGTACTACAGTCTCCTGGAGTAAGTGACCCAGGACTTAGGTGGGTGGGTAGGTCAAGCCCTAAGAAATCACCCAAAATCACTGCATTGCAGCCCCAAATTTATTTTTCTCTCATCTTTTTTCCATAAGCTATTATTTATTAAGTGCTAACTATGTATACAAAAGACTCTTGGGAGGCCAAGGCAGGCAGATCACGAGGTCAGGAGCTTGAGACCAGCCTGGCCAACATAGTGAAACCCCATCTCTACTAAAAATACAAAAATTAGGTGGGCCTGGTGGCACATGCCTGTAGTCCCAGCTACTCAGGAGGCTGAGGCAGGAGAATTGCTTGAACCCTGGAGGCAGAGGTTGCAGTGAGCTGAGATCACGCCACTGCACTACAGCCTAGGCAACAGAGCAAGACTCCGTCTCAAAAGAAAACAAAACAAAAACAAACAAACAAAAAAACAGGTAGTATCTCATTTTATCCTTATAGTAACCCTAAGAGGTGGATTCTGATATTCCCTCCATTTCTATAGATAAGGAAACAGGCTTGGAGAAGCTGAGTAACTTGCACAAGATCACACAGCTAGTAAGTAGCAGGGAGAGGACTGGGACCCTAGGTATGATGTTAGAGTCCCAGTTCACTGTCACTTTATTTTTATACTTTGTCCACTTAAAATAAAAACCAACTTTATTTAAAAATAATGTTAGACTTACAGAAAAGTTGTAAAAACAGCATACCCTGCATATCCTTTACCCAGCTTCCCCACTGTTAACATCTGGCGGAACCATAGTGCAATCATCAAATGAAGGAAATTAACTTTGGTACAACACTATTAGCTGAATGACAGGCTTTATTCAGGTTTCACCAGTTTTCCCACTAAAGTCCTTTTTCTGTTCTAAGATTCAATCTAGGATTCCATGTTGCATTTAGTTGTCAGGTTCCCTTATTCTTTCCTAATTTGTAACAGTTTTCAGTCTTTCCTGTCTCTCAAGACCTGCGCACTTTTGAAAAGTATCATTCACTTTTTTTTTTTTAAATGGAACTCGATTTGGGTTCATCTGATATTTTCTCATAATTAGATTGAGATTGTGCATTTTGGCAAGAATATATGTTGATAACAATAATATGTCTTACTGGTAATATTAACTTTGATACTTGGTTAAGATGGTGTCTGCTAATTTTCTCCATTGTAGAGTCATTCTTCCCTTTGTAATTAATAAACATCTTGGGGGAGATACTTTGAGACTATGCAAGTATCCTATTTCTTCTCAAAGATTTTTTGGTTAAAAAAATTTTGTTATTGTGGTAAGATGTACATAAAATTGAACATTTTAACCATTTGTAGGTGTACTGCGGCATTACGTACATTCACATGGTTGTGCAACTATCAGCACCATCCTTTTCTAGAAGTGAAACTCACCTTCTCCAACTGAAACTCTGTATCCATCAAACACCATCTTCCTCTTCCCTGGCAACCTACCCTATGTCTCCATGAATTTGCCTACTGTAGGAACCTCATATAAGAGAAATCATGCAGTATTTTTCTCAAAGTTCTGCCCACTTATTTTAGCAACCATTGACAGATCTTGCCTACAATTTTTATTATGTTCTAACGGTGATTTTCCATTTCCCACTCCTTCTGTTCATTCGCTTTTGAAGGCACTGAAATCTTCCTTTGATTCACTGAAAGAACAACCAGTCAAGTTTACTCTAATTCTTGAAGAGAGAGAATTAGCAGAGAGTCGTTTTAATTGCTGTTTTCTGGGAGAAAGGAGTAGGCCTATTCCAGGCTTGTGCATCAGAACCAGTTACATAATCTGCAGGGTGCAATGTTTAATGAAAATGTGGGGCCCCCTTGTTTAAGAATTTCAAGATAGTGAAGCAGAATGGTAAACCAGCTGCAAAGCCCTTCTGGGCCTTATACTACTGCACACCTGTGAAGCCAACCCTCTTGTGCAATTTTCCCTAGCTTCTTAGGACCCCTCACCTACTTGCTCAGCCTGCAGGATCCTAAGGACATGCAGCTGTGTCTGAGGGTTGGCCATCTCTAGAAATCTCAAGGAGACCCCCTCCATGCTATCGTTCCCAAGGCAATCAGGAACGTAAGATTACTCTTATTCTGTGTAAGTTTTTCTTTCCCAGCTCCATTCAGATGGGAAAGAGACTCACTGCCCCTCTTTAACTGGCCCAGCACTAGACTAACTACAGTCCCCATCTAGGCTTCTAGTCTGAGAAATCACAGAGCAGAAATCCCACACGCTCCCAGACTCTTACCACAATGGAGGTCAGGTCCTCACTCTCAAAGCGGCTGATAGCTTGGTCCAAGGATTTATACATGGCGGCAGAGATGCGCTGGGTAATGAGTCTGTTCAAGTCAATTGATCTACCCAACAGCTGGATGAAGAGAGAGAGAGAAAAGTTACTTAAAATTCACACTGGCCAGGTGCAGTGGCTCATGCCTGTAATCCCAGCACTTTGGGGGACCAAGGTGGGAGTGAGACTGCCAGGTGGGAGGGGTTTCCTGGAGAAACTCCAACCAGCCTGTCCATTGAGGTGGAGCCTCGGGAAGTTTATGATGTTTGCAGCAGGGAGGAGCCTGGCCCCTCCTCTTCTTGTGTGGAACCTGGGATTCCAACGGCCTGGCGGGAAGCTCTCTAGCTGAGGGACTCTGGCCTTGTGAGAGTCCCTGTTTCCCTCCTTTTTTTCCCTTTTCACCCAATTAAACCCTGCTTTACCTACCCTTTAAACAGTCTGCAAGCCTAATTTTTCATGGTCATGGGACAGACAAGAACCCCATCTTTAGCTGAACTGAGAAAAAGTCCTGCAACAGGAGGATAGCTTGAACCCAGGAGTTTGACACCAGCATGGGCAACACAGTAAGAATCTGTCTCTACAAAAAATAAAAAAAATTAGCCAGGTGTGGTGGTGTACGCCTGTAGTCCTAGCTACTTGGGAGGCTGGAGGTGGGAAGATAGCTTGAGCCCAAGAGTTTGTGGCTGCAGTGAGCTATGACTGTGCCACTGCACTCCAGCCTGAGCGACAGAAAGAGACCCTGTCTCTTAAAAAATAAATAAAGATTCGCGCTGACACCTGACAACTACGTGCATGCACCGATAAGAAACTGGATTAAAATTACAAAGGACATAACTGGGACGAATGGGAACTGTATTTAGAAAGTAGTATTGTCAAATTTCCTGAGTATCATCATTCTATTCTGTTTTTATAAGACAACGTCCTTGTTCTTAGGAGATATAGGCTGAAGCATTCAGGGGTGAAATGTCATGATTTGGCAACTTAAACTCTCAAATAGTTAAGAACAAAAGTATGTATATTCATCCCCCACACACAAACATACGCACTGTATAAGTGCTAGAGAGAAAATACATACATGAGAGAAAGAATGTGAACTAAATATGGTAAAACATTAATAATTGCAAATCTGGCTAGGGGATAAATAAGTGTTTATCGTATTATTCTTTCAACTTCCCTGTAGGCTTGAAACACAGGAAGTTTAGGAAAAATACGATTCACTCAGGCTGTGGGAAGAGGTTCAGGGTAGGCTCTGGCTTCCCATAAGTGTTTCTGCTGACATCCCAAATTTAGCCCTGGGGTTCTTTCTGCCATCTTTCTTGCACTCAATTCAGTCACCAGGGCACAGCAGCTGCCTCAGCAAGGGCCCACATTGTGCCTTCATGAGGGAAAATTTAAAAGCAAGAGGATGAAGGTCTGATTACAGAATGGAAAATATAACTTAAGGTACTTTCCACTGGGGTACACGCGGGCATTACTGCAGCTGCTATGTAGATAGCAATGAACATTTGTTGAGTACCTGCTGTGTCCACAGCACTTTGCTAGGTGTCAAATGATTATTCTTAACTATTTTATTTTTCAACTTCTCTTTTGGCATCAATTTTCTACCAACTGACCAGGGCCCCTTATAGCCATCTTATGCACACATAAAGCCCTCAGTATTTAATATCCTGTGGCTAATTCTGGCTGCATTGTAACCGATAGCAGTAATCTTCTGAAAGGGTGAAAGAAAAGCTCTCATTGAGCCCCTGTTGTTGACAGAAGTACAAATTCTATTTTTCCCCCCTCTTAATGATTCTCCATCTCCCTTGGATTTCTCATAGTAATGGGAATGTCCAGGGTTTCTGAGATGAATTCTTTCCTTTTCACCTCTGGCATGATCTTAGCCTCAGCCTGGCCCTTTCACAAAGACCAGGACCACATAATAAGCACACAGACGTCACAGCATAAAGGCCATTTTGCCACCCGCTTGGCCAACAGCAGGGCTGTAGGAGGAGGGCTCGACATCTGCTGGGGCATCTCTTATGCTGTCTGTCTGCCTCACATTAATATTATTAAATGGGGATGTTTCTCAGTTCCCAGCAACATCTCCTCTACATATAGGGTCAAATGTTAATAGAAACCAACTCTGCACACAAAAAACCCAATTTCTACCGTGGATTTGCCCTGACATGCTTTCATTTCAAAGGCGCCACAGTCTTCCTCACTTAGACCGGCACTTGGGCCCTGTTCAGGGACAGATTTACCCATCTCTAAGTGGCAGTCCCAGCTGAAAAAAGTGGGCTGCAGGTTATGATGAGAAGACAAAGGCTTTGGTTGCCATAACTTGTCAGAGGTTGGCTATAGATGGGTGGAGAAGCCCAGAACTTGAGCCAAAGGAAGCCCAATGCCTCTTTATTGTTTATGAGATCCTGAGGCTGTGCTACACCCAGGCTCGGAAATCCACACTGGCAACATGCCGGGCAGACAATACCCAGGCCTGATTTCTGATCTCTATGCTAACTTCGCAGCTGCTCTCTCCTGCCCCTTCCATCTCCAAGGTGGCTTCTGCTCCCCATACCTGGACGTGTCTCTGCTTCAGCAGTGTTTCATAGCGATTGGACGGTGGATACGGAATGATGACGCCATAATTCTTACACTCAGCTCGAAAACGTTTATCCAACAGGACACTGCAAGGAATAAAAGTGAAACAAGGCCAGTAAACAGATTGTGAATGACTCTCAACTGCCCAGATACATCTATTTCAGATCATAGGATCTACCCACAGAGCACTATCTTATATAACTTAAGTAAAATTGTTTTCTGCTCTAGACAAGTTACGTCAAATTTCTTTTCAGTCACAGAAGCTCAATATGTGAAACAGAGTTTCTAAGTTAAAGATGGGCAACACAGAAGTTGAGCCACTTTCCTCTTTTATTCATTTACTGCAAAAGCAATTGAGTGCCTGCTTGGTGTATCCCAGGAAACATTCTGGGTACTGGGAATACAAAGTTCCTGTCCTCATGGAGTTTATATTCGAGTGAGGAAAGACTGATAATATAAACACAAACAGAGGAATGGAATAATTTCAGATAATAGGTAACAGTTGCATAGTGTTTATTATTTCCCAGGCACTTTAAACACAAACACACACACACACACACACACACACACACACACACACACACACATTTTAAATCTCACCACAACCCTATGAGCTGAGAGTGTTACTATCTTTCACACTGAGGCATGGATTGCAGAGGAGAAGTGCTTTGAAAATAAGAAAATGGGATCATTTGGAGTTAGGAAGTCCAAAGTCTCTCTAAAGAAGTTTTGCTAAACAGAGACCTGAATGATAAAATTGGAAAGATCTAAGGGAACACTATCATTTACACAACAAGCTTGGTTACATTTAAGAAAAGGAAAGATGGCCAGTGTGGATAAAGTATAGTGCAGGTTGGAGAGCATGGTGCAAAATGAATTTATAACATGAGACCAGGGCCAAACCAGGTAGGGCCACACAGGCCATAGTAAAGTGGCTAGGTGTATTCTAGACATAACTAAAAGGCACCAAAAGGTTTTACGCAAGAAAGAGACACCATCTATATTTACACTGTCCAAAGTAGTAGCCACCAGCCACATGTGCCTACTGAACACTTGAGATGTGGCTGGTCCAAATTGAGATGGGCTGTAAACAGGATTTTGAGGACTTAGAAGAAAAGAATGAAAAATCTCTAATAATGTCTATATTGAGTGTATGTCAAAATTATAATGTTTTGGATATGTGGGGTTAAATAAAATATATTATTAAAATTAATTTCATCTGCTTCTTTTTCCTTTTTAAAATATGTCTGCTAAAAAATTTAAAATAACATCTCTGGCTCATATTTGTGGCCACATGGCATTTTGAATGAACAGGACTGACCTAGCTCATGGTTTTCTTCCTGGGCTTTCCCTGAATCTCTCAACCTCCTCAACTTCCCACACTTTAAAAAATCACTGATCTTACAGGGAAGGGTGTAGATAAAAGCCCATATGTCTGAAGAAGGAAGACCCAGGGTTCGACACGCCTGAGTCTGTTTATATAGATGATGGAACAGTGTATTTGGAATCAGAATTGTCTTACAGAAGCCAGAAACTCAACTCACTGTTAGAACCACATCCCATTCAATCCACAGATGCCTATTGACTACTTTGTGAAAGGCTGTGTTCTCTGCTTTCCTTGAAATCCTACGTGCATGCTTTCAATACTTTACAGCATTTAAGAGTCGCGTTATTTAATGCACATCCTGTGTTAACAGACACTTGTGTGTGCTGCACATCAACTCCTCTTTGAAATATATCAGGGCTACTTTGGCTGTTAAAAGCAAAATGAAGCAAATCCTTTTCATAGAAAAATTATTAAAGTAAGGAACTATCCTTGAAATTACTGGTTGGTATGTTTGGATTTCCAATAAGAAAGGAAATACCTATATATAAAATTTGAGGTTTTCCTCGATCAATGCTGTTACAGGTCCTTGAAACCCAAGAACTCACGAGGGTCTGAATCAACATATACTGGCAATACCAAGGAGCCTCTAAAGCTTGATACATCTCTGATCCAGACTTCTTCACTGGCCTCCTGTCTGGTTTGCACACACCCATTCCTCTCCAATTCATTCTCCATACATTTATATTTTTAAGAGAGTAAACTTTCAAAAGTAAATAAAAATCGAATCGGGTCACGGTTGTACTTTTGAAACCATTCGGAGGCATTCCACTCCCGGGAGAAACAGCTACAAAGCTGGTGTGCTCTGGCCCTGCCCACTCCCCAGCCTTAGCATGCAGCTTGCCCCCTCTAGTGGTGGTGAAGAGACACTGACATGTATTAATCCACAGGAATCCTCCCACAGCCCTGTGAAGTTGGCATGCTGTTATCATCATACTCCCACCGCAGGGTCCTTGCACAAGCAGTTCCTTTTGCCTGCAACGTCCTGCCCCATCCTTCACCTCGTTTTACTTCCTTCACTCCTACCAACTTCAGATAAGAACTCAGATGCCACTTCCGCAAGATGGCCTTTCTAGTTCCCCGCCCCCAAAGGTTTAACCATCGTACATTCCCATGAGCTTTTCCCTCACAGACAGCATGTAACCTCCTTGTCACTGTGCATTCATCGGCTTTTAGTCGATGTCTGTCTTTCCTGCTGGACTGCAGGCTGTGTGAGGTTAGCCCTTTATCTGCCTAGTTTCCTTTCCACTCTATCTCAGCACCCAGTCCGGGTCCGTGGAATGGCTCTGTTTTCCTAAGGTGCTAAAGAAGAAGGGAGGTTTCACAACAGAAAATCATGTCTTCTAGGTGGCAGTCTTAAGAGATTGCTACTCACAGCTCTGGGGCTTTCCTACCTGCCAGCCATGGCTTTGTAGTAAGCAAAGATCTGGTCTGCCAGCTTGTAGACAAACTGATCAAAACACAGGTTCACCTGGTGGAGAGGAAGCAGGAAACATCACTGGTGCCCGTTCAGCTTTATGACAGAAACTGAGCCAACTGAAAGACAGCAGTCAGGCAGGATTGCCCAGAGTGCATTCTGGGGAAAGACGCTTTGAAGGGGAAAAATATTCTGTGGCTAAGTTTGGGAGATTTGGTCCCTTGCTCTCAGGGTCCTCAGTCAGTGAACAGACAAGTCAAAGTTCAAAAAGGACCCAATCTCCCCACGGCCCCTCTCCTCAGCTGTTTCGAGGCCGCCTGCCTGGAGGGATGCAACAGACAGACTGTCAGAACCCATCAGTGCTCAAATTCGTCCGCTAACTCGGCAGCCTCCCCATCCATCTCTTCAGATGGATGTTATTTTCATTGTATTTTTCTTTGATTTGCAATTTTTTTTTTTTTTGAGACAGAGTCTTGCTCTGTCACCTAGGCTGGAGTGCAGTGGTGTGATCTCGGCTCACTGCAACCTCCGCCTCCCGGGTTCAAGTGATTCTCATCCTTCAGCCTCCCAAGTAGCTGGGATTACAGGCACCCACCACCATGCCTGGCTAATTTTTGTATTTTTAGTAGAGACGGGGTTTCACCATGTTGGCCAGGTTGGTCTCGAACTTCTGACCTCAGGTGATCCACCCACCTTGGCCTCCCAAAGTGCTAGGATTACAGGCATGAGCCACCACATGTGGCCACAAATTTGTTTATGAAGTTGATAGTCACATTTAAAAGCGCCTTCCTTCAAACTTTGCTTACATAACTTTGGTTTTTAATGAATAAAGTCTTGCCATTTCAGGGTCTCATCATCAGTGATAGACTGTGATGCTCAGGTGGGAAGATAATTCACACAGACATGAAGAATCAAACCAAATATTTCAGAAATGGCAAGAGCAGGACATGACCATGAGATGGGGCAAAGGCAGTAGCTAGGTAAGAGTCAAAGGAAACAGATCCTATTTACTGTCAGATTTAATATTTTAAGTCTTTCATGTTTAATATTTATGTGATTAACCTTTGGTCCTTTTTTCACCAGACTCTTGGCTCCATAAGGTTAATGATTCAAAAAGCTTTCAGATCTTTCATCTCACACCCTACGTGGTATGCAGAACACAAAACCCCAGCGCTGTGTTTAGTGCTTTCCTCAGACCCAGGTCACCGAGGCCTCTGACCTGCACTTTGAGCTTCAAGGGTCATCAGCGGACCTCCCTCCAGGCAAAGAATCCATAAGGTCAAGGTGGGCGTGTGCACTCAGGCCCCATTCTCCCCTTCTAGAACCAGTTCTGAGAAGCCTTCTACAGGCGGCTCAAGCCTCTTCCAGGGCCACGTGCTCTCTTCCCTGGCTTCCCCTCTGAGGGTGGACTCCACTATGGGTGTGTGTGACCCTAGGGTTTAGGTCTAGCCAAGGGCCACTGTTTTTGAGCAGAGTTGGCAGGCAGAGCTTGGGTATTTATACACATGCACATGAAGCCCTTCATGGTGCAGCACAGAGTTTGTGGGTGGGAAGAGAAAGGCAGCAGGCCCTGAGCTGGGTGTCTCAGTTTGTACTTCTGCCCTCAGAGGTTACACAGGCCTTCTGATGGCCATGGTTACAGAGATTCCTCTCCAGAACAAGTCACTGATACTCCTACTTCATGCTAATAGCAAAAGACTGGAAAAGTCCGGAATTTGGAACAAGATTAAAGGAGCAAAAAGAGAAGCACATCACTTGCCTCAGCTTCTATCTCATCGTACAGGAACTGCTTTTTAAACTTGGTCAGAGCATAGTAGGCGCTGTCGTTGTACAGATCCAGAGGGTAGAGGACATACCTGAAGAGGGAAAAACACAGCCAGCCGCTTGCTAATAACCCCCCTTAAGGAAGACAGCTTTATACTTGCTTGGGAAATAGAAACAAGTTCACAGTCAGGAAAAGACCATCTTTCATCCCTCTCTTACGTTCCTTGAGCCTCCACCGCTTAGAAGCAACTTACTTTACAGTCAGTCCAAAGAAAAAGTCCAGGGTGCAAATAAAACCAAGACTTGTAAAAATTCATTTGGGACTAAAACACATCAGGTAGCAGTTAAGAATACAAGCTACCTGCTCCTGAGATGATTCTTTTCTGAGCATAGCTGTTATGAGGCTGACAAGGCATAGGAAGGGCAGTTGGGCTGGGAAACTTCAGAATTTATCTGCAAGGCTGAATTAAATGATTCTGTCTGGCTGAGCTCTCCCTGTGGTGGGACATATGGCCTCATTTCTTGTCAACTCAGTGCTTCCTTCTGGAAAGAACGGATCTCCCTGGCAAACTGCCCTCTACTTGTACCCCAGGAGCCACTTGCTGGCCCAATCCTGCCTCTTACTCCATCATGGAAGGTTCTTTGGTTTCCAGGATATGGTCCGTTAGAATCCAGGGCATGGACATCTCGATGGGGAACTGGATTCGTCGGCCCATGGTTAACTCCAGGAAGAATTCTCGGAACCAGAGCTGGGAGAGGTCACAACACTGCTGCAGGGCTTCTGAAAGCATAAGGGAACGAGCCTTTGGTTACTTTTAGAACTAAAAGACCTTAGTTCTCATTGTTTTTATTAATTTTCATTGTTATTGTCACTGTGTTAGGTATGTAGCAGGTACTAATATTGATTAGTAGATCCTGCTCTCTTTTACTTAAAGGCAAGCCTAACATCTACTGCCTCTCAAGCATTTGTTAAGCTTGAGAGGCAGTGGTTGTGGGCTGGTGGGGGAGAAGAGGAGGCAGTGATGTTTTAGAGCTTTAGATGCCCCTATAGTTCCCATCCCTCTCCTACAAAGCCATCACTCTCCTACAAAACCTGCAACCTAAGCATGAAAAGTACGCTCGTGGCCGGGCGCAGAGGCTCATGCCTATAATACCAGCACTTTGGGAGGCTGAGGCAGGCAGATCACTTGAGGTCAGGAGTTTGAGCCCAGCCTGGCCAACATGGCGAAACCCCGTCTCTACTAAAAATACCAAAAAATAATAATAATAATAAATTAAAAAAATAAATAATTAGCCGGGCACAGTGGTGCATGTCTGTAATCCCAGCTACTCGGGAGGCTGAAGCAGAAGGATTCTTTGAACCTGGGTGGCAGAGGTTGCGGTGAGCTGAGATCACACGACTGCACTCCAGCCTGAACCTGGGAAGCGGAGGTTGCGGTGAGCTGAGATAGTGCCACTGCACTCCAACCTGGGCAACAGAGCAAGACTCCGTCTCAAAAAAAAAAAAAAAAGTGTGTTCATTATACAAACACAGTGTCAAGACAGGCCCCCGAGTGCCCACTTTCAACTGGATTGTGGCTCCTTGACTCCTCGCGTGTGATAATTGCCAGATCCCATACAGTTTAGAGACCTTGAAGGCCCTTCCCGGGCTACTCTCTAATGGAGAAGTTTGTACTGTTTGTTACAATCACTCTTGTCAATGCCAGCAGACATATGAAGACTCATGTTCCTGAGATACTACTCTTCCTCTGCTCTGGACATACATCTTACTAAAAGGAGAGGAAGTGTGAAGAACACAGGACTGGGATGCAGCTCGAGAGCCTCCCCTGCTGGCAGCAGCAAGTACTAATTAGCGCTTGGTTGCGGCTGAGTAGCAAAAGTCTAGCATCCGTGTGTCTGTATGTACGTATTCTTGTTTTTGATCCCGCTCTACTAAGGACTTTATGACAAATTAGCCACAAGTATCTCCTGGACAAATTTAGCTAAGTCAGAACAGCTGAGTTGAACCTGGCCTTTCCTAGCTCCAAAAGCCCACTGGAAAGTGTATGTGTTTTTTCCTTGGTGGTGATATGTGCCCCTTAGGGTCAACGGTCACGTCCCTTTGCAATGCCTGGCTTGGTGGTCTTAGCGGCTCTGAGAGCCCTCATCCCCTCCTCCCATGCCTTAGCAGGGATGGGATGCAGCTCACCACTGATGTTGAGCAGATGTGTGAAGAAGAAGGACTGTTTGTGAAAGTCCTCTATGGCGAGGACAATGGGTCCATCCAGGCTGCTCCTCAGGGTCTTCTTGGAGCCGCTTTTGTCTGCAATGAGTGATTCAAGCATGGTCCGCACCATGTACAGCTTGAAAAAGAAAGCAAGATGAGAAGGTCAGAAGCTGGCCCTCTACCCCGGGGAAAAAGGTTGCTTCATGTTGTATTTATGTATTTTTTTTTTTCTGCAGATGTCTGCTCTTAAAAAGCACTGTCCTAAGGAAGCACCAGTTTAAGGTTTGAGAAATAAATGTGGAACTGTGAAAACCTTCATGGCCAACCCGGGCCCCGTGGCATCCCTGGGCCAGTGGACCTGGCCACACCAGGTAGCTCCCTGCTCTGCTTGGCCAAGGGCGTGTATATCAGAGGAGAACCTCATTACGTGTCACCCTGGAGTCACTCCCTGCTTTCCCAGAGGGCCACAGATGCCATGGGTGGAGCACTGGACTGGGAGTCAAAAGACCGGGGTTCAAGGCCAGGCACTGCTGCTGATTTGCTGTGTGACCTTAGGCAACAAAGCCCCCACTCTGGGCCTCAGTTGTCTCATGTAACATGAGGGGGTTGGACCAGATGCCTTCTCACACCAGTCCCTTTCAGCACTAACATTCTGAGGAACTGAGAAATGGGATAAGATCAGAACGAACCCCCTCCCACACCTGTTCCTGACCCTCAGCGTTTTGACCCCATGGCTGAGCGATGGCGCCCCCTTGGTGGCATCAGCTGCACTGCACAGCCTGCTGAAGTTCAGGGTGGAAGGCGGGTTAACATTGGTACTTACACAGGAGGCTACTAGACAATTAACTCCCGCTTACAGGGTGCCTTAAGTGCAAAGGATGCAAGTGCGGTGGGGTGGTTCTCTTTGCTAATCTAGATCTCTCCACATCATTTGTCTGTGAATCTTAGGGCTGGAAGGGGCCTTGAGGAGCCAGGCTAGTCCATTCCTGCTGCCTCCTCGAGAAGGGTACCCAAACCAACCCAGCCAGGCGGTGTGATACCAGGGATCGGCAGCCTCTTCGGCCCTGTGTGCCACCAGTGGGGTGAAACAAAGCCCTCGGGGACCACTGGCAGGCCTAAGACATAGATAGGAGAGAAGGAAGAGGGAATGGGAGGGCAGGAGAGACAGGGAAGAGGGAGAGAGAGAAAGAGAGAGAGAGAGAGAAAAGCAAGAGGTATTGTATACGGTGGGAAAGCCGCCGCGACTGCCGGGGGCCACCTCTGAGACACTCCAACCTCCCAGCAACCGCGTTCGTCTTCGCTGCCTCTGGAGCTTCCCTGGGATCTCCCCCATCACATGCCTGGCACTGATGCGGGTAGAGCAGCCACAGAAACGTGTGACCCACCATCCCTGCCACAGGGCTTCCTTTGTGGGAAAGCAGCCACAGTGGCCGTCAGTGCCTCAGACAGTCCCCCATCTGCAGCCCTGTTGGAGGGCCTGTCTCACCATCCCTAGGAGCCGAGAAGCACTCTTCTCATGACGGCCTCTCAAGTCCTCAAAGGAAGAATCCAAGTCTAATCTGTTGTGGGTGCTGTCCAGTTGATATCCAACTCTAATTCTCTGAAAACTGGTTTCACCCATAAGAAGGTGAACTTTTTTCCCACGTACTTTTACTTAACAGAGCATTTAATTCACCAAAACAGTCTCTATCCCAACTATGCAAGATGCCCATGTCTACTGTGTCCTGAAGACCGTACCAGAGCCCTGGGTGGGTGTCAGGAGACCTGGGTTCTTGTCCCACCTCCACCTGGGACTCACCTTGTGACTTGGACAAGTCACTTCCCCTCTCTAGACCTCAGTTTCCCCATCCGCAAGAGAGGGGGAGGGCCTAGGTTTCTCTAATAGCGCTCCCAGCTCTGGTTGTCTACGAGTCTATTCAACATGTCTGTGCCACCTAGCATGACCTGGTAGAGGTTGGGGGTGAGGCGGGATTTACTGCTGGTGACCCACCCCTCTCACATTATCTACACAAATACTCCTTCCTCTCCTCTCCTTTTCTCTCTGCCTGTTAAGTCCCCTCCTCCTCCTTTCCAGTGTCTTTTGTGCCTTGTCTGTCTCTTGCTCACTCATGTCTTAAAATTTACAGAAACACTTGAAAGCCCTGCTCAGTGTCTCCCGGACCTCAACCCTTGATATTACACAGAACTGTTTGCAGACGCTTCCTTGGGGCGTTCTACAACCAGCCGGTGAGATTGGTGCAAACTAGCAGAGGGCTGTGAAGCCAAGGGGAGTTAAGATGACCCTGCCGAGAACCCACCTCTCCCCTGCCCCAGCCCCCAGCACAGACACAGACGCACACACAGGGAGAAGGGTCGGGGGTGGGCCTCAGATGGTCCATCTTGGGTGACTGAGAACAGAGAGAGGCTTAAAGGTCATGGGAAGTGAGGCCTGTGAGACCCTTAAACTTGCAATGAGAACCATCTGCTTTTTCCAGTACATCAAAAATATTACCAGAAACTACCTATCCTTAAGTAGGTAGCAGGGATTTAACGAAGATGCCCAGATTATTGACTTTTTTTTCTGTAACGTTATGACTGCTCTGGATAAGCCACGGGCGACCTCTTGTGCAGAAGCTCTGGCTGGCAACTCTGAGTGTTTCCAAATACTAGACTTCCTCTAAGGGGACAAGGGCTTTCAATACTTGCACTTTTGGAAGGATGTGGAACTAAGGAATATTTTGTTAGTAACACAATCTCATCCAAAGTTTTCATTTTACAGAGAAGATAATCAGAGCTCAGAAAGCTCAAGGTGCTTGCCCAAGATCACACAGCAAGTCAGAGGCAGAACTTTTAGGGGAAAGGGCCAGGACTTATTAAAGAGGGGCAGCATAGATGCATGCAGATAGATTCCACTTTAACCTCCTCCTCCACTTTGGAATCTATACTTCATAGGACTAGAAGATAGCCAGGCAAGGTGGATGTGGTGGTATTATCCCCATTAGCCAGTTTAAACAACTGAGGCACAGAGAGATCTGTAAAGTGCCCGAGGTCACACAGGTATCTAGGACTAGAATCCAGGTCTCCTGAATCTTAAGCCAGTGGTCCTCCTTCCTATATCAAAACAAGATGGCAGAATAAGACCGGAGCAGCCACTCAACCCTGCCCCTCCTGACCGACGGCTCCCAGTCCCACTGCCCATGGCCAGCCATGATGATCTACCATAGCCCGGCTGGCCTCTGAGTCAACGCAGCTGGCCTGTGCCTGGAGCCGCTTACCTGTGTGCTGGATGGCCCCACAGCACGCCGGGGCACCTTGATATCAAATCCACCTTTGGGGTCCTTCTCCCCTCTCAAGCATGGGTCATTAGGGGGCTCTCGCCCTCCCTCCCAGTCACAGATGGTCTTTCGAATTGCCTGTAGGACGCTGGGGAAGGAAGAACTAAGACTTAGACCAGGTTTCACCATGGGAAAACGTCACTACAAGCTTGTGTTTCTAGGGCCCGTGGTGTCCCAGGAACACCCACATTTGAATTCTTGGGGTGCTTGTAAAGCATGCTCATTTCTGCCCCAATTCCAAAACTCTGGTTTAACAGATTTAAGGTACAGTCCAGGAATCTGTGTTTAAACAAGTGTCCTACATGGTTCTGATGTCCAAGGGATGTCTGAGAACTCAGCTCTGAGCCCATCGAGTGAGACAGAACTTGTGTGAGGCAAGAGGTCTGTATTTCCTTTCTGGTTATAGGGGAGTCTCACCGGTCTTATGAAATCTGTGTGTGCTTAGTTTTCATAATAGCTTAGATGTGCTGCATACTTACTCCATGCTGCATGTGCTTAGGTCTATATATGGACCATCTCATTTCATCATCCCAACAGGCAGCAGGTAGCATTATAATCCCCATTTTACAAATGAGGAAAACTGAGGTTTGGAGAAGGTCAGCAACCTGACCAAGTTCACACAGCTAGATAGCAGTGGATATGGACTTCTAGAGATGAAGGCTTAATTCATCCCAAATGCCCAATCTCCTAAAGAGCCCTCTGGAGCTTGCTGGAAGGACCCATGTGTGTTCAGTGGCTGAGCCAGGACATCCTCTCTGATGGGTACCTGGCATGCTTATGTCTGATATGCTCCTGAAGGCATCTGAAAACCCACCTGATGAGGACATTCTTCTTCTTCCGTACCGCCTGCCGCAGGGGCTCACGCAGCGTCACCTGGGCGAAGTCCTGCAATGCCGCGTAGATGGTGTTCCTGATGGCCTGGTTGAAGACGCTCTCCATCCTGCCCATGAGCACCTGCAGGCCTTTGATCATGGCGATCACCTGGGCAGGAAGAGGCCAAGGGTCATGTTCACCATGTCCAGCACACCAGCTGTCTACTACCCATCACCGCCCTGCCAGGGGAGGCGGGGAGTGAGATGTCCAGAGGCATGAGGCCAGTGCTACTCAAAGTGCCAGCGCATGGCTAGGTAAGAGATGTGTGCCAGAATGTACGTATATCAGCACTTGGCTTCATTCATTGAGAAAGTCTTGCTACAAAACACAAATGTCAGCTCAACTAACAGCATTCTTCGCAATGCAACTGATTTTCATCCTCGCATGAGCTCCCAATTTTGTTGTTCACTGCTGACAAATAGCAGCTGGCCCATGGGCCACAATTTGAGCATTTTGAGAAGTGCCTTGGCTTTTGAAGGCCTCTCCATAGACCAGGCACTCACAGACAACATCAAATAGAACTTTTTTAACATAAAATTTTCTAAAGAATTTTTACAACCTTTGTTTTTGAAACCGTTTGGCCAGTTGCTGCTTGAGTTTATAAAATCAAAACTTCTCCTGCAGAAGTCATGGGGGAGAATGCCTCTACTCCCCTATTTCCCTTCTCCTTACCCTAACTCACTTATCTGTTTGGAGAGATGGGGATTCAGGCACGTGTGATGAGAGGAGCCTGGCCTGACCTTGGCTCGCTCTTTTGGGACCTGCCTGCCTGCAAGTATGTGGCCTCCCTTCTAGGTTTCTGGCTGCTTCTTGCAGTAACCATCCCCTGCCCATCCCGAGGAAGGGAGGCGTGTATCTATGCAGCTGCTTTGCCTATTACCTAGTGGCAAGTTTAATGAGATGTAGGAGGCATAGGAACACTGGTGTGGCCTTGGGTGAAAACCACATTCTCTAGTCTAGCTTTACCAGCAGTAAGTCTGAGCCTTTGACTCCATTGGCCTCTAATATTAATTTCTCAATTGATTCAGAATTCAGAGGGAAAGGCATGTGGCAGATCGTCCACCTCACAACTGCCACACAGATCACACCCATAATGGCATGTTCCACCTTCTACACCAGACTGGAAATACACAGGACAGGGCCCAGCTATGCTGTGCACGCCCAACTGCCAGTGTCTGGGTCCATGGTGGGCAGACACATTTTCTGTTGAAAAGGAACAAATAAATGAATGAATGAGCTCAGACCCTAAGGCTGTTTTTTTCTCTAAAACTTAAAGGAAGAAAAAGAACATTTTTAGATAGAACTGGTATGAAAACAACTCAGGAGGTGATGGTTTTCATTGGCACCAACAGTACAACAATTTTGTTGGTGATGAGCTTTAGTGCAGAGAAATAATGGGAGAGAAGCATTAGAGGACTGTTAGATCATAACAGAATCTGGGCCCCTGGCTACAGATATAACTAGGAGACATTAGGAAAAAGGAAGGAGTAAATAATGAAGATGTCTCAGAATGGCTCCAAATACAGAGGAGTGGGCAGGCCTGTTGGATCTAAAGGAAAAATCTTTACAACTCTAGACAAGGCAAAGATTTCTTAGCTGAAACCCCCAAATCACTAACCACCAAATAACTGACAAATTGGACTTCATCAAAATTAAAAACAGCTGCTCTTCAAAAGGCACCCTTAAAAAATGAAAAGGCAAAGTCACTGATGAGAAAAAATATTTGCGACATATATTTGACTGAAGACTTGTGATCTAAAATATGGAATGAATTCTCACAATTCCATAATAGGAAGACAGAAACCCGATTTTTTAAAAATGGGCAAAAGATCTCAATACTTCACAGAGGAAGATATATGAATGGGATACAGGACAGGACAGAGGTAAAGGGAATTCCCAAGATAATAAATAATGAGGAGAATCTTGGATCAGTGGCGGGGCTGGTCTAGAGACAAACCCATGCAGATTGGAAAGAAGAGAGCTTGTGGAGGAATGCCTCCAAGAAAAAAAGAATAATACCAAAACTCATCAAATGATGACTGTGATGGACTATTTTGTAAGGAGTTTTACATTTTGTTGGTAGGTTTGGGGTTGCCTTTTTGATAGACTCATAGAAAACAAAATAAAAAATACAGTATTGCTAATTCTATGAAGAACAAAAAGTTGTGCAAGAAAATAAATGGATTCACATTAGAGCGTGTGGCTCAGTGATGGACAACAGTTACTTGGTTATAATAATAATAAGGTAACCATTGATTTTTACCAAAAAGTGTAAAATTACCACGATGGGAAGATGGGGGAAGGAAACCAGGTGTGTTGCAGGGATGGGAGGTAGGAAGGAGAGAGCTATATCCTCATTTCCCAAAGTAGAAAATCAATAGAAAATGTCATAAACTGAAAAACCAAGAAATAGTCTCATAAGCCTGTTAGAACTAGGGAGATAAATACCACAAGGAATCGCTTAACAAGTTGAATGGTGTTTCCTATTTGGGGATTCAGAATGGAATAACATGGTACAGGCAGGTTACTACTTTTGCTTTGTTTTATTATTAAAGGCCACATTGAACTACTTTTCTTTTTAATTTTTTTAAACATGTTTTATTAATGAGATAAAAATGATAAAACCTCCCAATGTATAGCAAAGTAATGACTAGATGGAAATAGAGTGACATGTTCTTGGTGGTTGTGCTTGGATGACGATATAAGGTTGTGGGAAGGTGAAGGTAGAAGTGGGTTGCGGGAGCATCTTCTGAATCACTTACAGTGCATACGCATCCCTTTTATTAAGGAAATAAGTGCATAAATAGTTTTATAAAGTTGCATTTACCCTCTGACTGTCTCACTTTAAATAGGCTTGAGGATGACTTTGTCCTCTGGTGATGACTGCAAAACTTTCTTCCAGGTTGCCCATTAGTAATAGAAGTGCCAAGGGGTCTGGAGCCACTCAGGACAATGTCAAGTGTGATTATGAAATTATGCCACCGAGCCTCAGTCCTTTAAAGTGAAGCTTGGAGAGATGACGACTCTAATCTCTTACATTTGTATGGCCCTTTAAGTTTTCAGAGCTCATCTACATCCATTATCTTACTTGACAATTATTGTTTGATTCTCCACAATAACCCTGGGATGGGGCAGGGGAAGGTTGATTAGCTCCATTTTACAGATAAGGAATCTGAGGCTCTGAGAGCTGAAGTGACCAGAGGGCCCGGGGCTGGGATCCAGGTCTCTGATTTCTAGATTCGTCTCTTGTAGGTGTCAAATGGTCCTCAAAGAAATAGCTGTCACTCACAACCTAGTGTAAAGGAGTTTTCCTCCCAAATAGAAACATCATTTTGTAATCAAACAAAACACAATACAAAAGGTTATAAATCAGACAGACCTGTTTCCAGAAATTACTACTGTTCATGGTTTGGTATACATCATAAATATTTATGTCCTTCAGTTTTGCACAAATATATAAAAGTATATTATATTTTGGTATAAGTGGAATCATTTTATATGCTGTTCTGTTTTTGGTCTAAATGTCTATATTTGGATTTTTATTTTTTATATGTTGATATACGTATTTAGACATATTACATATTTCTTTACATATTTAAAAATATCCACATTTATGTGTATATGCATATTTATTTCTAGATATATTTTTGCATCTTCCCTGTCTGCATGAAAACTACAGATATGCTGTTCTTTAATTGTTTCTTTTTTAACTTAACAATATGCTGAGCATAGCCTTCCATGTAGGTATATTTTTTTACTTTTTATTTATTTATTTTTTTTAAGACAGAGTCTCACTCTGTCGCCCAGGCTGGAGTGCAGTGGCACAATCTTGGCTCAATGCAATTTCCACCTCCCGGGTTCAAATGATTCTCCTGCCTCAGCCTCCTGAGTAGCTGGGATTATAGGTGTACACCACTATGCCTGGCTAAATTGTTTTTGTATTTTTAGTAGAGATGGGGTTTCACCATGTTGGTCATGCTGGTCTTGAACTCCTGACCTCAACTGATCCACCCCCTTCAGCCTCCCAAAGTGCTAGGATTACAGGTGTGAGCCATGGTATACCTTTTTTAGAGACTGCATAGCATGCAATGATATAGCTGAATCTTAACTTATTGACCTGGTTCCATATTGAAGAACATTTAAGTTGTTTCATATATTTTGGTATTATAAACAACACTGTGATAAATATCCATGTACAAATATCTCTGCACAGTTGGCTTATTTCCTTGGGATATAGTCCCAGAAGAAGAACTTCACCAAAGGGTATGCACATTAAAAACATGAGTACATATAATCAGATTGCTCTCATAGAAAGCCTACAAAATGTAGACTGACCACTAAAGACATGAGAATGTCTATTTCCTGCACTTTAACCTGCAACAGGCATCATCCAGCTGTCAAATCTCTGCTATCCTGATGGTAAACACTGTATCCCATCTTATTCCAATCTGTAGCTCTCTGACCACTGACCAGTTTGGGCATTTTTCATACCTCTTGTAGCCATTTGTTTTTCTTTTGTTTCTTCTGTTGGTTTCTTTGTGCCCGTTTTTTTTTCCAGTGGAATGGATGTTTTTCTTTGGATTTTTAAGAACAGAATGAGTTTCTAATCAATTCTGAGTAGCAGAATAACTTCTGACGGATTAATTTAGATGGTAGGACAGGGAAGAGCACGAAAATTAGGGCAACCGATGCTGTTTTCTTGCTCAGAACTACTCAGGAACCACCATGAGCTGCAGCCTTGGGGAGGGAGGGAGATGCAGGGAGTCTGCACCTACCTCAACGAAGGCAAATTTTTCCTCACTGGTGTAATTGTAGCGTGTGGCTCTCTCATATTCCTCCGCGGTGCCAGGACAGTCCTTGTTGCAGAACTTGTCTGTGGGATGAACCAGCTTCCAAGAGTACTGGGGAGAGTGGGAACAAACCAAACGTCCATCAACTGATGAACGGACAAACAGAATGTGGTGGATCCATGCAATGGAATATTATTCAGCTGGAAAAAAGGAATAAAGTACTGATTCATGCTACAACATGAAAAACCTTGTAAGTATGCAAAAGAAAAGAAGCCTGATACAAAAGACCACATATCATATGATTCTATTTATGTGAAACATCCGGAATAGGGAAACCTATAGAGGTAGAAAGCAGATTGCTCAGGGCTAGGGAGATGGGAGGGGAGATAACACAGGGTTTCTTTTTGAAGTCAAGAAAATGTTCTAAATTTGACTGTGGCTATACAACTCTGCGGATATACTAAAAACCAATGAACTTATACTTTAAATGGGTAAATCGTATGGTACGTGAATTGTAACTCCGTAAATCTGTTAAAAAGAGAGTGCTAGGGGGAGATGGAGGCAGATTCCAAGGAAAGAGAGGTCAGTGTGAGGCCCTCTACCCAGAGACACCTACCACCTCCATGACGTGGGCGCTCCACTTGGATAGAAGCTGCAGACCCCGCAGGGCTAGGTCGAAGAGCTCGCGATACTCCTCGTCTGACTTCTGGCTGTCCAGCCCTGAGCCCGTCACCACCTGGGGAGCATCAGGTGTCATACTCATGGTCTATGTGCCTGACACTTTTATATGTTATCTCATTGATTCCCCCAAGAACACTGCAGGGAAGTGCTATTATTACATCCCCTTGACAGATAAACTGAGGCTCAGACAAGTGCCTTGCTGAAGGCCACATGGTTTATAAATCACTGAAGGTTTATAAATTACTGAAGTGCACACGATATAGTAACTCAGGAACATATACCTACATAGAGATATTAAATTTATGTATGCACCAATATGTTTTTCTTTTATTCTTCTTTTAGAGACAGGGTCTCACTGTGTTGTCCAGGCTGGTCTCCTGGGCTCAAGCAATCCTCCTGGCTCAACCTCCCAAAGTGCTGGGATTACAGACGTGAGCCACCACACCCAGCCTCAACAATATTTTTTACAAAGCAATCTTACTCTTAATATATGGGATTCCTTCTGATTTTCTAGTCTATATTTATATAAAAATGCTAATCACAAACACTAAGTTGATTTCACAACTCATTAGACATGAATCACTGATTGAAAGGCAGTGGATAAACATCTATATAATATTCCACAATGATACAGAATATGTGTGTATGCACAAACATACTGTGTGTATATATGTACATACACATATATACATATACAGCCAGTCCTCATTATTGGCGGATTCTGTATTTGTGAATTCCCTTACTGGCTAAAATTTATTTGTAACCCCAAAATCAACACTCATGGTGATTTCTCAGTCATCTGCAGACATACACCCACTCCCAGCTGAAGTCGGACAAAGTGACTCTGCCTTCTTGTTTCAGCTCTCATACAGTAAACAAGTGTCTTTTTTGAAGTCTACTTAGTGCCATGTTTTCTATATTTTTGTGCTTTTTACTCTAATTGTTCAATTTAAAATGGCCCCCAAGCTTAGGGCTAATGCGCTATATAGCGTTCCTCTGTGCAAGAAAGCTGTAACATGCCTTATGGAAAAAAAATACGTGTTCTAGATAAGCTTTGTTCAGGTGTGAGTTATAGTTCTGTTGGTCATGCGTTAATGAATCAACAACAGAGATCACATCAAGTGTCTTTAAACAGAAGCACATATAAAACAAGGTTATATATGGATCAGTTGATGAAAATGTTGTGACCAGAGGCTCACAGGGCTGTAACTCTGATTTCTCCTTGGAGCAATGATTCAGTATTTGCTACTTCAGAGTTCATGGCCACTTTACAGAACTACTGTGAATAATGAGACTCAACATGTATAGAGCATATAATTTTAAAAAATATCTTTGGCCAGACTCATTCTTAGACCACACCAAAATGAGAGTAGGAATTAAGAGTTCTGGCTGGGTGCAGCGGCTGATGCCTGTAATCCCAGCACTTGGGGAGGCTGAGGCAGGAGAATTGCTTGAGTCCAGGAGTACAAGACCAGCCTGGGCAACATAATGAGATCTATTTTTAAAAAAGAAATAAAATATTAAAAAAAATTTTTAAAAGAGCTCTAGCACTCAAAATAAGTTATTCCTGTAACTTCAGTTCAACGGATTGGTACATATATTTAGAAAGCTAAAGTTCTGGGCTTGACCTTGGTCCCTGTGGGCCACAAGTCTAATGACCACAAGTCATGGTCTAATGGCCACGAGGCCTTGCATTTGTCAGACAGTCCCCATTTCAGGTACGTTGCTCTGTGATCAAAGGCATCTCCTGAGTTGGGGTTTGGAAAGTACAGTCACCATGGCTGTTAGCCACATGGTGGAAGCAGTGAGCATACGTGGGTCAGTGCGCAGTCACCCACGAGTGCTATGTAATAAAGGAATCTGAGTCAGGGGATTAGTGTTTATCAAACAGCATATTCATTTATTAGGAGGGTACGTATGGGATGAGTATCAGAAGGATATATATATATCCAAATACCAGTCTTAGTTGGTTCTGGGATGGTAGGATTTTATGTGATTTTCTCTCCTTTCGCTTATTTGGGTTTTTTTCCTGAGGTTTGTGCGCTGATCATGTCTCCATTAAAAAAAAAAAGTTTTTAAAAAAGGAAAAATTAAATGAAATGTAATTATTGGGATTAGTGGAGATTTTTATGGCCTTTATCTGCCCTTAAGTATATTACTGATTTTTTTTTACAATGATCATTTATTACTGTTTAGTTTTAAAACATTTAGGTAGCGTTATGAGTACGAGTGTTCTGTTTTCTTGCCATCCAGGTTGGAGATGGTTTGCATCACTTATCATGTACAGGCAGAACTAACCATCACCAGGCCCTTATTATCTGCCATATCTTTTAATCCTCTCAATGAACCTTTCAGGATAGATACTGTTATCACCCTCATTTCACAGATGAGGAAATTGAAGCAAAGAGATGTTGAATAACTTACAAAGGGCAGCAGCACCACCAGAATTCACCCCAGTCTGCCTGGCTCCAAAACCCCTGCTGTTGGCCACTTTACCCTCCTGCCTCCCTCCCTTCTACTCTCCAGTGTTCCGTGGGTCCATGTTCTTTCCTGGCTGCTCCTTACCCCTTCTGGCCCTGGGCCCACGGGCCTGTGCCCCAGCAGCCTGCATGCTCACCTCACTGTTGCTGTAGCGAGCGAGCTCGGAGATGAAGCGGATGTGGTCATCCCGGATCTGAACCATCTGCTCGCAGATATTGTACTGGGGGCTGATGCTGCTCTGGGTGCACGTCCACCTGGGTAGAAAATTATGGGGTCGGAGAGGGTCCCAGCCTCAGGCGCCTGGGTGGAACAGGCATTAGCTGCTCCTGGTGCTCAGCCCACGTGGCCAACTCCCCTGGGTGACACCAAATGGTATCCCAGCCGCCTCAGCAAGAAAGCCTGCTAAGTCCAACACTGTGGGAGCTTCAGGCCTAATGGAACAGTCCTTCCTCCTCCTCTTTGGTGCCAGCCTCATCTAGGATCCAACTGTAGGCCTTTCCAGATACCTGGTCCATAATACTTACCAGTAATATGAGAGGGGCGGGAACACAGCCTCTCTAGGACTACAAAGGGATGGAATCTGAGCACAGAAAAAGCAAGGTGGGCAACCTCCAAAACCAGCCTACCCACTCTGACAGCACAGACACTCTGCGGTTGAAGCTGGCTTTGGGGGGCCTTTGGGCTGGGATTGCGGAAATATGAATGTGACTGTGCCTCTTTTCCAACAGTGCCCTGGCAACATGGAAGCACACTGTGGTGGGAGAAGCCAGGGCCACTCTGAGACGTGGGGGTGGCCCCTCCCTCCACCCACCCCCTCTACCTCTCGCCCCCTTCTCTCCTTCTCTTTCCACCCTCTTTCCTCCTTCCCTCCGCCTTTTTTCCACGCCTTGTGAAAAGATGTCATTAGGAAAACCATCCTAAGTCAGAGAGGAAATGAATGAATGAACATCTTCACTCTCCATCCCCAAGAGAAAAAGGACCACTCCCTTCACCCTCTTCTACCCTCAGGTGCTGGTGACCCAGCAGACAGATGAAGCATGAGCACCAGACAAGGCAGAAGAAAGATTCTGGGGAGAATTTACTATTTCAAAAGAAGCCCTGATATGGTTCTCACAAGAATGGTAGAACAGTGACAGCCTTCCTCAGGCCTCCCTTCAATATCACTCAAAGAGTTACCTGTGGAGAGGGGAGCACACGGCCCCTCACACCCAACCCCAGTCACTTCCCTAGCCTCCGCTCCCAGCCAGCTTCAGCTGGTCGAGAAGTCAGGCAGGGAAAAGTGAGGAATGAGTTCAGCATTCTCCATTCCCTGCTTTTCCTGCAAAACCCCGTCACGCGCTAGCAGCCAGAGGGTGATGAAGCGACTACATGAGCTTTCCTTTGGACACTTGTTCGCAGAGGCTCCAGGCGGATGCAGTTCAAGGACACTCCATTCATATCTTCTTAAGATGCCAACACACTCGCCCTTGACTAAAGGACGGCTGGTTCCCCTCTGTGTGGAGAGGCCATAACTTCGGGCGAGAAGCACACAGAAGGAACCTCCCTAACAGCCTCAGAGACCAAAAGAGCAGCAGAGGTTGGAGCCCCCCAACTTCAGTGAAGCACTGACACCCCAGGCCTTTGCATAGATGACCCAGAATTGTGGTTTATAAAGCGGCCGAAGGTGAGGCTGCCCACCCAATTCACGTCGACTGCACGATGGACTTAGCGCACGGTCACCTAACCTGAGAGGATCAGTGTGAGGAGGAACAACGCCACCTCTCCTCACTGGACCACTGAGGGCTGGCCACTCTTCAGGGAACGAGGTGGACTCCTGCTGTCCTGCTGAGAGGACATGCGAGTCACTGCTGGGCTGGACAAGGGGCGTGGCTGTGCTCTGAGCCCTTTTGAAGCTGGCAGCAGAGGGCGGATACAAAAGGGCTCAGAGCACCCTCGCGGCTCCCCTCCGGCCGGCACCTGTGTTCTGATGGAATCCACCTGCCCAGGGATCTGGGGAGGGAGGAGGGGCTGAAGTGGCCCCTCGGCTCTCTGCCCGGGCTGGGCATCCTTGCGGGAGCCGAGAGACATTACGGCAGGCACTCACTTGGACTTGTTCTCTTCATAGTGAGCACTGGTCTTAATGTATCTGGCCAGCTCTATCTGCATGTCGCCGAAAAGGGGCACCACCTGCAGCTGCTGCAAAGGAAGCAAACACAGCTCGTGAGATGCTGAGGAGGGGTTGGGGTGGCTGCCTTCGCTGCCACCCCACTGTGGGAGGCAGGCCTCTGTGTGTGCCTGGGGGCCGACCCCTAGTTTCTGCTTCCGATGACGCTACCATGTGACTCTGAAGCCAAACGGAGCCCTAGCCAGCGTATAGGTCCTCCCCTGCCTCCAACCAACTCTATGTTCTAGGCAACGGAGCCCAGAGAGGCAAAGTGACTTGTCCAAGGTCACTTAGCCAACAGCATGTGTGAAGGCCAAGGACTGGATGGATGGCTGCCCAGTGCAGGGTCCTTTCCACTCGAATCTTCCCTGGCTTAAAGCATCCTTGCTGTTATGATTTCTAGGCTAGAAGCAGGTGTCTGAGCGCTGTTGGTCTTCCTGAGAAAGTCTGTACTTTCAAAGCAATTAAAACCGTAATAATACCTAACACCAGAGGGCAAACAACTCCCGACCAAAAACCAGGGCAAATGGCGGGGAGGCTGGTATTTATTATGTGCTTCTCATGCACTAGGTACTATGCCAAGCACTTTAAAAACAGTATCTCAAGCCACACAATAGCCCTGTGAAGTCTGCACTATTATCATTCCCATTTCAGAGAAGAAGAACTGAAGCTTAAACAGCTTAAGTGATTTTTCATAAAGTCAGACCAGCTAGAAGTCAAGAAGCCAGGATTATACAACCCAGGGCTCTGAGTCATCTATGTAACCCCACTGAATCCTCCAGGGAACGCTACAGAGCCGATACCCTTGGTATTCATATTTTTCAGACTTGGAACTCAGTTTCAGTGATTTAGTGACTTTCCCAACGTCATCCAGCTATTAAGTGGCAGAGCCAGACTTACACCCAGGCCTGCCAAGGGAGAGGTTGTATTTCTCTTCTACCCTCATCTCATTCATGCTGACTTAGGGAAGATTTTGCAAGGGTCTCCCAAAATGAGCCCTATTTTCATCTGGGGCAACTCTAGAGAAAAGTAAAAGTTCCACCCTTGAAAACAAGCAAAGCCAAGGCACAGGATTCCTCTTAGTGACTTATGTTCCTTTTCCTTAACCTTGAAGAGTCAGTGGGACTCAGGCTCGATCTAATGCCCTCCATGTCACACCACTGAGTTCTGCTGTGAATATTAATCTGGGCTTTCCCATGACTGACCTCTCAGGCTTGCTCCATGTCGGCAGTGCCCAATGCTAGAATAAACTGAGAACATGGGAAGTTAATTCCAAAGTGTAAGATTCCTTTGCAAAATTCTAAGAGGCTTAGTTTAACTGCAAATTTTTAAAGATCTGTGGCCAAAAGATCAACTCTCAGAGGCACTGAAACACAGTGAGTATATGATGAACGTTGCTGAGGCATTCTATCCAGAGGTAAGGGCAAGCTGAGGTGGTCCCTGGTGTACCAGGTGAGAGGCTGTGATTTTGCAAATGTGAACCAATTTAAAATCCAGTCTTTAATCATTCTACTTCTGCGAGCTCTGATTTATACTGGAAATTAGAGCAGGTGCTGTCTTCTGGGATGTACCTCTTTAAGTGACAAGGGACTTCAGGAAAAAAAAAAAAAAGCAGCATTCAGAAAAGAATCACAGGGCCTCCTCCTAGCCAAATCCCAGCTGAATCCTGCAACTTGGAACGATGTGTGGCTTTCATGCAGCAGCCTTCTAGGGCATAAATGCCTCCATCAATGGCAGCTGGAGGCCCTGCCATTCTATTCTCCTCCTCTTCCTACTCTTGGGATCTTTGGAGCTACAGCTCAATTAAAAAAACCTGACAGTTTTCTGGCTCATTTCATCCCTTTCCCCCAAAGACATCTTGGCGCTGGTAACCTCAGCCCTCTGCCCAGCCCCAGCCCCAGTTGCTGACCTTAAAGAATTTATCAATTTTGCTAAGATTAATTCTCTTCTTGGCATCCAGTTTGTAAATGTTACTGACATTTCCATCCATTAGGTAGAGGCCAAAGCCCATCACCTAGAATGAGAAGAGGGCAGAGCATAGAAACTAATCACATCTGCTGGAAAAGTTTAAAAACAAAAAGGTAGGTCTGTATATGTGTCACACACACACACACACATACACACACACACACACACACCCTGTAGAGACACACATTATATTATGAAAATCTATGCATCTTCAAATAAAGGCAGGAAATGTAAGTCTAATTTCAACCAGAAATTTAGTGTATTACTACAGCAGCTACTTCTTCAGCCCTTACTATGGGCCAGAGTCTGTGCTCAGAGCTTTAATAAGCATGATTTTCTCTTGAGTCAAGTTCTCTGCAATAACCTTATTCTATAGATGAGGAATCAGAGACACAGGGAGGTTAGACAGCTCGCCAAGGCCACACAGCGAAGCAGCAGAGACAGGAGCTGAACAGGATCTGTTGACAATATTTCCGCATTTAGATCTTTCTGAGAGAAAGGGCTACTCCTAGCTCCTTGCTGTATCCCAGGGTGGGGCACAATACAGGCATCTGATGAATACTTGAACAGTTAGTGAATGTGAAAGTATCCACCTCTTTCTCCACAGAAAGGACAATGTAAATGTTTCCAAGGAGCCGCTGGTGACTTTAATTTTTTAAAAAAAATCTCTTCCTGAATTTGCCCTCTGAGTAGGTTGACATTCTTGATTCCAACCCTTCTAATAGTCTCCTGAATGCTGGCTTGTTTTGCTCCTTTTAACATGTATGCAGAAGGGGGCCTGAGCAGCTGTGTGACCATGAGAAAGTCACTTCTCTCCATTCCTCTATTTCTCATCTGACACGAACAGGGTGGAGCAGGGTACTGCTAAGGTTGCTTCCTCTGTGGGTGCATTTCCGGTTTTTTTTTTTTTTTTAAGATGGCCTCACTCTGTTCCCTACCCCACCCCACCCGGGCTGGAGTGCAGTGGTATGATCACAGCTCACTGCAGCCTCAACCTCCTGGGCTCAAGCGATTCTCTCACCTCAGCCTCCCAAGAAGCTGTGACTACAGGTGCACGCCACCACCCCCGGCTAATTTTTGTATTTGTCTGTCAAGATGGTGTTCCACTGTGTTGCCCAGGCTGGTCTCAAACTCTTGGGCTCAAGTGATCCCCCTGCCTTGGCCTCCCAAAGCGCTAGGATTACAGGTGTGAGCCACTCTGTGGGTATATTTTGTTCTGCAGAATGAACTTCATCGTTTTCTGCATAAGAGCAGACAGTGCTCCACGGTGGCATCTGAGTTCACTAACACAAACTAACCATGTGGCAAAACCATGTGAAGGCCAGATTGAAGAGGGTGGGGAACAGAGAGGGAAGAAGGCAGGGAAGTCCGGGTATGGGGGGCTGGAGAATTTGAAGGCCGCATTAAGACTACTTGGTGGGCTGGTAGGTAGTGACTTAGCTTGTGGAAAGTTACAGCAATCACCCAGGCAAAGCACCAGTGGTGAGAGGGATATGTGAACTGTGAGTGGCTTCTCCGGATTTCTGATGTTGGGACGAAGCCAGAGTGAACAAGTCTCAAAGCCACTCAGCCCTGCAAACTTAACTGAGGTGCTAAGACATGTAAAACAGGAGCACCAACACAGGGCTGGGATTCTCAGAATAGCAGGAGAGACACTGAAGGAGAAGAAAGGAAAAACCACCAGAACATTGAGAGGTGAGGATCTGGGACAGAATCAAAAGGGGCTCTGCAGCGTGTATAAAGAATGGGAGAAGGCTGTTCATGTCAGTGCTACAGCTGTGGGGCATAAGTTAGAGACAACCTAAGCTAACAATGGAATAATGGCTAAGGAAGGCTTATGGAAATCACATTATTTCACAGCAGCATAACATAGCCAAATAAATTTAGTCACATGAGATAAAATGGATACATGGTCATGCAGATTGCAAATTTTGAAAATATATAAGCATAGAAAAAAAACTTAGAAGGACGTACATAAAAATGCTGAAAGTAGGCCAGGCGCAGTGCCTCATGCACGTAATCCCAGCACTTTTGGAGGCCGAGGCGGGCAGATTGCTTGAGCCCAGGAGTTCAAGACCAGCCTGGTCAACATAGGAAGACCTTGACTCTACAAAAAATTTTTTAAAAAAATAGCTGAGTGTGGTGGCATGTGCCTGTAGTCCCAGCTACTCAGGAAGCTGAGGTGGGAGGATCGCTTGAGCCTGGGAGTTAGAGGCTGCAGTGAACCATGATTGTGCCACTGCACTCCAGCCTGGGAGACAGAATGAGACTCCACCTTGGAAAAGAAAATGCTAAAAGTGTTAACTCTTGGTGAAGAGATTGTGAGAGATTTAAATTTTTTTATGCTTTGCTGTATATTCCAGATTTTCCAAAACAATACATATGACAATTCTGGAATGAAACGTGTGAACTGATGAAACAATTGTGATCACTTTGGCAAAATGTAGCAAAAGCTTGAAGATTTATTTTGTTTTCTAGTATGGAGGTTCTTTAAAGAACTAAAAGTAGAATTACCATTTGATCCAGCAATCCTACTACCGGGTGTCTACCCAGAGGAAGAGAAGTTATTGTATGAAAAAGACACTTGCACACATGTTTATAGCAGCACAATTCACAATTGCAAAAATATGGAATCAACCTAAATGCCCGTCAACCAACAAGCAGATAAAGAAAATGTGTTATATATATACATCATGAAATACTACTAAGCCATAAAAAGGAACAAAATAATGGCATTCACAGCAACCTGGATGGAGTTGGAGGCCATTATTCTAAGTAACAGCAGGAATGAAAAACAAAATATTGTATGTTCTCATTTATAAGTGGGAGCTAAGCTACGAGGGTGCCCAGGCATAAGAATGATATAATAGACTTTGGAGAATTGGGGAAAAGGCAGGGAGGTGGGTGAGAGACTACACTTTGAGTACAGCATACACTGCTTGGGTAACGGGTGCACCAAAATCTCAGAAATTACCAGCAAAGAACTTTTCCATGCAACAAAAAGCCACCTGCTTCCCCAAAAACTATTGAAATAAAAAAAAAGATTTATTCTGTTTTTCCCTTTGAGCCAGCAATTTCTCTTCTAGGAAGTTTGCCTTGACAAAAAGATGTGCACAAAAACTGCTACAAGGGTGTTCAATGAAGTTTAGCAAACAAATATCCAACCACAGGGGATATGTTACATGACAATGTTCCAATACAACAGAATACTTGGCAGTCATTACACATAACATTGTAGAAATAGCCTTAATGACATCTGGAAAGGTGACTACGGTATATTATATTACAGGAAAGGAACAGGTTACAAACCATTATGTGCCGTAAGATCTGTATCAATGTTTAAGAAAAAAGAAACATTGTTTTTTAAAACGGATTTTTAATAAGAAGAAGGTGAGAGGGTAAGCCCAGGCTCCATGGGTGCGGCCTCAGGGGAGTTTTACCTTGAGGAGCATATGTTTCTCACTGGGAGTCAGGTACATCTTGTTCTCGTAGTAATCCACACAGATGTTGACAATGTCAGCCAGCAGCTCCTCATAGCCTGGGATCACTTCAAGTTGCTGGTGGAGACACTGAACAGCAGCGCCACCCTCAGGTTAGGCAGCGCATGTATCCTGTGCCCTCACCTGCACCCCTGCAGAAGCCCTACAGCTGGCCGGTGTGGTCCCCGCTGATGGCCAGGAATCACAGCTCCAGGGAGGCGAGGCTGCATGCCAGCTGGCACCTGATGCCTGAATCCTCTCCTTGATGTCCCCACAGTACTCCTGCACACCTCCCATGGCAAGGAACTCACCCCCTATTTTATTCCCAGGCAGTTCTGATGGTTAGAAAGTGCTATCCTGGCCTGAGCTAAAAAGCAGCTCAGTTTTACAGCAATAGGCTTCTTGTCATTTCAGCTCAGCTTGGAGGATGTGGGCTTATCTAGGATGTCTTCTCAGACAACGGCAGCAAAACCCCACCCAGGGGAGGAGAGCTGGCGGTGGGGAGGGGGGCAGGTGTCTCCCTCTTGGCAGGACACAGCAGTAGAAAAACATCTATTAGAGAAGGGTCTGAGGTCCCCACCCTAGGCCCTTTCTCTCCAAAGGGACCAACCAGGCCCCTGCAGGGTATGCAGAGGAGGGCACTGCTGGTACTTCCCACAGGCAAGAGAAAGAAAACCTGAGGCCTCAGTTACTGAACAGCTTTCTGCAGTTAACAAAGAGTGGCAAGGGCCCTGTCAACCCAAGGGCCTCCGTGATATGGATTTGAATGTGAACACCCTTGGAAGATGGAGGATCCCCTCAGTTTTGGCCTGAGTCCTGCAGATATTCTTGCTAGAGACTGTTTAGGCTGAAGTGACAGTTATGCTTGTCTTGCTTATGTTGGGCAAAATGGGAAAATGGCAGCTGAGGGGTGTACCCTGGCAAAGCAGCGGCAGCAATAACAGCTATGTCTTCCTAGGCCCTGAACATCTGTCAGGATCTGCATGCTAAGGACTTTTCATATACTGGTATCATTTATTTCTCACAACAGTCCTATGAGATGGGTTCTCATAATATTCTCAAAATAACAGACCCATTTTACGGATGAGGAAACTGAGGCTTAGATTGGCCCCAAGTCTGACAGAGTGGGTCAGTGGTGGTCTAGGATTACAAAACAAGGCTGCCTAACTCCAGACCCCACGTTCTCAACCCTGATGCAGGGTCAGAGCACTGGCTGAGAGGGCTTCACGAGCATGACAACTGGAGAGGGTGAATCGGCCACCTGGGGTTGGGAGGACAGACTTAAGTCCTCAGCTACATTTCACTCTCAAGTAGGGCAGTGGAGATGGAAGCTGCAGACTGAGCTTGTCTGCTTGGGCTCGTGGTCCACCCAACCTCTACACGCCTGCCTATAACCCCGAGACATCAGGCCAGGCCTAACAAGGAGTCTGCCCTCACCTGGGTGATCCTGTTGTGGTTGGCCAGGAACATGGAAAGGTTCTGCGACTCCTGGATAGACTGGGGATCTGCCATCTTCCGCAGGAACTGTGCTGCCCTGAAACGCAGATAGTGGGTGCTGCAGAGAGGACTGTCCAAGTGCAACGGCCTAAACCATGCCTCACGGGCTCGCATGCCCACCTAACACAGAGTGACATCATCCTGGAAGTTAATGAGCTCTGAATATCCCAGGCAACACTAATGTCGAAACAGAGTGTGTTCTGAAGTCATTTGCTTTGGGGCTGTCTACACCCTTGTAATAAGGGCCCCTTAAATTAAAAGGCAGGAATGTACTAAGAATCTCTGAAATCTCAGAAAGTTTAAGGGGAACTAGCATCCCATCAACCAGCTGGGAGTGGTAAAACAGGAGTGAAATGATCATCCTTGTACCCTCCTGTGACCTCCAGTGAGGCTGCATAGTAAGTTATGGAGAAGCAGTGCAGGTAGGATGCTAGAATGCACCTGTTGTGTATTCTGTTATTTACAGGAAAACTTCAACGTTTCCAAAGCAAAGCATTGTATGGAAAACAGAAGGCTATGGAACCTCACAGAATCGCAGGTGATGGGATGACGGGCACAGGGAACACAAGCAGGACTTGATGGGAGAAAGCTGTGGCTGCCTGACTTCCCAGCCTAACATGGGGATGGTGCCACCTGTGTCATCATGAACTGTGAAAACAGACAAGACACCCCACCTTGCTCATGACCTAGCTGGGCGGCAGAGGATCTCATTTGTGGCCATGACAGAAGCAGGCTGGCTACAGGTGGGGAAAATTTGATAGAAGATATTATGCAATAAGCTACCCATAAAAACTTTGTAAAGTTGTCACTTCTAAGTCAGCCTTGAGATGGGGCCCAGCCTGCTGGACACCACCAGATTTCACAGTTGACTTAGGAGGGTAAACTTGTGAGAATCAGTCTGTTTTCTCTAGTTACCTTGCAGCCCAGGAAGATGTCATTCAAGGAGGGTCTCTCTTTATCAGAGACACAGCAAATCCTTCTCAAGAGACTTCTGGGTGGCTGTATACTGGTTTCTGGAATGACTCCTCCCCCACTTTCAGTCCTCTTTTTTGTTTTAATTTAAAAAAAGAGACGGGGTCTCATTATGGTTTCCAGGCTGGTCTTGAACTCCTGGGCTTAAGTCATCTGCCTGCTGTGGCCTCCCAAAGTGCTAGGATTATAGGTGTGAGACCCTCTCCTGGCTAACCTTCTTCTTCTTAAGAGCTGGCAGAGACCCTGCACTCCAAAGGCAAGCAACCATCCCATCAGGGTGTCTCCACCTCTACACCTCCAGTGACTGATAGAAGGTTTAGCATATGACTCAAGCTGATCAAAGGCAATCCTCCCTGGGACTTCCATGAAAGTATTTGGAAGGAGAAGCATCCTGTCCTTCCTTAGAAGCTGGGATTGCTGCACTGGCCTGAGGAAAGCTGCTGGAAGCCACCACAGACCTGAGAATGAAGCCAATGTAGAGGAGGAGGTTGACCTGAGAGCTGGAGGCACTCAGGCTAACATTGTCATCTGAATGCCTGTGTGCAGGTGTACCTGGACTTTCTGTGAGCCAATTCATTTCCTTCTTTTACATACACTGTTTGAATTGGCTTTATGATTCTTGCAGAAAATGACTAATGTAACCATTTTGTGATGATCTTACTGGTCCCATATTACATGGGGCAACATAAAATGCTGCTGCTCCAGAGATGGGGGAACTGAGGGTTTGATTCCATCTTGAGATATAAAACTCTACAAAGATCAAGTTCTTCCAAGGCCCAGCTCTATGCCCTGTTCCTCAAACCACACTGAAACAGGCCAAGCCTCACTATGTTTGGGGGATGGCTAGTTTGGTATCAAAGAAAAAGCAGGTGAGAGGGGCTCCATTCTCTTCCTCCACTTGACAGGCAGCCCTGGAGGAGGGGCCTGGATGGGGAAAGGGGAGAGGGGGAGGTTGCCCTGACCTCTTGTAGGCAGAGTGGTCATTCTTGACGCTGCACTTCATGTTCTTTAGCTCATCCAGGACAGCAAACATGTTGATGAACTTGCCAAGGGTCAGGAGGTAGGCCTCAGAGACAAAGTCCTTCCTGCGCTCGGCATGGCACAGCCGCTTCACCTCGCTGCAGAACCGCTCGATGGCCTTGCGCTGGGGGCAGAGGGGCAGTGAGTAAGGTCCACTGTGCTCCCTTATGGGGGCAGGGTCCAGGCTCCTCTAGGGCCCTCCTCAGAGCCAGCCCTCTCGAGAAAGGCAAATCTGCCAGGCAATTTTTCTCAGAGGAGTCCTTAAATCCGAAGCTAATTTCTTTTTTTCTTTTTTTTTTTTTTTTGAGACGGAGTCTTGCTTCGTCACCAGGCTGGAGTGCAGCGGTGCGATCTCGGCTCACTGCAACCTCCACTTCCCAGGTTCAAGCAATTCTCCTGCCTCAGCCTCCCGAGTAGCTGGGATTACAGGTGTGTGCCACCATGCCCAGCTAATTTTTCTATTTTTAGTAGAGACGGGGTTTCACCATGTTGGTCAGGCTGGTCTCAATCTCGTGACCTTGTGACCCACCTGCCTCGGCCTCCCAAAGTGCTGGGACTGATTACAGGCATGAGCCACCATACCTGGCCCGAAGCTGATTTCTTGAGGGGAGCCTGGAACCTGCCTCTATGTGACTCAAACCAATGCATTCATTCAACATACATTGGCTGAGCATTACGTCTTATTCATTTTGGCATTCCCAGCACCTAGGACAGTGTCAGGTACCAGTCGATAAGAAGGTAGAGACCAAGAGTGAGAGACATGCAGAGAGGAAAAGAGGCTCATTCATCCAGTAGCTATTTAATAGCCATCTACTATGTGCCAGGCACCATTCTAGGTCCCGGGGTAGAGCAGGAAACAAAAGAGAAAAACAGACAAGCAAGCAAATTCTGCCTTCAGGAATTTACATTCTAGTTTTTTGTTTTGTTTTGTTTTGTTTTGAGATGGAGTTTCACTGTTACCCAGGCTGGAATGCAGTGGCACAATGTCGGCTCACTGCAACCTCCGCCTCTCAGGTTCCAGTGATTCTCCTGCCTAAGCCTCCTGGGTAGCTGAGATTACAGGCATGCACCACCATGCCCAGCTAATTTTTTGTATTTTTAGTAGAGACTGGGTTTCACCATGTTGGCCAGGCTGGTCTCGAACTCCTGACCTCAAGTGATCTGCCTGCCTTGGCCTCCCAAAGTGCTGGGATTACAGGCATGAACCACCACGCCTGGCCTAGGAGTTTACATTCTAGTGAGAGAAGACAGAAAACAATACATAGATCTATTAGAATGTGGTATGTGCTATGGAAAAAAATAAAGAAGGAAGGCTTGAGGAGAAGCGCTCAGAGGGGTTGTCCTTCTAAGGAGGAAGATCAGAGATGGAATCCTCAAGAAGTGACTTGCAGGAAAAGAAGCTGAAAGAGGAGGGAAAAGAGGCTTATGGGGTAACTCAATGGTCAGTGTGAAGGCCCTGAGGTGTGTTCCAGGGATGAGAAGGAAGCCAGGGTGGCTGAAGCGGAGCGAGTACAGGAAGGAGGCAGAGAGATGGGGTCAGGGCACTGTCTCTTGCAGGCCTTTGTGAGGGCTCAGACTTGGACAATGCTTGAGCTGGGGAGACATGGGAGGTTCTGAGGCCAGATAACATGGCCTGAATTATATTTTAAAAGAGTCACATTGGCTCTAGGGTGCAAAGATAGACGTGAGAGAATAGTTAAGAGGGTATTTAAAAGCTTAAAGGTGGGGTTACCATCTGACCCAACAATTCCACTCCTAGGTCTCTACTTGAGAGACATGAAAACATACGTCCACACAAATACTTGTACGTGAACGATCAATGTTTGTTCATAATAGCCCCAAAGTGGAAATAAACCAATGTCCATCAACTGATGAATGGATAAATAAAATACGGTATATCCATACAATGGAATGGTATTCAGTCCTAAAAAGGAATGAAATTCTGATACACGCTGTAACATGGATGAGCTTTAAAAACATAATGCTAACTGAAGAGAGCCAGATGGACACAAAAGACCACGTTATATGATTCAGTTTATATGAAATGTCCAGAACAGGCAAATCCATGGCAGCATAAAGTAGCTTAGTGGTTGCCTCGGGCTGAGACTGGGGAGATGAAGGTATTATGGGGTGATGGCCAAAGGGCGTGGGGTTTCTTTTTGGGGTAATGAAGATGTTCTAAAATTGATTGTGGGCCGGGTGTGGTGGCTCATGTCTGTAATCCCAGAACTTTGGGAGACCAAGGCAGGTGGATCACTTGAGGCCAGGAGTTCGAGACCAGCCTGGCCAACATGAAGAAACCCCATATCTACTAAAAAAAAAAAAAAAATACAAAAGTAGCTGGTCGTGGTGGCACACACCTGTGGTCCTGGCTACTTGGGAGGGAGGCTGAGGCAGGAGAATCACTTGAACCTAGGAGGCTGAAGTTGCAGTGAGCCGAGATAGTGTCACCGCACTCCAGCCTGAGCGACAGAGAGAGACTCTGTCTCAAAAATAAATAAATAAATAAAACTGATTGTCGTGATGAATGTACAACTCTGTGAATATATTAACAACTGCTAAATTATCCACTTTAAATGGGCAAATTATATGGTATATGTTAAGTATATCTCTATAAAACTGGTACCAAAAATTTTAAAAGGCAGTGGAACAGCAACAACAAAAAGAGGCTACTGAAGTAACCCAGAAAGAGCAAGAAAGAAAGAGAAGGAAGAAAAGGAAAGCAGGGAAGGAAGGGGGAGGAGAAATGATGGCCCCGATTGAGCTCCACTCTGCTTCCACGGGCCTGAGAGGCCCAACCAGCCAGTCAGTCCTTTCCTTCAAAGACCAGACTAAGTCACACTTTCTCCTGCCAGAGTCTAAGTCCAACTAAACTCTGGGAGATGAAAATGGTCCATATCTGCACTGTCCAATATGACAGCCACCATCACACGTGGCCACTCTGCACTTGCAGTGTGCCTAGGATTACTGAGGAACTGAATTTTTCATGTTGTCTCGTTTTATTTTTTTTCAACCTACCTCATGCTTTGATTTTAAAATTTTATTTTTACTTATTTTTATTTTTAATCTTTATGTTTTTCATGTTGTCACTTTTTAATTAATGTAAGTACCCACATGTGGCTAATGGCTATGGCACTGGACAGCACAGTTCTAAATTATTCCAGATCCTCCCTTCTGTAAATACCTCTTGTCAGGAGACTCTCAGTTTCTCAGTTAATCAGTTTCTGGATAGTTCTTCTCTCTTGGCCCTGCCTTCCCAAAAAGATTTTGGGCTCCCGAAGGCAGGTCCATGATGCTAACAGTAGCTGCAATTTGTGAAACCTACTCTGACCAGGGTCCTACTTGGCTCTTTACAAACAGACCTCATTTATTCTCACCATAAACCTGTGAAGCCGGTCATTTTCAAGGTGAAAAATCCCAAGGTGTCAGAGACATTAAATAACTCACAAACACACAGTTAGAGAGTGAAAGGGCCAGGGATGTGACTTGGGCTTCTCTGCCTCCAAAGGCCATGCTCCCCACCTAGGCTGCATATCCACACCCCACCTTCCCATTTCCCTCACACCCAGGCACTTCGTTTTATTTCTTAAACACAGCAAGCTCCTTCCGGCCTCAGCCTCAAGGCTTTTGCCTCTGTGGCAACTTCTGCCTGAAACCTTTCCTCCTGGTCATCACACGTCAGCCTCTCTCTCTGAGTCTCAGCTCAAATGCCGCCTCCTGAGAGGCTGTCCCTAAAGCAGCACTCACATCACAGGCACTCTATAACCCAGAATTTTTCAAAATGTTATTTTACTCACAGCACTTATTATTCCCTGAATATTAATGTGTATTGCTTATTGTCTTTCTCTCCTCCTACACAAAACACACTCACATACTCACTAGGATGAAAATTCCACGAGGGTGGGGAGACTCATCCGTCTTGCTCACCCAGGGATGTGTAGGGCACAGTCAAAAAATATTTGCTTAGTGAATAAATAACATGGCACAAAACTGCAGACCCCAGTGGTTAGAAAACTAGGGGCCTTTTCAGTTCTCCAGATGCAGACCTGCCCCTCCCCACTCACCTGAAAATACATGAACTTCATGAGCTTGGTGACCTCCGGCTCCAGCACCTCTACTGTCTTCTCATAGATCTCTACTCGGTTGGGCTGCTCGTTGCATTTCACCTGTGGGGGATAATGGGGACACACACATCCTGGTTTACACCTGTTGTCTTATTACTGTTTTTTGTTTTGTTTTGTTTTTGAGACAGGGTCTTGCTCTGTTGTCCAGGCTAGAGTGCAGTGGCATGATCATGGCTCACTGAAACCTCAACCTCCCAGGCTCAAGTGATCCTCCCAACTCAGCCTGCCAAGTAGGTGGGACTTCAGGCATGCAACACTATATCCAGCTAATTTTTGTAGTTGGTGTAGGGATGGTGTCTCACTATGTTGCCCAGGCTAGTCTTGAACTCCTGGGCTCAAGCAATCCTCCCACCTCAGCCTCCCAAATTGCTGGGATTACAGGCATGAGCCACCATGCACGGCCCTGCTGTCTTATTAATAGGGCCCTTTTTCACTCTCAAATACACCTGATTTTGGATGATAACTGATATGCTCATCCTAGTGAGGAGACTTGGGTAGCCCCTGCTTCACCAATCTGGCAGGGGGCAGAAGTGCTCCGCAGACATTGGCTGCAGGAAAGGAACCAGTTGGTCCCAAGAACAGAACCCTCCTTCCTTTTTCTCAGTTCTGTGCCCTGTCCATGAGTTACTGACATGTTCACATTTATCTGCAAGCTCTCCCTCCTTCAGTCTTTCCCCTGTCCGCACTCTAGCGGGGTCCAGCTGGATTCTAAGCAGAGAGAAATATTCTTTCCATTGTTCTGGATACACCTGGGACAAAGCTCCCCTAGACCTACCCAGGCCCATTTCCCCTGCTCTGCAGTTTTCACCAGTGTGCACATCAGAATCCGATGGCAGACATCCTCACAACGCACACGCCAAGGCTGCTAATGGATACATGGGATCTGAAGAGCGAGCCAAGGTAAGCACAGGGACATTCTTCATACTATTGCTTAGAAAGTCTTAAAGTGGCAGCATCATGCTAAATATCCACCAGTCAACAATTAAGTGGATAAAATATGCTACAATCACATAATATCACTGTGAGCTGTTAGAAGGAATGAGACAGTTTTATGTAACCAGGAAACAAAGTCACCACAAACAGGTGAAAAAAGTGACAGAATAATCAGGTCCCATTTTTATTAAGTGAAACAAAACAGCATGTGTGCTCATATATAAGACAGGCATAGAAAATCTGAAAGGATGCAAACCAAATTGTTAATAGTAGTTATTGCTGGGGCCTAGAATTAGAAGGAAGGGGGAGGAATAGTTTCTGTTTACACACCTGTGGCTTGCTGATTTTGTTGCCATGGGACCCGTTAATTACATGATGATGGCACTGATGGTAATAAAAATATCTGTATGTGTGTCAACATGACAAAAGTCAGTAATTAAGAATTAAGTGGGGAAAAAAGCAAGTGGCAGAACAATATAAACACAAAATAATACATTTTTGTAAATAATAATTTACAAAATAATATTCATGCCAGGAAAAAGATCCAGACAAATATGTCACAAAGTGTACATGGCCATCCCATGGCGGGATGTGGGTTTGGGTGGTTGGGGTGAGGCAGTGGGAACATCTTTCTTTTTACTTCATACCCTCTGCAGTGGTTTTGGTGTCATGTAGTTACCATATACTGCTTTGGAAATAAAATATATTGAACAAATGTGTTTTAAGTCCCTCGACATGCGTCCCTGTCATCACTTTTATGGGAAGCTCTCTGAATGTCTTCCAGGTTCTTCCTTGGATAAGAGGACCTGCTTTACTCCCTACCACGTGGAAAGAAAAGCTCAGCTCTCTGGTTTGGGGATGAAGTAGGGGTTAGTAATGCCCTCTGGAGGGGAAAGAGACACACAACAAGGACAGTCTCACCTGGGGAATGGCCCGGGAACAGCTGCGCCAGGTGTACAGCATGACCGCATACTCATGTCCTTCCTCCAGCATCTCATTCTGAAATGGTAAAACAGCCTCAGCAGGGAGGAACAAGACGGGTGCCACCAGGCTGCAAAAGCCCCCAGATCCTCACTAGTTATGGTATGGTCCATGGACCCACAGCATGGACATCACTTGGGGACCTTACTGGAAATGGAGAATCTCAGGTCCCTCCCTGGGCCTATGCAATAAGAATGTGCATTTCAACAAAATTCCCAGATGACTCACATACACAATGAGTTTGAGAAGAACTCATCCTCAGGCCACATTTTCCCAAACAGATGGATGGCTACCTTAGAAAGAATGGGGCAGAGCTATGTGCCCCCCAGATATAATGTTAGCAAGAAAATAAGCAAGTAGCAAAACAGTATGTACAGCAGATAGGTTAAAAAACAAAACAGAAATAGTTATGAAAGTATATTATCAAAACTGCCTTTGCAAAGATTACGACAGAGAAATCTGACATAGTTGACTCCATCTTGCTTCTAACCTCCAAGCTGTCCTTGGTCATTCCTGGATGTAGGCTAACTTTGGGAGGAATTTCGTTGACAGTTTAACCTTAAAGCAAGGATGATAATAGCCCTTTCCAAAACTAAACTGCCTTTGTAAAACTAATGAAAGGCCACAAGGTTAGGATTATGAGAGGTGTGTGAATTCTGCTGAAGATGTAGGCATACTTTCCATAATCCCTTACTATTCAGGAGTCTTGTGGCCAGAGGTCACAAGATTGGTGCCTTCCCCAATTGCTCTTACAAATACCAACACTATTGTAGAATGTAAGATTGGTCTTTTGAGAAGTTCTTCAGACTGACTCCACCTGGACTTTTGGGACTCGACTGGTCCAATGGCCCCCACCCAGATGCAGCCTCAGCACATGAGGCCTGTTTTCCACACTCCATGACTGGATCCCCAATCAATCAGCACCCATTCCCTAGCCCCATGCCCACCAAACTATCCTGGAAAAAGTCTAACCTCCAAGCCTTTGGGGAGACTGATTTGCATAATAACTGTCTCCTTTGTGGCCAGCCTCATATTGATTAAACTCTTTCTTTACTGCAATACCACTGTCTCAGTGAATTGGTTTTGTCTGTGCAGTGGACAGGAAAAACCCATCAGGTGATTACATTATTACGTATTGAAAAAAAAATTTCAGTGCAACATGTACCAAGCTATGGATAGCAAGCTCTCTGTGAGGCTGGATTGTTTTGCATCACTTTTTAAAAAGTCATATAGCACTATAATTTTCACACTTTTATAACAGCCCATGTACTATCTCATAAGCAGGAAAATGATTAATATCAATTTTTAATAATAAGCAGAGCAGATGGGAAAACCAACAACAGCATGAAAAACGAGCGTGAAAAAATACAGTGATGACTCATCTCACTGAGGAACTGCTGCTGTGGAAAGAGACCTAAACTCAAGGTCCGAATACCTGGGCTCAAGGCTGGGCGCAGTGGTTCACACCTGTAATCCTAGCACTTTGAAAGGCTGAAGCCGGTGGATCATCTGAGGTCAGGAGTTCAAGATGAGCCTGGCCAAAATGGCAAAACCCCGTCTCTACTAAAAATACAAAAATTAGCCAGGTGTGGTGGCGGGTGCCTGCAATCTCAGCTACTCTGGAGGCTGAGGCAGGAGAATTGCATGAACTCGGGGGGCAGAGGCTGCAATGAGCTTAGATTGCGCCATTGCATTCCAGCCTGGGCGACAGAGCAAGACTCCATCTCAAACACACATACATACATACATACATACATACATACATACATACATACATACATACATACATATCTGGGCTCAAATCCCAGCTTCATCACTTATTAGCCCTTTAGTCTATTGTAAATCACTTATCCTAAAATTCTCCACTTAGTCATCTGTTAAATCATGATAATAATAATAATCTCATAGAATTTTATGAGAATTAAATGGAACACATACACATACTCTTGGTAATCTGTGAAGTGAGTCAGAAAAATAATCTGGCAGTGTCACAACACGTTAACCACAGAGTTACCATTCGACCCAGTAATTCTTGGGTATGTGTATACCCAAGAGAACTGAAAACATATGTCCACACAGAAAAATGTGTAGATTCAAGATTTGCATGTAACACAAATGTTCATAGCAGCATTATTCAAAATAGCCCAATAACTCGAATGTCCATCAATGGATGGATGGATAAATAATATGTGGCATGTCCATACAATTAATTATTTGGCAATACAAAGTAACGAACTACCAATACACGCTACCACATGGATGAACTTTGAAAACATTATGCTGGCCAGGCGCGGTGGCTCACGTCTGTAATCCCAGCACTTTGGGAGGCCGAGGCAGGTGGATCACCTGAGGTCGGGAGTTCGAGGCCAGCCTGATGAACATGGAGAAACCCTGTTTCTACTAAAAATACAAAGTTAGCCGGGCATGGTGGTGCATGCCTATAATCCCAGCTACTCAGGAGGCTGAGGCAGAAGAATCACTTGAACCCGGGAGGTGGAAGTTGCGGTGAGCCAAGATTGTGCCATTGCACTCCAGCCTGGGCAATAAGAGCAAAACTCCATCTCAAAAAAAATAAAAAAATAAAAATAAAAAAAGAAAAAAGAAAAAGAAAGAAAGAAAACATTATGTTAAGTAAAAGAAGCCAGACACAAAAGGTCCATATTGGATTATTTATTTAGATGAAAATAGGCAAATCCATAGAAACAGAAAGTATACTAGTGACTTCCAGGAGGTGGTGGGGTGAGAGGAATTGGGATTGACTACTAACAGGTCCAGGGCATCTTTTAGGGGTGATGAAAGTTAGGTAGTAGCCATGGCTGTATAACATTGTGAATATGCTGAAAACTACTGAATTGTACACTTCAAATGGAAATACACTTTGAAAAAAAAATCACCAAAGAAAGAATTTTACTAGGCCATCTCTTTTTATAAATGTTTATATCTATATTAAAAAATGAACTTTATTTTTAAATCCACATACCACCATTTCATAATATCTTATTAGTATAACAGCAGATCAATTTACTTATGACAGTTCTGTTTTCAGCAGCAAATGTCATTGACAAGTCACACTTCAATGATTAATTTAGAGAACTTTAAAAATCAGTAACATGTTGTCCTTGAGAACAGGGAGAACCAATCAAGCCCGTGGGTCCCGCAGTCATCTGCCTCAGAACACATGTCCAAAAGGGGAAGTGACAGTCACGTAAGGAACACGTGTCTACTTGTAGCACCAACCTGCCTGCCGACGGGTGTTAATTCCGACTCATGCATTCAGTGAATGTTTAACTGGGCACTCATGGGTCCCAGGCTCTGTGCTTTGTGCTGCAAACAGCGCAGTGAACAAGAAGAATGTGAACTCTGCCCTACGGACAGTTTGGCCATCAGCCAGATCTGTCATGCAATTATGCTAGAATGTAGAGGTTAGGATGGTGCAGTGGAAAGAGCCCTGGGTGGGGTCTTGGGAAACTTGAGTTCTGGTCCTCACTCTTCTTGGGCCCACCTTTTAACTTGTAATGTCTTAGTTTCCTTACTTGGAGGTAAAGAGTTGGCCTGAATCATTCGTGTTCAACCCTTGTTGTATATTAGAGTCACCTGGGGAATTTGATGCCTAAGCCATGCCCCAGATTAACTAAATATTTATCCCTGGGGATGGGGTGGGGCACTGGTGTTTTTAAACAATCCCCAGGTTGATTCTCTTGTGCAGCCCACATTGACAGCTTCAGGACTAAGGATCTCTAAGGTCCTTTACATTTCTAATATTCTGAAAGTCCATGACTTAAACCCAATGTGAGTGTAGCTCAAATTTTATGTAGTGACAGATCCAGTGATCACTCAGCCCCCATCTCACCCCAGCAAAGAACCCTCAACTCTTCCATATAGTTGGTCAGTTATGTGGTTTACGTACTTCCCCTCCTCCTCTTTTCTCTGGCTATCCTGTCCTTTGAGAGATTCACCTTGCCCAAGTGGGGACAGGAGACATACAAGAAGATGAGCATCTCATACACCCACATTGCTGCTAATAAGCTACCTTAGAAAGACTGGGGAAGGCACGAGGAAGACACTGTTGACTGAAGGGAGATTTTGGTGTTATCCAGGAATGTCAGCATTGCATGCCACTCATGACTCATGCCTAAGCCACATCAACACTCTCCCTGTGTAGGCAGAATAATGGTCCCCCCAAGATGTCTGTATCCTAATCCCTGGTGCCTGTGAATATGTTCCTTCACATGGAAAGAGGCAATTTGCTGATGTGACCAATTAAGAGCCTTGCAATGGGGGTAGGCGGGTGGTGGTGGTTGTTCTGGATTATCCTGGGGAGCCCAGTGTAAACACAAGGTACTCATAAGCAAAAGAGGGAGGCAGAAGAGTCAGAGAAGGAGATTTGAAGATGCAGGCAGAGATCAGAGTGATGTCACTGCTGGCTGGGGGCCACGAGTCAAGGAATGTAGACACCTCTAGAAGCTGGAAAAGGCAAGGGAACAGACTTTCTCCTGGAGCCTGCAGAAGGAATGCGGCCCTGCTGGCACCCTGATTTTAACTCAGTAAGACCCACGTCAGACTTCTGACCTACAAAACTATAAGCAAATAAATCAGTGTTCTTCTAAGCCACTAAGTTTGTGACACTCTATTAGGGCAGTAACAGAAAATGAACACTATCACTCTCCAACCTAACCCCTCCTTCCGACTGCTCTGTTGGTGTCTTGACCTGGTCTTCCTGGGAACTCAGTCAGTGCAGTCCCAGGTGACTGCTAAGCCAGTGTCCCTCACATCCATATCCTCTTAGCTGTACCCCAGTGCCATCACCCTCATTCAGCCTTGAATGCCTGCAGTGTAGATAACTTTAATTATCTTGACTAATTTATTTGCCTCATTCCTACTTGCAACTCATTCTACATATGACTAACACATGGAATCTGTCCCCCAAGCTGCGTTCTGTTCATATCTCTTTTAAGGATAAAGATTTTTCCATTGTTTTTAATTTTTTATTAAATAAACTAAAGCCTTCTGTTATGGGCTGAATTGTGTGCCCCCCAAATTTATAGGTTGAAGCCCTAACCCCACAGGACCTCAGAATGTGACTGTATTTGGAGACGGGGCCTTTAAAGAGGTAATTAAGTTAAAATGAGGCCATTAGAGAGGGCCCTGATCTAATCTGACTGGTGTCCTTATAAAAAGAGGAAATCTGGACACACAGAAAGAAGGTGCCAGAGATGTGTGCACACAGAGAAGAGACCATGTGAGGATGCAGAGAGAAACAGCCATCTGGGAGCCAAGGAAAAAAGTCTGAGGAAAAACCGAACCTACAGACACCTTGATCTTGGACTTCTAATCTCCGGAACGGGGAGGAAATACATTTTTGCTGTTTAAGCCATTTAGTCTGTGGCACTTTGTTAAGGTATCCAAGCCAACGAATACACCCTCTATGCCCCGACCCTTTATTTGTAGGGAATCTGTAAACAATATCCCTATATGCACTTTACAGTCCATACCAGTCACTCCTCGAAAATCCTTGCCCTGTGCCTTTGCTCACACCAGCTCTTCCACATGGTGTGCTCTCCCCGTCTCATCTCTGACTGGTAAAATTCTAACTGTGTGAGACAGCACGGAACAGGAGAAAGAGATCAGGACTGGCAATCAGTCCTGGATTTCAGGTCCAGTCCTGTGATTTACTGGTTGTGGGATCATGAGCAACCTGCTTATTAACTTTTCTAGGCCTCAGTTTTCTCATCCCTAAAATGGATATAATGATCCCTTTGCAAGTCACAGGGCTGTTATAAAGCTCCAATAATATAATATATGAAAATGCCTTACATATATTTTAAAGTATACTGTATCTACAAGGTATCATTATCCTCCTACAAGGCCTCACACAAAAGCCACTTCCTACATCAAGCTTTCTCTGACTCTCTCAAGGTTCCTTCAAAAACACAGAACTTTGAACTTTTACCATGACATTTACCCTTAACTTCGTGTATTTTTGTTTGTCTGCAAGGCATAGTCTGGAGCAAAGGTTTTGTAGTCAGGCAGACCTTGATCTAGAGCTGTCACTTGTCAGCTGCAGGACCCTGAGTAAGTTATGCAATTTTTTTGGGCTCCAGTTTTCCCCATCGGCAAAATGGATATGATAATAGAACCTACCTCACAGGGTTGATGTCAGGAGCAAATGAGACAATGCATCTAAAATATCTGTATAGAAAAAGCATTCGATAAATGGTAAGCTTATCTATTTCCCACTTGACTCACTGAGGATCAGGACTGGCCCCTATCTGCCCTTGCATACCTCTCCAGCATTTACACAGTCCTCTGAGGGCACCAGCCACACAATACTTATTGAATGAATGAGCAGGGTTTGTCAACACAAGGTTACGGGAGATAACCAATACAGTGCTGTGGTTGGAGTGTGTTCCCCAAAGTTCATGTGTTAGAAACTTAAATCTCCAGTGCAACAGTGTTGAGAGGTGGGATCTTTAACAGGTGATCAGGTCATGAGGGCTCTACCCCCATGAAAGAATTAATGCTGTTATTATGGGGGTGGGTTCCTCATAAAGGATGAGTTTGGACCCCTTCCCTTTCTCTGCCACCCATGTCATGGCTTCTGCCATGATATGATACAGTAAGAAGGCTCTCACCAGATACTGCCCCCTCAATCTTGGACTTTCCAGCCTCCATAATCATAAGCCAATAAGCCACTACTCTTATTTTTTTGAGATAGGGTCTTGCTCTGTTGCCCAGGCTGGAATGCAGTGATACGATCATGGCTCACTGCAGCCTCAACCTCCTGGGCTCAAGCAATCCTCCCACCTGAGCCTCCCACGTAGCTGCGACTATAGGTGTGTGCCACCTCACCCGGCTAATTTTTAAAATTTTTGTAGAGACAGGGTCTTGCCATGTTGCCCAGGCTGGTCTTGAACTCCTGGGCTCAAGGGATCTTCCTACCTCAGCCTCCCAAAGTGCTGGGGTTATGGGCATGAGCTACCATACTCAGCCTAAACTTCTATTTATTATAAATTATCCAGTCTGCAGTTTCCTTGTTATAGCATCACAAAACGAGCTAAGACATATAGTGTCAAAGGTCTATGGAGCCACAGGCAGGGTTTATGGAACCACAGGCAGGGTCTATGAACATGGAATTTGGAATTCTTTAAATTGCAGTGCTGCATGAGAATAAAATCAATGGAAGCCCAACAGAGAAGGGGAGGAGCCCTCCACAGATGAATCAGACTCTAAGAGAGAAAATAATAACTGGCCCTATTTGCAAATGATTTAGGCCATCAGCTTTTTTGAGTAACTGTTATTCCAAAACCAAAGCCAATGTCCCTTTTTCAAGGAACCTTTTGCTCTGCTCAAGAGACAAAATTCCACACATTCATTAACCTATAAACAAGGCAAGATCCAATCACATGTTAACCCAAAAAGCTATAGGAGCTCAAGAAAGTGAGTAGTGGAGACTAAGTTGGGCCCTAACAGTTGAGTAGGATTCCCAAAGCTGGACAATAAAGGGGAACTGTATGTTTCTAGGCACCGACAGGGGATGGCGCAGAATGTAAGAGTGGGCTTAAGCAGATGATTCTGACTGAGGCAGGGGGTTCTTAGAGTAGCTGAGCACATGCCTCTGGTGTGAGAAGCTGCCCGCGGCCCCTGCCAGCCCAGCAGGGAGCATGTCTGCACACGTGGGTCACAGAGACTTACCATGCTGGAGTGGACTGTAGCCTGCTCAATGTACCTTGCAATGCCCGTGACAAATGCATTCCTGTCCTCAAAGTTTGTGTCAAAGTTAGCCTGTGGAATTAGAGGACAGGAACATTTTGGTTGTTAGAAAACAGTTCCAAGTTGGCTGGGTGTCCAGAGGGCAAACTGCTGCCAACAAACAACGCAAGCTCTCTGTGGAAACCTCCTGCTGCGTCACCTTTCATCTTGCCCCTTCCCCACAAAGTCCCACTCTCAATCACACTGGGCAGGAGCTGGTGATGACAGGGTCTGCCGTCTGCTTCCCATCAGTAATCAGGTTCACTCATCTGAGCTTCAGAAGCAGATGCTTAAACTCCACAAGCCCAAATAGCTGCTAAAAGTTAAGATGTGCATTGCTTTGATTCGGCAGTTCCAGAAATACTCACCCAAGGGTGTGGATATATAGGTACAAGAATAATTACTGTGGCTGTTTTTTGTGATTAAAACAAACTGTAAACAACCTACATATCCATCAACAGTGAAAGGCTAAATATATATATATATATATATATATATACATAAAATAGCATATCCATAAATGGACTTTTAAGTACCATGAGGTGGCTAAGCCTAATGTGGTAGTATTGTGGTATTGTCATGGAAAAATATCCATAATAAATTTTAAGTTAAAAAGCCAACTCACAAAGCAATAAATATAGTATGGTTCTCTATTGGTTAAAAAAAAAATATATGTATATATATATGCATATATATACACACACACATATATATGTATATTTGGTAAAAAAGGTATATATCCGCATAGTTATAGAAAAAATTTATATGTTTTTGTATACTTTTTTGTATACTTTTCTGTATTGCTTATAATAAAAAAGATATTTGTATAATTAAAATTTTAATCTGGGTTAGAAGATGTGAATCAATGAAGTTTATGGGCCGAACCTTCAAGCATGTACTTCATACATCTACTGAATGAAATTTAAGAATTTATTATGTATTTATATTTAGTCTCCTGTAGCAATCTGAGAACTATCAAAAGGTCAAACACAGCTAAGACTTTCAAATTAGCATATCCTTTCTTAACATGGCATCTGGCCTGGCACACCCAGACAAGGGGCTATACCGACTCCCGGCCCTGATAGGTCATAGTTTGGAACAATCTGATGGTGGTTTATCACAAGCTTTGCTCTCTTAGGCAAAAGCAAACAACTGTGACCAGCTTCCCTGAGCCATGAGCTGCTATGAGGTGTTGTAGTGCCCTCCTCACATGCATGAAGGAAAAGTAATTACCCAGGCAGGCTCTGGGGTTTCTAAATTGCAATATTTAATTCATGAGGCCAGAGCTGCCAAAACCTTGGTTGGTACAGCAGCAAGAATAGCCTGGAAGGTATTTGGGGTCAAAGCAGATCAACAAGACTTCCCTGGGGGAGGGAGGGAAACAGTCCTGCGGCACATTTAGTAGCTAATCTGTTCCTTATACTCGGCTCTACCAGCGCACAAGGGACTCCATCAGCTCACAACCTTTCACCTTCTAGATGCAGACCTCCCCTTCCCTCTGCCTTAGGGCAAACTCTCTTAGGGGATCCCCAGAATTCCTGGGCCCCCTGGTGCTATCTACCATTTCCATTACCTGGTACATGATGGAGGAAGGTGGAGGCTCGATGCATGGCTGCTGGTCGGGGAGGGGAAGCTCTTCAAGCAGGTCCACGTTGGACAGGGCATCTTCCAGGGTGACGTGCGTGGTCATGGCTGCAGTTTCTGTATTCTGCACTGAAGGGAAGGAAGAGAAGGTCAGTGGAGAATTTCAGGGGCCTCTAAAATTCCTCTTAACCGCACCATGACCAGCATCCTTTGGGAGAATAAAGAGAGTTAAAATGCATTGAGGCCACTTCCACTCACCACTTCTTCCCAAGGTGCTCTCGATGTGTATCTTTTACATCTCAGGATCTCTTTATGGCTAACAAGGTATTTTGTGTGCACTTGGTTGAGCCTCACCACCACCCTCTGTGATCAACATGGAAGGTGGTACCCTATCCATATAACTGATGAAAAATCAAGGCTCAGAGAAATTATGTGATGCCCACACAGTCACGTGACCACAAGCGAGGGACCTCAAGTGGGATGTGAGAACATAGGTCATGGTTAGTTTCTCCACCTTTTGTTCTTCATAAGGATATTTATGAGTTCCACTCTTAAATTACCATGCAATACAATTATCCAGGATCGTGACAGCCAAGATAATCAACTGAAAACCAGAGCCCGGGTTTTTAGGCTAATTAAACTGGGATTAAAATAACTCAATTCCTGCAAATCAACCTTCTTTGCAAAGATGGAGGAGCCACTGTCTTCCTTGACCTGGGTATGTTTTGTGAGCCACATCAAACAAATCAGCCCTAAATGGATATTTCTGTGTCTTAGACCCTGGCACAGCGCAGCTGCTTTGATAGTATGTTTGGCAGGATTAGAAGCTGAAGAGAATCTGAACAGCACAGTTACCCAACTAGAGCTAATTCCTATTTTAAGAACTCAGCACCCAGCAAACAGAATACTCATTTTTCCCCCCAAACATATGTGAAACACTGCTTAAAAACTAATCATGATTTAGGCTATAAATCAGGTTCCCCCAAGTTTCTTCAAAAATGATGGCCTACAAGTCACATTCACTTATTATTAAATATAATTCAAGGAAATTAGAAATCAATAATGCAAATTGTAGCAATAAAATCCCATACCTTTGAAAATTTATAAAACATACTTCAAGGTCATTCATAACTAAAGAGGAATTCAAATAGAAATGATAAGATCTTTAGAAATGAAAGATGGAAAGCACTAATACATGTCTTCAACACATTTAGCTGAAAGAAAAGTGGAACTAAATGAAGTTAATGTTACACTCAAAAACCTTAAGAGAACAAAAATCAGCCCAGAGAAATGAGAACAGAGGGATTGAGAGTTACAAAGGCAGACATAAAGCAAAAAGCAAAGCAAAATAAAACGTTAACAGTAGAGGTGAACAAAAACACTAAAAGCTGAGTTTCAGAAAAATATTATTAATAATAATAAAGCCAACCCTAAACACACGATTAAGAGGGACACAAAGAGAAGGGCCACTGTGCTTGTCTGAGAATCCCTTCCTAACCACCTTCGATCCCAGGGAGTTGTGAGATCCTGGGGCTGGGATTTCTGCTGTGAATGTCAGTGAGTTTGCTTTGCTTGTTAGGAAATACAGTGTCTAACATTAGGGGGGAAAAGGACCATCAACACAAGAATTTGGTCCACGGGCTGCCAAGGACTAAAACAACTGCAGAATATACCTAAGGTCCTGCTGCCCCGAGACTAATACCTGCCTTAGGCCCAAGGCTGGGAGGGCAGACTGGGGCTGAGCCTTCACTGGCTGCTGTGCAGCTAACTAGATTCACATTTCACTGAGTTCTCAAACACACCTTCCCATCACGTACCATGACAACAGCAAATGCTGCATCCAGTGAGGGCTCACTGAGCCCAGAGGTAACTTCCTCATCTGCCCTCTGCAGAAGGCTGGTCTCCTATGGTGGTTTCAGGTCCTCTCCACACCTAAGCTTCTTCCTCTTCTCTCCCCCACAATTCTAAGTGTGGCATTCAGTTCTACAGCAAAACCACTTCACTGATCCATTGAAAGAAAAGAAAAAAAAAAGACTGTCTTCCTTCTTACACTACTACTAGGTCCATTTTACAGGAGGGAGTAATGATTTTACTGGGCATAATGATCTTCAACCTCCAAAGCCCTAGTAATTCTCTTCATTAATTCCAATTATAATAATAGTGAAACATTTCTTTAGCCCTTACTCTGTGTCAGACACTATGCGAAGTACTTGACTATTTCAATCTTGCATCCACCCTATAAAGGTAGGTACTATGATTATTCCCAGTCTATAGATGAACAAACAGAACCTCGGCATTTAATTTCATAGGATCAAGTGCTGGCAAGTGGTGGAGGGAGGTCTGACCCAGGTTTGTCCAGCTCCATAGTCTGAAGTCAGCTTCCTTACTACATACTTCCTTCCAAGGGCTCATGCTCACATTTTGAGATTACACTCGATAAGTGGAGGTTTATTTCATACCAACCTCTACGCTAGGTGTTTTCAAACACTCTGTGTTAATGGTTCTTGGCCCTGCTTGTGCCAAAAAATCATGTGCACAGCTTCTTAATAACACAATGCCTGGGTTCCAACCAGGGGACCAGGAAGACTGCATTTGAAAGGTGTCCTATCTCATTTTCAATAAGGAAAATCCAGATGAAACTTACAAGGAGATACACCATTTCTCACTGATTAGATCGACTCAAATCCAAAAGTTTGACTACACATGCTGTTGGCAAGACTATGGAGAAACAGGATCTACCAAACATTGTTAGTAGGGATGGCAAAATGACACAACTCCCGTAGGAGGAAATCTGGCAATATCTAACAAACTTCCATAAGCATTTTACCATTTGACCAGCAATCCCACTTCTAGGAATCTGTCCCAAAGATGCATTGACAAAAATACACAAAGATATATGCACAAGGCCATTCACAGCAGGACTACTTGTGATAGCAAAAACTGAAAACAGCAAACATCCATTGACATAGTTAGGATACTTGCCCTCACCCAAATCTCATGTTGAATTCTAATCCCCAGTGTTGGAGGTGGGGCCTGGTGGGAGGTGTTTGGATCATGTGGGCAGGTCCCTCATGAATGGCTTGGGCCATCCCCTTGGTGATGAGTGAGTTCTGAGTTCACAGGAGATCTGGTCATTTTAAAAGTGTGTGGCACCTCCCTCCCCCACACTGCCCACTCTCTTGCTCCTGCTTCCACCATATGGTATAACTGTTACCCCTCTGCCTTCTGCCATGATTGAAAGCTTTCTGTGGCCTCCCCAGAAGCTGAGCAGATGCTGGCACCATGCTTCCTGTACAGCCTGTGGAACCTTGAGGTCAATTAAACCTCTTTTCTTTATAAATTACCCAGTCTCAGATATTTCTTTATAGCAGTGCAAGAATGGCCTAATACATCCATTAACAGAGGACTGTCTGGATAAACTATGGTGCCACTGTACAGGGAAATATGAAGCAGCAGGAAAATGGAGTGAGGACCCTCTCTACATGCAACTACGGGTGATCTCCAGGACATGGTATGGAGAGCATGCACTCATTTACCCAGGAGAGGGGGCTGCAGATGTCTACACACACATCTTCTACTTAAAAAACAAACAATGGAAAGGCAAGCCATATGCTTTTAAAAATTAGTTACCTATGGAAAACAGGAAAAGAAGGGAAAACAGTTAAGAGATAGGGGCTAGAATCCTTTGAATATGCCTTATTTTGTAGATTTGACTTTGAAAACGTCAAAACATTTTACATACTTATAAAATAAAATTTAAATTTATAAAAAGTGGCCCCCAAATCGAAAAGTAAAATGAAACAAATGAATGTATATATATGTTGTACTATTGGAGTAACTCCACAGAAAGGGACTATTATTCCAAGTGATTTTAAAATCGAGTGATGTGCTGGAAGAGCCCTGATGGATCACAAAGACATCTAATAAAAGCTTGGTTTTTATTACTTTGTTACTGTTAGATGAGCCTGTGAACCAACCTTTATGTTGAGAATTGGTAAATAAAAGCAAACATTTAACCTGTCTTTCTTAAACTATACCACTAGATAACCGAACTATAGAAGAGATGGATGTTTCTTTCCATAAAAGTATTTTTTTCCTTTTTAACAGAAAAATGATAATATCCTTGTTTTCCAACCTCTACAAACAAATGGATCTAGGCACGGATCATCATCAGCTGTTAACATCCCTAAATGAAAGACAATCAGATATTATGTGCTTAATGATGGAAAAACGCACCAAGAATGCTGGATCCAAAACAAAACACCTGAATCTAATTAAGCCTTTGACGCCAACTCACAGGAAATATAAGAGGGCAGAAAAACATGCTACACCCCAGTGATGTAATCAGCAAAATGCAATCTATGACAAATTCTGCTGGACAAATGACTCAGGACCTCTAACAAATAAATTGCAAAGATAGAAAAGAGAGATGGGAGGAAAGTCTATAGATTTTGAAGAGACTGAACACACTATCATGTGTGGACCTTATTTGGATCCTATTTCAAACAAACCACCATACAAATAAAATTATAACTTTATGAGAAAATTAGAAAATTAGTACTGACTGGATATTTGATAATATGAAGGAAATATTGTATTTAGGTTTGATAATATCAAGGTTATGTTTTAAAAGAACCTATATCTTCCAGAAAGATCTACTAAAATATAGATAAAAGGACACAGGGTTTTGCTTCTAAATAATACTAGATGGGGGAAGAGTGAATAGAAATGAAACAAATTCGCAGTGAGTTAGTAACTATAGATTGTGTGTGACACATACATAGAAATTACTGTATTTTTCCATCCAATTTTATATATGTTTCAAATTTTTCATAAAATCCCCTAGATCAGTTTATAAGCTCCCAGCTCTTATCCAACTTCCCTTTTTTTCTCCTGTAACTAGGTTTCTTCTGGGCTACTCAAACTTAAAAAATACTCATTTACAGACGGGTGTGGTGGCTCACGCCTGTAATCCCAGCACTTTGGGAGGCTGAGACGGGTGGATCACCTGAGGTCAGGAGTTCGAGACCAGCCTGACCAGCCTGGTCAATTTTTCTTTAGTAGAAATCCCATTTCTACTAAAAATACAAAAAAAAAAAAAAAATTAGCCAGGCGTGGTGGTGGGTGCCTGTAATCCCAGCTACTCAGGAGACTGAGGCAGGAAAATCACTTGAACCCAGGAGGCAGAGGTTGCAGTGAGCCAAGATCATGCCATTGCACTCCAGCCTGGGCAACAAGGGCAAAACTTCATCACACACACACACACAAAAATACTCATTTACCAGAATAACCATTAAGTTCTCCTCTGTAGCATAATAGTACCCCTGAACATCCCTTGAAGAGAATCAATAAGTAAGTGAACAACCTACAAAGCAAATAAATTAGGAGTCTGTTTATGTTAATGCTATCTTTCTTCTCCCCTGGCAAATACAACTTCTGTAGTGGATTTCTATGAGCATTGGTAGATCATTCAGTGCCTAAGGGAGAAGGAAATCCGACATTTTTAGCTCAAGTGCTGGTAGGCACTGCCAAATCCACATCAATCAGAAAGGAAAAATATTCTGGAAATTTGAACAGAGGTATAAATGAAAATAAGAACGTACTTCTTTCCTGCCCAAGTGTCCTGCCTGTTACGCAATCTTCCAAGTGAGAATGATTCTTTATATTCGGTCTACGAACATGTGACCATTTCATCATTTTGAAAAAGAAATTAATAAAATATTTAAAAGTTAACAGTGTTCTGGGAGCATCATTTACCAAACACAGCTGCAAATTCTCAGTGGCGGGCATTCATGATGGGTTTAAATGCAGTGTCTTCATAACAAACTCAGTCGGTGGCCTGGTTTCACCAAAAGTAATAATAACATTGGGCACACAAGCAATTTGCTTCTGAGAAGGGGGGGCTTTAGGTGCCCCCCCAGGCAGACATGACTGACAGACCCCAAGCAAGAGGGGGGTGGGTCCCATAAATGCAGGGCGACTGCCAGGAGAACATGGCTTTGGAAATGCAGGTTCTGACATTTACAGCTTAAACCCTGTTTCTCTGTAAGCAAAATACTTGCATTGTCATTATCTGTTTGATTTTTCTGGAAAGAAATGAAATATTAAGACTTTTTACTGAAGTGAAATATTAGGCTAGTGTAGTGGGTAAGCTTGAGTTCTGGGTTTCAATCTGTCATCTGCCACTTATGAGCTATATAAACAATAGCATGTTCCTTAACCTCTCCGAGCCTCAGTTTCCTTACCTTGTAAGGGTGACAATTTACAATAGTGCCTGTCCTCAATGTTTATTTTGATTATATAACTACAGCATGTAGAATACTTAACACAGTAGCCAGCAAAGACATGTCAAAAGACAAAATTACAATAAATTTATAGAATTAATTGTCCTTAATTTGTGATTTATGAATTGAAGCACCTCCTTTCTATACAATAGAATGAAAGCTCCCACTGGGCAATAGCAAAACTGTGGGTTTTGTAAGGTGGGAATAAGAAAACACAACAATAGAAAAATAAATGATTAGTTAACATCAAGTTACTTCAGGTTACTTTTTTGTAAGGATTAAGGCAGAGAGGATTTGCTTATTATGCTGACTCAGGTAGAGAGTGGCATTTAGCATGAGTGACTCCATTTTGATTTGGTCTGGTTTTTAGGGGCCTAGTACAGGAGCTTAGTCTTAAACAATGGCCTCCCATACTTTCGTTTAACATTCGCTAGTCTGTGGCCTGTTTTCAATAGAGAGGATGAATTAAATACTCCAACAATTCTCCTACCAAAAAAAGGAAGGTTTATTATTATTACACTAATATCTCAGTTCTATAGATCTTTCACATTGATTTTCTCAATCACAACTATCCTGCAAATTCAATTCAGCAGGTATAATTTTTGCTGTGTTTCTGAGGACACTGTGTTATGGAGAAGTAAACACTTTTATTCAAGGTCACATGGTCAGCTAGTGGCAGAGGTAGGGTAGAAACAGGATACCTTGACTCCCAATTCTATGCCTTTTCTTCTAGACCACACCTGGTTTTGTACCTTTTTGAAAGGTGCCAAACATATTTTTTTCCCAGTTTGGCTGCTTTTTCCTTCCTCAAGAAGAACACAACTCTGGCAAGCTAGAAAGATTAGGTAATTGTCACCTTTGTGTTTCATGAACATCAAGAGGCCAGGAAATATTTTCCATGTCCGTATGGCGCTCCAGCCAGAGGCTATATAAGTATACGTACACACACACAAACATACTGCACACACATATACATATATATACACATATGTATACATATATTACTACAAAGAAAATATTATATAGATATATAAATATAAAAATAAATAAAAGGGAGATTTAGGTTGTTCCTATTAAAAAAATTTACAGTCATTTGCCTCATAATGATGCTTCAGTCAACAGTGGATCATATATATGATGGTGTTCCCATAAGATTATAATATCATATTTTTACTGTACCTTTTCTATGTTTAGATACACAAATACTTCCCACTGTGTTGCAATTGCCTACAGTATTCAGTACAAGAACATGCCGTACAGGTTTGCAGCCCAGGAGCAATAGGCTATATACCATATAGCCTAGGTGTGTAGTAGGCTATGCCATCCAGGTTTGTGTAAATGCACTCTATGATGTTTTCTTGGCCCCAGAATAAAACCCAAATACTGCTACTTCTTCCTCCCATGCCAGGACAGACATTGCTAATTGGTAATGACTCTATTTTCCACTAAGTCCACAGACAGCTTCAGAATCCTCATGAAATACTGAGCTCCAGGAAGCCACCAGCAATCAATCTGAGTTTGCCCATGAAATAAAACATAACATGCCCTCTCTGGAGTAGAACCATGCATGTGAAAGCTCCTCAAGGTCAGGGACCATTTTCTTACCTATCACTGAAAATGCAGAGACCTTAGCAGAGTGCTGCAAACAGATTAGGCACTGGGGAAGTACTGAATGAAAGAATTCATGAACACACCTCAATCTCCTGACAACATAGGAGAGAGGAGACGACCTGAAGTTGGCCATGTCCTTACTTCTAGTTTTTCCATTCCTTCTCCTTCACTATTAATAACACAGATAAGGCCAGACTCGGTGGCTACACAGATAAGACCGGACTTGGTGGCTACACAGATAAGGCCAGACTCAGTGGCTCATGCCTGTAACCCCAACACTTTGGGAGGCCAAGATGGGCGGATCTCCTGAGGTCAGGAGTTCGAGACCAGCCTGGCCAACATGGTGAAACCTCATCCCTAATAAAAATACAAAAATTAGCTGGGCATAGTGGTGCGCACCTGTAGTCCCAGCTACTCGGGAGGGTGAGGCAGAATTGCTTGAACCTGGGAGGTGGAGGTTGCAGTGAGCTGAGATTGAGCCACTGTACTCCAGCCTGGGTGACGAAGCGAGACTCTGTCACAAAAAAAAAAAAGAAAAAGAGAAAAAACCCATACAGATAATTTAAATCAGCATAGAATACATAGTCATATCCATAAACTGCCAGGATAATTCTTACTTAATATTTTTTTCTAGGGATTCTCTTTTTTGCCACTTTTCATTTTAGAAGGAAGCTTTATATCACAATCACAGAGAGAAAACTAATATTATATGCCATAAACAGAGGAGCCATAAAAAACATAGTAATGAACATAAACACAGGTCTGGGTATTATCTGAAAATCATCCCATGTCCACCACTGATATCCATATGAGAGGCATTTTAGTGTGGAGGTGAACTGGATAGCTTGAGTTAGAATCTTACCTCTGCCAATACCTAGTTGTGTGACCTTGAGTAGGTGACATAACCTTTCTGAGCCTCACTCTCTTCATTTTGGTATAAGGGATAATGATAGTTCCTATCTCTTAGGCTTTGAAAACTCAATGAGTTAGTCCATGTAAATGGCTTGGCTGGTAGAAAGTGCTCGATAAAAGTTAGTGCCTCAGCAAAACTGAATCCAGAAACATATAAAAAAGATTATGCATCATGAACAAGTGAG